>NC_000011.10:43090303-43393333 GCF_000001405.40 Homo sapiens
TTGCTAACTGACTAAGAAGGTAAATTATTAAAAGGAGAGGCTCTGGAATTAACCATGCCTAGGTTCAAATCCCAGCTTTTTCTCTTACTAGATGTGTGCCTCTAGACAACTAAGTTAACTTCTCTAACTCCCAGTTTCATTATCTTTAAAATTAGGAAAAATAAACATAGCTATTACCTGTTTTTTTTAAGAAGAAATAAGGTTTGTATGAGCCACTGGTTTGTTATATGGTAGTTATTTTTCTACTACTATTACTATTATTGTTATTGCTATTGGAATCTTGTGGATTTGAACTGAGCTATGGGCTAGAACAGGGTGATTAGTCTTGCCAGGTTCCAGAGATAAAGAAATGAATCTAACAAGGTATTGGCTTGAGCCAAGAGTCAACAAATATCTATAGATATGAATTACGTTATATAGTAAATAACCACTGTCTAAATACTTGCATGGTTGCAAAGGGTTTGTCATCCCTGGAAAATATCACTAAGATCCCTCCAGTTCTCAGGTTTTAGAGAGCGGGGAGAGAGCAGGAAGTGGCAGCAAACAAATGGAAATGGGAGCAACCCGTTGCCACAGAATAGGATCAGGGATTCCTAGAACTGGGTGGGGAGGTGGAGGTGGCTTTGAATACAAAGATTCACCCCACTAGCCTTCAGACTCCTTCTGAAATAGAAACAAGAACCAACTATCCAAGAGCAGCCTGACATAATGAGAACATTACAAATTCTGGAGTCAGGAACACCAGTTTAAATCCTCCTGAGCTGGCTCATGTATCTATTGAGACTATAGAACCCAATAGGATTTATACGTAGGTTCATAGGATGGTTGTGAGAATTTGACATAACACAAATGTAAAATGTTTCACATAGTAGCTGCCACATGATAGGTGATCAACTGACATAGTGTTTTCCCCATGTCTTCCATGTTCATAAAGCCGCTTTTGCTGTTCACCTCCTGACAGAGCCTGCCTCCTACAACCCGGGGATGCAGCGAAATCTGAAGGCCAGCCTCCTGACCACAGATACTATTTCTAGATTTGTGAACTTGCACCAATCCCTTGGCCTCTCTGTTTATCAGTTTCTCACTGGTGAAATGAGGATAATATTTTGTGTCCCTGATGCAGTTCTCAAGGATAAGGGGATGATTCATTCAATTTTAAAACCTAACTCAGGGCTTGATGATGCTGAGTAGAAAATAAATAAAACACAAAAGGAAAGTCAAATGACTAATACTTAAAGTCCCAAGTCACTAATGAATAGTCGGTGACATTTTCATCACTTTTAATTCTTTTTTCTCTTTCCCTTTTCTTTGTCCTAGACCCTCTCATGGAGAGATGCATTTCTCATACTGGTTTTGCTGCCTCTCTCTTTTCCCCTTCTCCCCACCCCAAGCCTGCAGTTTCTCAACAGGGACAAAAAGCCAGCACTGGAACCAGGCCTAGGGAAATAGCACAATAATAGTTAACCAAGAACTTACTCTATGCTAGGCACTCTGCTATATACTTTATACATGTTATCTCTTCTAATTCTAACAATTCAATGAAGGTGATATGATTTTAATCTTGGAAAGGCTCAATAATTTTTCAAGGTGACACAGTAAATTGTAATAGCAGAGTTAGGATTTAGATCCAAGCCAGCTGACTTCAAAGCTCACTAGCTTATCTTTTGCAATACAATATGTATTCAAGATCAGTACAGTGTAGTGATTGAGACCATAGTTTCTTTTTTTTTTTCAAGTATGATTCTTCTGTTTTTAACAATGGGGGCTTAGGATTGAGACCATAGTCTTTAAAGTCAGATGCCTGGTTACAGAATGACTGAGTAATTGCTTAGTAATATCTAAAATATAAGATATATATTGGATTATATTGTGTATTATATATGTGCGTGTATGTGTGTGTGTCTGGTGTATGCAGTAGATTAAGCACTTACATATGCCAAGTCTGCATTTAATATTTATAACAACCCCATGAAGAAGGTGATAGTATTATCCCCATTTTATTCATAGGGAAAATGAGATACAGAGAGCGCAAGAAATTTGCCCAAGATTGCACAGCTAGTAAACAGCAGAGCCAAGATTCAAACCTGGGCAATCTAGCTCTGAGGTCTCTACCCTTGATCACTAAACCTTGTAGCCTCCAGGAGGCACAAAGCTCCCACTTCCAGCCCAGCTCCTCACCATGCCCTTGTGAGCTGTTCTTCATTCCATTTCTCCAGCCTTGATGCCCACGAAAGTCGAGAAGGCACAAATCAAGCTCTCCCCAGAACTCTCATCACACTCCACTCTGGCGCAGTGGCAGCCTCGTGTGGGCCTAAGAGTTCCTTCAGCTCAGCAAGCATCCTGCTAGACTAGAGCAGAGATGCGAGAGAAACAAAGCTCTTCCTGTGCCAACAGCCCAAGTCTCTGTGAGTAATTCTCTTAGGGCTCCTTCTTTTGGCTTGAGATGCAGGGGTGGGGAGAGGAAGTGCTTTCTACTCTGCAAATTTCCTTCTGTAGAAGACACTGCGGCACCTCCTGTACCTAAGTCTCCCTGGGACCCCTTTTATCACCTCATTCCCCAGATTCTGTAATGCTTTGCTGTTGATAATCCCACTAGTGACCTACAGATGACTGAGCATTGAAAGCTGAGAGCAGGCTCCATGTGAGGGTACTTTTGCCTTGAGGCAGAAAAAACCTGGAGGTGTCATTTACACACCCAAGCCTCAGGGATTTCACCTTGTTTGAGTCTTCCTCTTCCTTGTCCATTCTCCCACTTCCTTGCTGGTTTCTCTTGGGAACACTTTTTAAATAAATTACTTGGAAATTATTTGAGCTGAGGGGTTCTGCTTCTGGGAGAATCCAACTGATATGGTTTGGCTGTGTTCCCACCCAAATCTCATCTTGAATTGTAGCTCCCATAATTCCCACATGTTGTGGGAGGGACCTGGTGGGAGATAATTGAATCATGAGGGGAAAGGTGTCCCCCATGCTGGTCTCGTGGTGGTGAATAAGTCTCACGAGAGCTGACGGTTTTATAAGGGTTTCTCCTTTCACTTGGCTCTCATTATCTCTTGCCTGCTGCCATGTAAGATATGTCTTTCACCTTCCGCCATGATTGTGAGGCCTCTCCAGCCACGTGAAACTGTGAGTCCATTAAATCTCCTTCCTTTATATATTACCCAGTCTCAGCTATGTTTTTATTAGAAGCATGAGAACAGACTAATACTCCAACCTAAGAGACAAATTTTGTTTTGCTTTGTCTTAAAGAATGTCTAGGCTTTTCTTAAATGCACTCGTTAAGAGGAATGGGCATTGGTGGTCATCTCTTAGCATGTCTTGCACAAATGGTATTGATAACTTTCTTTACAGAGGATGTAAGCATTACCAACCAATGTCCTCAGCTCATGAGCCTCCACTGCAGCTCCAGAAGGAGAAAAACATTTTCCATTTAACATTCTGTAATGTGATTTTTTCCCCCTCAGTATTGTCCAGACTCTGTGATAAAAAAACAAACCTTTTTTTTTCTCCCTTTTATGCCTGTTTTGGAGCAGAGCTTCCTCCATATTCACTGGGGCTCTTATGCCTCAGCTGCCACAGAGATGTGTTTGGCTCCATTTGGAGAACCGACAGGCAGAGAAAATGTTTATAAAACAAAAATCAAAACCAAGATACCTGGCTGCTACCCGGGAGCCTGACAGTGTCACAGGAAGGCTTTTTCCACCACTGTCTGCAGCCAGCTTCAATCATGCTAACAGAGTGTACTTCAGGTCACCCCACTTCTCTCCTAGGTTCTTCTCCAAGAGGCCAACAAAGCCCATCTCTCTGAGGTAAGCCATTTCCCAGGAGACCATAGTATTGCTCCCCAGCCTTCAAGACATGGCACACACATGGTAAAGGGATGAGACTGCTAAGGGCTTGGAGATACCTTCCCAGAGCTCCTTCTGCCCAGCCCACTCCAAGGTGTGTGTGAGGGGAGGGGTGGATCAATATCTCAGCAAGCCTTAACCCAATCTCAGTGTCCTGTCTAGGAAGCTCAAGTCTAGGAAATGAGGATAGGAGAGAAAAGAATTTTGGGGTCCAAATATACCCTGAGCAGTATTGTGTCACCCCTCTTACTTTATGTCAGTGTCATCAGTGCCCATACAAGTAGCACAGAGTGATACTTAGAGAAAAATTAGTGTGCAGCATCGTGCAGTGGCTATGAAAAAGTTGGAAGTCACACAGAACAGATTTGAGTTCAAAACCCCATACTGGGGTTGTATACCTTAGGCAAATTTGTATCTTAGAACAGTTATGTAACCTGTTAATTCCCCATCTGGAAAATGGACCTTCTGCCTTAGATGATTGCTTTGAAGATCAATGAAATAGTATATGCAAAAGAATTTCAAAAAAGCAGACAGTAGAATCGTGGTTGCCAGAGGCTGGCTAGGGAATGGGGAGATGTGGGTCAAAGAGCACAAAATTTCAGTTTTACATGATTACTAAATTCTGGAGATCTAATGTACAGCATGGTGACTATGAATAATAACAATGTAATGTATATTTGAATTCTGCAGAGGAAGTAAATATTAAATATTCTCACCACACACACACAAAACCCACAATGGTAACTATGTGGAGTGATGCATATGTGAATTAGGTTGATTGTGGTAATCAATCCACAATGCATACATATATCAAATCATTAGACTACGCATCTTACATTTACACAAATTTTTTTATTTTTTTATTTTATTATTATTATACTTTAAGTTTTAGGGTACATGTGCACAATGTGCAGGTTAGTTACATATGTATACATGTGCCATGCTGGTGTGCTGCACCCATTAAGTCGTCATTTAGCATTAGATATATCTCCTAAAGCTACCCTCCCACCCCCTCCCCCCACCCCACAACAGGCCCCAGAGTGTGATGTTCCCCTTCCTGTGTCCATGTGTTCTCATTGTTCAATTCCCACCTATGAGTGAGAATATGCAGTGTTTGGTTTTTTGTTCTTGCAGTAGTTTACTGAGAATGATGATTTCCAATTTCATCCATGTCCCTACAAAGGACATAAACTCATCATTTTTTATGGCTGCATAGTATTCCATGATGTATATGTGCCACATTTTCTTAATCCAGTCTATCATTGTTGGACATTTGGCTTGGTTCTAAGTCTTTGCTATTGTGAATAGTGCCGCAATAAACATACATGTGCATGTGTCTTTATAGCAGCATGATTTATAGTCCTTTGGGTATATACCCAGTAATGGGATTGCTGGGTCAAATAGTATTTCTAGTTCTAGATCCCTGAGGAATCGCCACATTGACTTCCACAATGGTTGAACTAGTTTACAGTCCCACCAACAGTGTAAAAGTGTTCCTATTTCTCCACATCCTCTCCAATACCTGTTGTTTCCTGACTTTTTAATGATTGCCATTCTAACTGGTGTGAGATGGTATCTCATTGTGGTTTTGATTTGCATTTGTCTGATGGCCAGTGATGATGAGCATTTTTTCATGTGTTTTTTGGCTGCATAAATGTCTTCTTTTGAGAAGTGTCTGTTCATGACCTTCGCCCACTTTTTGATGGGGTTGTTTGTTTTTTTTCTTGTAAATTCGATTGAGTTCATTGTAGATTCTGGATATTAGCCCTTTGTCAGATGAGTAGATTGCGAAAATTTTCTCCCATTCTGTAGGTTGCCTATTCACTCTGATGGTAGTTTCTTTTGCATGCAGAAGCTCTTTAGTTTAATTAGATCCCATTTGTCAATTTTGGCTTTTGTTGCCATTGCTTTTTGTGTTTTGGACATGAAGTCCTTGCCCACGCCTATGTCCTGAATGGTAATGCCTAGGTTTTCCTCTAGGGTTTTTATGGTTTTAGGTCTAACGTTTAAGTCTTTAATCCATCTTGAATTGATTTTTGTATAAGGTGTAAGGAAGGGATCCAGTTTCAGCTTTCTACATATGGCTAGCCAGTTTTCTCAGCACCATTTATTAAATAGGGAATCCTTTCCCCATTGCTTGTTTTTCTCAGGTTTGTCAAAGATCAGATAGTTGTAGATATGCGGTGTTATTTCTGAGGGCTCTGTTCTGTTCCATTGATCTATATCTCTGTTTTGGTACCAATACCATGCTGTTTTGGTTACTGCAGCCTTGTAGTATAGTTTGAAGTCAGGTAGCGTGATGCCTCCAGCTTTGTTCTTTTGGCTTAGGATTGACTTGGCAATGCGGGCTCTTTTTTGGTTCCATATGAACTTTAAAGTAGTTTTTTCCAATTCTGTGAAGAAAGTCATTGGTAGCTTGATGGGAATGGCATTGAATCTATAAATTACCTTGGGCAGTATGGCCATTTTCACGATACTGATTCTTCCAACCCATGAGCATGGAACGTTCTTCCATTTGTTTGTATCCTCTTTTATTTCATTGAGCAGTGTTTTGTAGTTCTCCTTGATGAGCTCCTTCATGTCCCTTGTAAATTGGATTCCTAGGTATTTTATTCTCTTTGAAGAAATTGTGAATGGGAGTTCACTCAAGATTTGGCTCTCTGTTTGTCTGTTATTGGTGTATAAGAATGCCTGTGATTTTTGTACATTGATTTTGTATCCTGAGACTTTGCTGAAGTTGCTTATCAGCTTAAGGAGATTTTGGGCTGAGACAATGGGGTTTTCTAGATATACAATCATGTCATCTGCAAACAGGGACAATTTGATTTCTAATTGAATACCCTTTATTTCCTTCTCCTGCCTAATTGCCCTGGCCAGAACTTCCAACACTATGTTGAATAGGAGTGGTGAGAGAGGGAATCCCTGTCTTATGCCAGTTTTCAAAGGAAATGCTTCCAGTTTTTGCCCATTCAGTATGATATTGGCTGTGAGTTTGTCATAGATAGCTCTTATTATTTTGAAATACGTCCCATCAATACCTAATTTATTGAGAGTTTTTAGCATGAAGGGTTGTTGAATTTTGTCAAAGGCCTTTTCTGCATCTATTGAGATAATCATGTGGTTTTTGTCTTTGGTTCTGTTTATATACTGGATTACATTTATTGATTTGTGTATGTTGAACCAGCCTTGCATCCCAGGGATGAAGCCCACTTGATGATGGTGGATAAGCTTTTTGATGTGCTGCTGGATTCATTTTGCCAGTATTTTATTGAGGATTTTTGCATCAATGTTCATCAAGGATATTTGTCTAAAATTCTCTTTTTTGGTTGTGTCTCTGCCAGGCTTTGGTATCAGGATGATGCTGGCCTCATAAAATGAGTTAGGGAAGATTCCCTCTTTTTCTATTGATTGGAATAGTTTCAGAAGGAATGGTACCAGCTCCTCCTTGTACCTCTGGTAGAATTTGGCTGTGAATCCATGTGGTCCTGGACTCTTTTTGGTTGGTAAACTATTGATTATTGCCACAATTTCAGAGCGTGTTATTGGTCTATTCAGAGATTCAACTTCTTCCTGGTTTAGTCTTGGGAGGGTGTATGTGCCCAGGAATTTATCCATTTCTTCCAGATTTTCTAGTTTATTTGCGTAGAGGTGTTTGTAGTATTCTCTGATGGTAGTTTGTATTTCTGTGGGATTGGTGGTGATATCCCCTTAATCATTTTTTATTGTGTCTATTTGATTCTTCTCTCTTTTCTTCTTTATTCGTCTTGCTAGTGGTCTATTAATTTTGTTGATCCTTTCAAAAAACCAGCTCCTGGATTCCTTAATTTTTTGAAGGTTTTTTTGTGTCTTTATTTCCTTCAGTTCTGCTCTGATTTTAGTTATTTCTTGCCTTCTGCTAGCTTTTGAATGTGTTTGCTCTTGCTTTTCTAGTTCTTTTAATTGTGATGTTAGGGTGTCAATTTTGGGTCTTTCCTGCTTTCTCTTGTGGGCATTTAATGCTACAAATTTCCCTCTACACACTGCTTTCAATGTGTCCCAGAGATTCTGGTATGTTGTGTCTTTGTTCTCGTTGGTTTCAAAGAACATCTTATTTCTGCCTTCATTTCATTATGTACCCAGTAGTCATTCAGGAGCAGGTTGTTCAGTTTCCATGTAGTTGAGCGGTTTTGAGTGAGTTTCTTAATCCTGAGTTCTAGTTTGATTGCACCGTGGTCTGAGAGACAGTTTGTTATAATTTCTGATCTTTTACATTTGCTGAGGAGAGCTTTACTTCCAAGTATGTGGTCAATGTTGGAATAGGTGTGGTGTGGTGCTGAAAAAAATGCATATTCTGTTGATTTGGGGTGGAGAGATCTGTAGCTGTCTATTAGGTCCACTTGGTGCAGAGCTGAGTTCAATTCCTGGGTATCCTTGTTAACTTTCTGTCTCATTGATCTGTCTAATGTTGACAGTGGGGTGTTAAAGTCTCCAATTATTATTGTGTGGGAGTCTAAGTCTCTTTGTAGGTCACTCAGGACTTGCTTTATGAATCTGGGTGCTCCTGTATTGGGTGCATATATATTTAGGATAGTTAGTTCTTCTTGTTGAATTGATCCTTCTACCATTATGTAATGGCCTTCTTTGTCTCTTTTGATCTTTGTTGGTTTAAACTCTGTTTTATCAGAGACTAGGATTGCAACCCCTGCCTTTTTTTGTTTTCCATTTGCTTGGTAGATCTTCCTCCATCCTTTTATTTTGAGCCTATGTGTGTCTCTGCATGTGAGATGGGTTTCCTGAATACAGCACACTGATGGGTCTTGACGCTTTATCCAATTTGCCAGTCTATGTCTTTTAATTGGAGCATTTAGTCCATTTACACTTAAATTTAATATCGTTTTGTGTGAATATGATCCTGCCATTATGATGCTAGCTGGTTATTTTGCTCGTTAATTGATGCAGTTTCTTCCTAGCCTCAATGGTCTTTACAATTTGGCATGATTTTGCAGTGGCTGGTACCGGCTGTTCCTTTCCATGTTTAGTGCTTCCTTCAGGAGCTCTTTTAGGGCAGGCCTGGTGGTGACAAAATCTCTCAGCACTTGCTTGTCTGTAAAGTATTTTATTTCTCCTTCACTTATGAAGCTTAGTTTGGCTGGATATGAAATTCTGCGTTGAAAATTCATTTCTTTAAGAATGTTGAATATTGGCCCCCACTCTCTTCTGGCTTGTAGAGTTTCTGCTGAGAGATCAGCTGTTAGTCTGATCGGCTTCCCTTTGTGGGTAACCTGACCTTTCTCTCTGGCTGCCCTTAACATTTTTTCCTTCATTTCAACTTTGGTGAATCTGACAATTATGTGTCTTGGAGTTGCTCTTCTTGAGGAGTATCTTTGTGGCGTTCTCTGTATTTCCTGAAAGTGAATGTTGGCCTGCCTTGCTAGATTGGGGAAGTTCTCCTGGATAATATCCTGCAGAGTGTTTTCCAACTTGGTTCCATTCTCACCGTCACTTTCAGGTACACCAATCATACGTAGATTTGGTCTTTTCACATAGTCCCATATTTCTTGGAGGCTTTGTTTGTTACTTTTTTTTCTCTAAACTTCCCTTCTTGCTTCATTTTATTCATTTCATCTTCCATCACTGATACCCTTTCTTCCAGTTGATCACATCGGCTCCTGAGGCTTCTGCATTCTTCATGTAGGTCTCGAGCCTTGGTTTTCAGCTCCATCAGCTCCTTTAAGCACTTCACTGTATTGGTTATTCTAGTTATACATTCCTCTAAATTTTTTTCAAAGTTTTTAACTTCTTTGCCTTTGGTTTGAATTTCCTCCTGTAGCTCGGAGTAGCTTGATCGTCTGAAGCCTTCTTCTCTCAACTCGTCAAAGTCACTCTCCATCCAGCTTTGTTCCGTTGCTGGTGAGGAACTGCGTTCCTTTGGAGGAGGAGAGGTGCTCTGCTTTTTAGAGTTTCCAGTTTTTCTGCTCTGTTTTTTCCCCATCTTTGTGATTTTATCTAATTTCGGTCTTTGATGATGGTGATGTACAGATGGGTTTTTGGTGTGTATGTCCTTTCTGTTTGTTAGTTTTCCTTCTAACAGTCAGGACCGTCAGCTGCAGGTCTGTTGGAGTTTGCTAGAGGTCCACTCCAGACCCTGTTTGCCTGGGTACCAGCAGCTGTGGCTGCAGAACAGCGGATTTTCGTGAACCGTGAATGCTGCTGTCCGATTGTTCCTCTGGAAGTTTTGTCTCAGAGGAGTACCCGGCCATGTGAGGTGTCTGCCCCTACTGGGGGGTGCCTCCCAGTTAGGCTGCTCAGGGGTCAGGGGTCAGGGACCCACTTGAGGAGGCTGTCTGCCCATTCTCAGATCTCCAGCTGTGTGCTGGGGGAACCACTGCTCTCTTCAAAGCTGTCAGACAGGGATATTTAAGTCTGCAGCAGTTACTTCTGTCTTTTTGTTTGTCTGCACCCTGCCCCCAGAGATGGAGCCTACAGAAGCAGGCAGGCCTCCTTGAGCTGTGGTGGGCTCCACCCAGTTGGAGCTTCCCGGCTGCTTTGTTTACCTAAGCAAGCCTAGGCAATGGCAGGCACCCCTCCCCCAGCCTCACTGTTGCCTTGCAGTTTGATCTCAGACTGCTGTGCTAGCAATCAGCGAGACTCCGTGGGTGTAGGACCCTCCAAGCCAGGTGTGGGATATAATCTCCTGGTGCACCGTTTTTTAAGCCCATCAGAAAAGCACAGTATTAGGGTGGGAGTGACCCGATTTTCCAGGTGCCCTCTGTCACCCCTTTCTTTGACTAGGAAAGGGAACTCCCTGACCCCTTGTGCTTCCCAAGTGAGGCAATGCCTCGCCCTGCTTCAGCTCGCACACGGTGTGCTGCACCCACTGACCTGCGCCCACTGTCTGGCACTCC
Source organism: Homo sapiens (assembly GCF_000001405.40). Lineage (NCBI taxonomy): Eukaryota > Metazoa > Chordata > Mammalia > Primates > Hominidae > Homo > Homo sapiens. The sequence goes on from NC_000011.10 coordinate 43,101,033, forward strand.
TTAGTGAGATGAACCCGGTACCTCAGATGGAAATGCAGAAATCACCCATCTTCTGCATCACTCACGCTGGGAGCTGTAGACCAGAGCTGTTCCTATTTGGCCATCTTGGCTCCACCCCCATTTACACAATTTTAATTTCTATACCTCAGTAAAGCTGGTGGTTAAAAAAAAAAAAATCCACAATGTGTTTTCCTACAGTCAATTTAGACAAGCTGGAACTACATTTCCCAGAATCCCCTGACCTGAATGGTCCTGGGTTAGGGTTGGTCACAAAGAAATTTGCATGAGATCAGGAAGGCAGAAGTGAAGCAGTAGCCACTGGGCTCTGAAGGTCAGTGTAGGGTCAGGCACCACTGCAGCTCACCCATCTGGTAGCTGGTCTGTTGGCACCCATGTTAGTTGTTGCTTGGCCTTGCTCTTCAGCTTCTTTGAGTCCCAGGGCAGAGCACCTGACAGCCTTTCTGTAAGTTACTCACATCTCCAAGATGGTGGAGGTGGAAAAACAGACAAGATTATAGTTTGTCCTACCTCTCCTACAATTTACAGCCAGTTCTTTCTAACTGTCCATGCTGCTGACTTTCAGTGACCAGGCCATGACCAGCAACAGAGGCAACAACCTTCCACAGGCTGCCTTCTCAGCTCCCGTAAGTAAGTACAGCATAATTCCAGTGAGAAACCCTGGATGGCATATGACTCATAGAGGATCTGATAAGCCGTGCCTGGAGTATAGTAAATGCTCACAAAAGGAAACATTGGAATAATTTAAGTGTAGACAGTGAAGAATACTCTCTTTTGGTTCCAGTCCAAGCTCCACCTAAGACAAATTGCTTACTTCTGAAACTCAGTTTCCTCATCTGACAAGTGGTGATACAGGCTGAGTATCCCTTATCCAAAATGCTTGGGACCAGAAGTGTTTGGGATTTCCGATTTTTTTTTCTAATTTTGGAATATTTGCATTAAACTTAGCAGTTAAGCATCCCTAATTAGAAAATTCGAAATCAGAAATGCTCCAATGAGCATTTGCCTTGAGCATTATGTTGGCACTCATAAAATTTCCGATTTTGGAGCACTTTGGATTTCAGATTTTCTGATTAAGGATACTCAGCCTGTAATAATATGATCTACTTCTTAGGATTGTGGAAATGGTTAAATGAGATCAAGCATGCAAACACAGTACTTGACATTACAAGCTTTAGAGAGAAAACCTTTATTTCCCATTCTAATTCTTGAGTTTAGCATTTGGAAATCCATCATCAACAGATACAAGCTTTATCCTTCAAACTACCTTTGTCAGTAATGAAATATTTTCATCCTGTATCTGTTTTATGCTATTTTTCAATTGGCTTAGAACTTAGCCATGAAAGAAGGATGCTGCTTAATAGACCCCTTCAAAGACCACTACTGCTTAACTGTTAGTACTCAATAAATGAGAATAATAACCCTTGCTTTTGTGTTTCATAGAAGTCCTTTCATCAGCATTATCTCATGTCCCCTTGCAATAAGGCTGTGACCCAGACAGCATTAAATAGTGGGGTGCTACAGACACCGCACCACAACTCAAAGGACCTGGTTTTCCAACCTGGCTCTGTCAATAAGCATGGGTCTCTAAGCCACTGTTTCCTCATTTACAAAAGGAAAGAACTGAATCCGTCATAAAAGCCTTAAAGCCCCAGCAGACCACAAGCCTCTTATTATTTTCATTTTGCATTGTGGGAACTATGGGGGGTGGGGAGATGTTCCAAGAGACTGAATGGCTTAATTCAGTAATTTCTTAAGTGTGGTTCCTGGGCCAGCAGCAGCAGCATCACCTGGAACTTATTAGAAATGCAAATTATCGGGAGGCCGAGGCAGGTGGATCACGAGGTCAGGAGATCGAGACCATCCTGACTAACATGGTGAAACCCCATCTCTACTAAAAAATACAAAAAAGTAGCCAAGCATGGTGGTGGGCACCTGTAGTCCCAGCTACTCGGGAGGCTGAGGCAGGAGAATGGCATGAACCCGGGAGGCGGAGCTTGCAGTGAGCCAAGATAGCACCACTGCACTCCAAGCTGGGCGACAGAGTGAGACTCCATCTCAAAAAAAAAAAAAAAGAAATGCAAATTATCAGGTTCCACTTTGTACCCATAGAATCAGAAATTCTAGAGGTAAGACCTAGAGATCAGTGTCTCAACGAGCTTTTCAAGTCATTCCGATGCTTGCTCAATTTTGAGAACCACTGGCTTAATCAACATTGCAACAAAAAGAAAGCAACTGAACCAGGACTTAAACCCAGACCTATGACTCCTTTCTCATTGCCTCATGGTTCTGGAAAGAAAGACCTGGTAAAAACAAATGCATTTGAAGACAAAGCAAGTCCAAAAGCGCAGAACTAAATTCTAAGTAATATGCTAAAAATCTCAGATTTCTTCAACTGAGAACCTTTGATCCTTGACCCTAGACAGGGCCGAAGCTGACTTTTATGCCCTCTCTGACACAGTCATTGGAACTTTTAACTGGAATCTTCCATTTGGCTAGAACAATTGTCAGATGGCAACAAAGGAGTTTGCAAGTTATAGTGCAACAGAGAAAAGGAAGAGCACTGACTTAAAATTCGGCATCTGGCTTTTCAGTTTTATTTCTTTGAACACGTACACATATGTGTTCAAAAATGCATACGCAAGACAAATTTATGTATGCTCTAGGTATCTTTTACTTCCATCTTTTTCTTTTTATCCTTCTTTTCCCTTGATTCCTACCTCTTTTCTTCTTTCCTAGTCCCACTCAGACAATGCATGTTAATCACTGGTATTTGTCCTATATTTTTCTCCATGCTCAAATACTCAAATACAGTTACACACATTCTCTTTCACACAAGTACCTTGTTTTACTCATACTTCATGGAAATTTGTCCACATCAAGAGACATAGTGCAGCTCTCATAAATGCTTCTAAAAAGCTGCATAATACTTCATGACGTGAACCTACAATAATTTATATGTCCAATCCCCAAATAGTAAGTATTCACTTAGTTTTTAATTTTTTACCACCTAAAATGTTGTAATAAGTAACCTGGTATATATATGCTTCTATGGTAGTGATTTTAGTGTATTGGACAGATTTCTGAGGGTAGAATATTAGGTTCAAAGCCTCTATTTTTAAATTAATAGATGTTACATGACTCTTCAAAAGGGCCATGACAATTTATATTTTCAGCACAATGTATAGGAGTACCCATTTCTTGCACCCCTAGATCAGTCTTTTTTATTTTTTTCTTGTCTGAATATTGGGAAGTGATATCTCATTGCTATTTTAATTTGCATTTTCCTAACTACTGTTGAATTTGACTTTCTTTTAATGTGTCTGTTGGACATTTGGACTTGTAGTCCGTGTCCGTGCATGCATTCATGCTCTTTTTCCTTTTGGGTCTTTTGTCCCATTAGTGTCCGTTTTTAAGAAGACTATATAGATTAGAATATTAATTATCTGTCATTCATCAGCATAATAATTATTTTTTGAAAGCTGTCATTTGTCTATTGACTTTGTGCTATTTACTATAGCTATTTGCATGTAGTCAAAAAGCTTAACATCTCACTGATTTGATACATATAACCACCTAAATTTTTTACGAAATTTCTATTATTTTGTTTTTTGGGATTTAAAGGCACTTTACAGTTTTTTTAACTTTTGTGAATGGATCTTTATCTTTCTTTACCTTTTGAAGTGCTTATTGATAAAACCACAAATAGCTACTTATATTTGTATATCCATCCAACTACTTACTAAATTCCCTTACCAATTCTAATGGTTTTGCAATAAGCCTATTAAATTATCTGGGTACATATTATATAGTCAGAAAATGAGAAAATATTATCTTTTTATTTTCTAATATTTTATGTTACTTAATATTCTTTTCTTCTTGCATTTACTAATTGCATTGAAATTGTTCAACATTCCAAGAAAATACTGAACAATAACAATGATGGACAGCACTATCTATTCCTGATTTTAATGGAAAATGTATAATGGCTGCTTATCAAATTATTTTTAAGTCTATTGATAGAAGGATATAGTTCTATAATTTTCTTGCTAAATTTCTTCTATTGAATAACATTTGCATTTCTAGAAGAGAACTCTTCTTGATAATAGAAAGCATTGTTATAGATGTGTCACCATTCCATTTTCTAATATTTTTTAGAATTTTTAAATTTATATTTGTAAGATTGTATACAGTTCTCTTTCTTGTACTATGTTTTTTATCAGGTTTTGGCGTTAAACTTCTACTGTATTCATAAAATGAATTGAAGAACTTTGTTTTTTTCAATGGCCTGGAATTTTTTAAATAATATAAAAAGTACCTGTCCTTAAAAATTTTGAATGAAACTCATCAGTGAAATCTACTATTCTGGTGGCCTTTTCAACAGTTGATTTTTAAAATTATCCTTCCATCTTTGTCTCTGACAATTGGTCTATCAACTTTTTCACCTCTTCGAGAATAAGTTGTATTTAGTTAGAAAATTATCTACCTCCTCTAGGTCAGAGACTAGATAATGTCCTGTTTTCTATAACAGGACAGGTATTTTAAGCTTTGAGGAGCACATAGTCTATGACAACTGTTCAATTCTACCATTGTGATACAAAGACAGCCATAGACAATGTATAAATGAATGGGTGTGGTTGTGTGTCAATAAAACTTTATTTATAGATGCTGATCTCTGAATTTTATATGATTTTCACATATCACAAAATAATATATTTTAATTACTTTTCAACTCTTTAAAATTGTGAAAAACATTCTCAACTTGTGAATCGTACTGAAACATGCAATGGGCCAGATTTGCCCATGGGTCTTTCTTGCAAACCCTCGCTCTAAATTTTCAAAATGTTCCTACATAGTAGATGTATAGTGTATGCTCATAATTCTTAATCTTACAATTTAAAATACAATGCTATTATTTTAATTTCTTCAATATCTGTAACCATGTTACTTTTACTAATTTCTAATCTTTTATTTTTGTTTCTTGTTCCATTTTCCCTAATCAGGCTTATTAGGGATTTATCTGGTTCTTTTCATAGAACCAATCTTTAAATTTAGTCTTTAGCCTTTTTGATTTATATTTAATTTGTCTCAACTTTTATATTTAATTATTTCCTTCTCCCAAGTCATTTGGTTCATGTTATTGGCCTCTTTATCAATGTAAAGATGAGCACCATATTCTTTCTTAACTAATAAAAGTAGTTAAAGCTAAGATTGTTCCTCTAAATACAATTTTCACTTATCTTTATTATGGGTCAAATTGTGTCCCCCAACATGTTTAAGTCCTAATCTCTGGTACCTGTAAATGTAACCTTATTTGGAAATAGTGTCTTTGCAGATGTAATCAAGTTAAGATAAGATCATACTGAGTTAGGGTGGGCCCCTAATCCACCTTAACTGGTGGTGATGACTGGTGTCCTTGTAAGAGAAAAGGTGAAGAGACACAAACACAGATAAAGAGGGAGGATGGCCACATGAAAAAGGGGGTGGAAATTGAAGTTATGCTGTCACAAGCCAAGGAATGCCTGTGTCTACCATAAGCTAGAAGAGATAAAGAGGGATCCTTCCCTAGAGTATTAGGAGGGAGCCTGGCCCTCTCGAGACCCCGATATTAGACTTTTAGACTCTAGAACTGTGAGAGAAGAAATCTCTATTGTTTTAAGCCATCCAGTTTATGGTACTTTGTTACATTAGCCCTGGGAAATGAATATAGAGACCCCTTACAATCGCATATTAAGTCATCTCTGTCTTTTATATTGCCTTCTAAATGAGCCACAATTTCTCCTTTATTTGACCCAATAGTTATCTAAGACTATGCTGCTTAATATTGTAAGATTTGGGGGTATCAACTTTTTATTCTTTTTTTCATACTTTTATTTTAGGTTCAGGGGTACATGTGCAGGTTTGTTATACAGGTAACTTGCATGTCATGGGAGTTTGCAGATTATTTTGTCACCTAGGTAATAAGCATAGTACCCAATAGATAGTTTTTTTGATTCTCACCCTCCTCCCATCCTCCACGCTCAAGTAGGTCCTGGTGTCTGTTTTTCCCTTCTTTGTGTCCAAATGTACCCAATGTTTAGCTCCCACTTATAAATGAGAACGTGCAGTGTTCGGTTTTCTGTTCCTGCGTTAGCTTGCTTAGGATAATTGTCTCCAGCTGCATCCATGTTGCAGCAAAGGAAATGATCTCATTCTTTTTTATGGCTGCATAGTACTCCATGGTGTATATATACCACATTTTCTTTATCCAGTCTACCATTGATGGGCATTTAGGTTGATTCCATGTCTTTGCTATTGTGCATAGTGCTTCAGTGAACACACACATGAATGTGTCTTTATGGTAGAATAATTTCTATTCCTTTGGGTCTATACCCAGTAATGGGATTGCTGGGTTGAATGGTAGCTCTGCTTTTTCTTTGAGAAATCTCCAAACTACTTTCCACAGTGGCTGAACTAATTTACATTCCTGCCAGCCATCCTCTTTTCTCTGCAGCCTTCCCAGCATCTGTTCTTTTTTTACTTTTTGAATAATAGCCATTGTGACTGGTGTAAGATGCCATCTCATTGTGGTTTTCATCTGCATTTATTCTTTTTCAGTATATTAAACCACTATTTAAAAAGGTGGACTATAAAATCTCAGCATGTTTGATTTGTAAATTTTTTTGCCTTCAAATTTATGATGATTTTTGTAAATATAACACAAAAATATACACATATAATTACTTGTATACATAAATCTACCGTGTTAATAAATGTTTATGTTCTTAAGTAACTTTTTTTTTTTTTTTTTTTTTGAGACAGAGTCTCGCCCTGTCGCCCAGGCTGGAGTGCAGTAGCGCAATCTGGGCTCACTGCAAGCTCCGCCTCCCGGGTTCACGCCATTCTCCTGCCTCAGCCTCTGTAGTAGCTGGGACTACAGGCACCCGCCCCCACGCCCGGCTAATTTTTTTTGGATTTTTAGTAGAGACGGGGTTTCACAGTGTTAGCGCGGATGGTCTTGATCTCCTCACCTCGTGATCCACCTGCCTCGGCCTCCCAAAGTGCTGAGATTACAGGCGTGACCGCACCCGGCCTTAAGTAACTTTTATCTAACATACCTATATAATTCTGAAAGAGAAGTACTGAAGTCTTCCACTGTCATTGTATGTTTAGCAAATTTTCCTGACATTTCTTAGCATTTCTTCTTTATATATGCAGTGCCTTTGGTTTGATATATATAAAAATTTATAACGTATATTTTCTTTACAAATCACATATTTTTTTCATGACATAGAGCATCTATTCTTCTCATATTGGGTTTCATGGCTGTATCCTCTAAACCTTTTATATTTTTCCTCTGTTTTTCATTTCTTTACATTTTTACTCAGTCTTTGAGAAATACCTTCGAATTGCTCTTTCAGGCCAGTAATTTGTCTTCACAGTGGTCATCTTTGCCCTTATTTATCTACGAATGTGGGAAGTGGTTTTTTAGCTCCAGAAAGTTCTCTCAAGCTGTACTTGGGTCTCTTTAAGTGCACTTCTTATTTTTCTGTCCACGTTGTCATCTGTCACCTTCAAAAGCTCCGTCTGTAGCTGTGTTCTGTGTGCTCTGCTGGACCTTGCTGTCTCTGCTTCAGTCTTAACTCTTACTTTTCTTGATCACTGAGATCAGGTGTTGTTGTTGGAATATCCTACCAGGTAGCAGTCTACAAGTGAAGAAAGACAAATTAGTCCTCTTCAGGAAGCATCTTTGTTCCTCAAGGGATGACTAAAGTCATATTTTTGGCTACTCCTTGGCGTCTCAGGTATCATGGAGACCTTTTACTCACACACAGAAGACCATCAAACTTCTTTTCAGAGTCCATAAACCTCTTTGGGCCAAACTCTTCCCAGCATCCCCATTTTACAATCCCTTTCTCAAGGCTCTCTGGTATCCAGACATTCATCCACCCACAGCTCAGAAAGCACTGCACCAGTTCTGTCCCGTAAGACTTCCACAGAGCCCACAACTTCATTTCCACTTAGCAACATTTAGGTCCCAACTAATCATCTCAAAAAGAAGATATATTGGAGTTGATTGATACTGAATGGAAAACAGAGTTAGGTTCATGTCACCATCTTTCCAGAACCCCCCTGTAACATCAGCATCGTCATCTACCCTCACATCCAAGTCACCCTGTTTCCTCCACCACAAGTCAGCACATCCCACTGAAAAGATCATCAGCTCAGAGTCAGGGATCCATATTCAAATCTTCCTCTTATGAGTATAAACTTATGCATGCTATGTAATCAGCATTTCTGACCCTCAATTCCTCATTGATGAAATGATACTAATTGTGGAGAGTAAATAAAATATGTAAAACCTTTTCCCAGTGTGTAGCACATGACAGATTTTAGAGAAATATTAGTGTCTTTCCATTTAATTTGATTTTCAAGCAGTAATGGTTGGCCAGTGTGTCCCCCTCTTGGTTTGACATTTCAGCAACAACTGTTCTCGGTAACAATTCTCTATACTTGTTCTTATGCAATCCATCATCTTGAAGTATCTAGGTTAATGGTCAATGTTTCGGGCATCTTGGTGTCCCAACACCTTCCTGAGGGGAGCGACCATGCTTCACAGATTATGAAAACCACATGTTGCAAAGAGGGAATCACCATCGACCCTGGGCATACAGTTAGAGGCCAAACTGGATGGGAATGTTCAGAAATCAGTTATGACAATAAAGCTAAAGGCATTACGAACATAATTATCCTTTTAAAGTTATCATGTAATTGAATCTCTAATTTTGCTTAAATGTAGATTAATTCGTTCCACCAAGATCTCCAAGAAAAAACTATATCCCCAGAGCTCTGCAGGAAAAGCCAAAGGAATTCTTAATTGCAACAAATTATATAAAGAGATTTTACCTTATGAAAGGGGAAAATGTATGGCAAGCCTTTGTAAAATAATTAAAGTGAAAGATATCAAAAACCTCTCAATACAGGCCCTAAAATATATGCAATGAAGAATAATGTCAGTGTCCATATTTTTGGCATACCCATCTCCGTATATACGTATAGAAACAGTTCTCTTTTACCCACCCCCATCTTGTACCTTTCCCAATGGGCAACAGAAATATTTTAGTTTGTATTTGGAAAGTTCTGAGCAGACTGATCTGTAAGTTGCCCCAGCAACCTGATAATTCATTACCACTTCCATTTTACAGAGATTGAATTGCTTAATATCTTTCAGTTAGTAAATAATGAATCCAAGACTGAAAGGATGCTTTCTGATTCCCAGTCCCCTCTTCTGTAGAAATGGAGGACATGGGCAAACAAAGCCCTTTAAAGAAATTTTAGAGTTGTTTAAAAAAAAAAAAAAAGAAAAAGAAAAAGTGGGCAGGGAGGAAAATCTGAAAAATATGTTTCTCAAAGATCCAGAAACAGACAAACTTAATTTAAATAACATCTTTGTGAACCAAGAACACTTCAAACAAAAATGTATTAACTGAGCTCTTAGTATGTGAAAGATACTATGCTGGTGACAATTAAAAATGGGAAAAATGGGAATAAGTAGCCCTTTCCCTTAAAATGTTTGCAATCTTGAATAGGGAAGACAAGTTTTTTTAATTGACTTGCCCTGCTACCATTGACCTTGAGAAGAACTGTGAGTGGGGCTAAGTAGGAGAGGATTCCAAAGAAGCAGGCAATAAGGACCCAGGTGGACAAGGAGAGAAATAAACTAATTTAGAAAATCTATTATTTATGCACTAAAACCCACTTCCCTCTTGACCTGCACCTTAAACACAGACACATTTATTAAATATTTTGCTGCTAAAACTGAATGTAAGGAGCAATTATGTAGGGAAGTCATTTCCTGGTGTCACTAATGTCATCTTGAGAGAGCAGCTGGAGGATGTTCTAGACAATGCAGCCCAGCACCCAGCTCTCCCTTGCCCAGGTGTAGCTTTTGATGGTTGGAACATAACTTTAACCCCATCAAGACTTTTCCTTATGTTATCGTTAAACTGGGTCACTTGTGATCCTTCAAATGCTCCATGCAAATCACCAAATGAACTTCTGCACCCAACAATGAAAACACTACAGAGAGAAATTATGTAGAAGGAGAAATTTTTAGATTTCCTTCATTTTCTTAGAGCATAATTCAGATTGTTGGGGGGATGACAAATAGGGGTATTTTTAAAAGCAGGAAATAAACATGAAAGAGCTGGGAGGCATCATTTTGAAAAAGATAACTAACATACATTTACAGAGAGGAACGAAAATAAAAGAAAGCGGTGTTGGTCCTAACAATAAATCCGGGGTCCTTGTGAATACACAACGAGTGTTAATGTAAAAAGTGCTGAGAACAGGTGATACAGCCAAACCATGGAATACTACTCAGCAATAAAAAGGACAGAATTGTGGTGATGGATATGTTAAGAGGATGGACATGTTAATTAGCTTGATTGTGGTAATAATTTCACAAAGTAGCCGACCGTCATACTATACACGTTAAACAATTTAAATTTTTCAATTATACCTCAACAAAGCTGGAGAGAAGAAAGAGTAGGAACTATTGATGCATACAACAAAGGGTGTTATATAGATCTTCAGAGAATTATGCTGGTTGAAAAAACCCAACCTCCAAAAGTTGCATATTGTATGATTCCATTCACATAAACTGCTTGAAATTACAAATTTATAGAAATGGAGAACAGATAAGCAATAGTTTCCAGGGGCAAAGGAGGGTATAGAGGCAGGAGAAAAGTGGGTGCAGCTACAAAAGGCCAACATAAGGGATCCGTAGGGTGATAGAAATATCCTGTATATTGACTGTATCACTGTTGACATCTTGGTTGTGATATTGTACTGTAGTTTTGCAAGATGTTATCATTGGGGGAAACTGGGTAAAGGGTACACAGGGTCTCTCTTTATTATTTCTTACAACTGCATGTGAATCTACAATGATCTCAAAATAAAGAGTTTAACTTAAAAAATCAAAGGTAAAGTCTCAGAAAAATAGCTAGCTAAAAGAACCAAAAGTGGCTGACTCTTAGATGTCAAAGGTAAAGAAGGATTGAGAAAAGGATTGTCCATTTTCACTAAAAAGCCTTGTAGAATCACATAATGTTGATTCATGTGATAAAAATTAATTTTTAAAGATGCTGAGAGATTCTATTTTGATGAAATAGACTAACGTGGAGTAGACTTGTGAGACCTTCCCTTTTCTTTTTAAAACACTTTATTGAGGTATAATTAAAATACTAGAAGCTGTACATATTTAATGTATACAGCTTGATAAATTTGGAGACAAAGTATACACTCATTGAAACCATCACCACAACCTATGCCATAAACATATCCATCACCACCAAAGTTTCCTCTCACCTTATTGTTATTATTATTTGTGATAAGAACATTTAAGATTTACCCCCTTAGCATTTTAAAGTATTTTAATTATATAATACAGTTATTGTTAACTATTGTTAACTATATAACTGTTTACATACAGTTATAATATAGTTAACTATAGGCTCCATACTGTACAGTAGATCTCTAGAAGTATTCATCCTGCAAAAATGTAACTTCGTATGTTTTGAATAATACCTCCCAGTTCCCCCTTCCCCAAGCCAGCCCCTAGTCATCGCCAGTCTACTCTCTGCTTCTATGACTTTGACTATTTCTGATTCCCTGTATAAGTGATATCATGTAGTATTTATCCTTCTGTGTCTGATTTATTACACTTAGCATAATGCACTCCAGGTTCATCCATGTTGTCTGAAATGGCAGGAAACAAAATTAACATTTATTGAGCACTTGCTGTTTGTCAACCACTGTGTGCAGCATTTTAAATGCACATCCCCATCTAATCCTCAGGAAAATCAATGAAGAAAGTGCTCTTTTCCACCGTTTTATCCCCGTACACCTGAAGCTCACATTGCTTGAGAGATTAAAAATCATAGTAAGCAGCATGGCTCAGCCTGGCATTTATACTTCAGAGCCAGTGTGCTTAATGATGCTCTTTGGGGAGGGAAATACTAACTGCCAAAGCCTGTTGGTGCCCAGACCTACTCCTGGGTAAACAAATAACTTGGAGTGGGGGCCAAACCGGCCTTTGAACCAGACAGACCTGGGTTTGAGACCAAGTTCCACATATCATAGCTGTGTGACCTTGGATGTGTCACTTAACTCATCTGAGCCTCTACTTCTTCATCTATAATGTAGGAGTAACAGAACTACCCACGTCACAGTGTTGTTGGGAGAATTTAACAAAATAATATACATTTAGTGCTTAGCACAGTGCCTGAGAATCAGTTCTCAATAAGGGATAACTATTATTACTAGGATCATTATGATTATCATAAATTTTGACATTCTTATTCCTCATAAAAGGTTTCAAATAAAGCTTTCTCCAATTCATATCCAGAAGCTGTTGAACTTTCCTTGAAGATGACTCTGAACTTCATGTTTCCTCTCAGATAAAAGAGCAGAAAGGGCTTTCACAAATGACATTCATCAGAAAAGCACCTAGGATTCTGTGATTACTGAACTTCTCTCTTTTGGTATACAAGAAAATCAGAAGGAAAAAAGCTGTCTGGCTAAGTAGCTCCTGCTCCTGGATTTTGCTTTGTTTTGTTGTTGTTTTTGTATTGATTTTTTATGAAATATATCATGCAGAAAAGGCAAAGACTATTATAACACTCAAGTTCCCATCTCCCAGGTCTAACCAATATGAACATCTTTCCGTATTTGCTTTATATCCTTCTGTGAATAAATAAAACATTACAAATGCAGATGAAGGTGCCTCTCATTCCCGTACATCTCATTCTTCTCCCTCTGTCCTGCTCACACCCTCGCTCCTTCTCTCCCAAGTGCTGATTTTCCAAGGCAGCTTTGAATGGATCTAGGTTTGCAGGCTAAAGCTCAAGCAGCTCACTTCCTAGTCCTGCGGGCAGACACCACATGCAAGGCCGTCACCAGGAAGTTTTTGTTCTGAGCTTCTGCCCAATGTTAAGTATGAAAGATGAGTCCAACACTATTCTCCCAATAAGGCCTTACCATAAAAGTGCAGTGACAGACATTGAAATAAGCATATGCCCTGATTCCTCTTTGGAGAACCCTCTGGCCACATGATTTGAATAGGGCTAACCCCACTCTCTGTCTCCAAGCCCTGGCCAGTGAGTTTACTGAATCCTCCTGGCCACAACCACTGCTTCAGTGATGTAAACGGGAACAATTAAAACCAGCCCCAGAATTTTTACTGAAGTTAGAGGAGGGAGGTGCTGCCTAACCTCTGGAGTCTTTCAGTGAGAGGATATAAACCTAGTGATGGAGGGAGCACCATAAATATAGCACCTGCCTGAGATCAAGCCAGCACACAGAGAAAGTATTGCTGAGTGATACCATTGAGTCTCTGGATCCAGTGATCCCAATGTTAGGTCTGTCACTGAAATTCCCACTTATAGGGCCAATATATTCCACTGTTGTGCTTAAATTTGTTTGAATTAAAGTTCTGTCCTGAATAATATTAAACAAAACAACTAATGAATAAGACAGGACCTAACAGCAACACGTACTATCAGCCTGCATTCTTCTCTAAGTCTTTTACCTGTGAAAACTCATTTAATCCTGAGAAGAACCCTCTAAAATGTAGATTCTATTATGATCTCCAGTTTATAGCTGAGAAAACTGAGCACAGAGAGAAGTAATTTGCTCAAAAACATTGAAGTATTAAATTAAATAGTGAAGCTGGGATTCAAATCCGGGACATCTGAGCTGCAGTTTAAATTGTTAACTACTACTGTACAATTCAGAAAGTGAATGTTTATAAAGAAGTCATGATAAATGATAAAATGTGAGCTATTGTTATCAAAGAAAATACATTTCATAAAGAATATTGTGTCTTTAACTGGCCTTCGAAGGATGAGAAGCACAAATGGCAAATATAGAAAGGGAAGGAGAATTCCTCAGTGGGGGAGAAGACTTGAGCAAAGGCAAGAAATGAACACAAGAGCACTATATTTAAAGGTGACAAGTAAAAGACCTTATATTGATTTTTTTCATCCTAGGAAAATAAAGAAACTGTATATAAGACTTAATGTGTAGCATGATTCCCTAAATTTATAATTACTCTTTCAGGAATACTGGGAAGATAATGAGTTTAACCAAATCCCTGATATATTAGTCCGTTCTCACACTGCTTTAAAGAACTGCCTGAGACTGAGTAACTTAGGAAGAAAAGAGGTTTCATTGACTCATAGTTCCACAGGCTGTACAGGAAGCATGGCTATGAGGCCTCAGGAAACTTATAGTCATGGCAGAAGGTGAAGGGGAAGGAAGCACATCTTACTATGGCAGATCAGGAGAGAGAGAGAACAAAGGGGAAAGTGCCACACACTTTCAAACAACCAGATCTCCTGAGAACTCACTCACTATCACAAGAACAGCAAGGGGGAAGTCTACCCTCATTATTCAATCACCTCTCGTCAGGTCCCTCCCCCAACAAGTGGAGATTACAATTTGAGATGAGCTTTGTGTGGGGACATAAAGCCCAACATATGACCTGAGCATATTGATTTGAAGTGACTAACAAGGAAAACCAAGTCGTCTCCTTCTCCCAGCCTCTCTAACCACCTCAGAGCCTCAAGGTGCATATGTGAGGATCCAACTAAAGATTAAGAGCTTTAGAATCAGATAAGTTGGGTTCGAAACCCAGCTCTGCAATTTATTAGTTATTTGGCATTGAGCAAGCTATTTCATACCTCTGATGCTGTTTTCTCATCTGTAAGAAGGAGTTAAGAACGTAGAGATTCTCATGGCGTTGCTTCACAATTTAAATGAGATCATGTACATCTGTGCTTAGCACAGTGCATGGCAGAAAGTAAATTCCCAATATGGTCAGCACTATCAGTGATAGTATTAATAACAAAATCAAGTGACAGTGAAGGTGCATACTGTTCTTAGGTGTAGCAAAGATCCAGGCCATTTGGCTGGGTCCTCTAAGCTATTTGTCTTTGCCTTAGAGGTGGGAAGAGGAGCCATGGAGGCCAATAGAAACCATCTATTGCTTTCCCTTTTCAAGGCAGCCAGAATAATTTTTCAACCACTGAAATTATAAAGAAGATGCTCAATCTGCTGATAATTTGATTTTAATTAGAACTTCCATCCACAATGCTGGACTTGCAAGGGAAAAAAAGAAGCAGAAATGAAACAGCAATTAACCTTTGGTTTTCAGCTTATTTGTTCCTAACCAACATGGGTCAGTTGCCATAGAGATTATACCTACGTGGTCTGCAGATGTGAGCAAAGCTGCCTGGAGCCTCTGAACTGACCTGCTCTCAGTGTGGCTTTGGGATAATTAAAAATCTACTAAAGAAAGAATTGAAAGTTAATCTGAAACTCTAGTCCAAAGCAGACTTGAATGGAAGTAGAAGAAAAGGAGAGGAAGACAAGGAGAAATTAGAGTCAGGAAAAAAAAGTTAAAAGTTAAAGACACAAATTACTTTCCCTACTTTGGAAAAAAAATTGATCTCTTTCATTCACAACTTTCCAGAGTCTGACTGTCTGTGACTTTAGGAGAGATTTATCGAATGAGGAGGAAATGAGGGGGCATGAAGAATTTGTCGCTTCTATTAGAAGGGGATCTCTTAGCTTTGGATGGTGACCAGCCCACCTTAGCCAGGGAGGCTGAAGTAGGGATGGGGTTAGCAACCGTGAGCTTGAAATTCTAGTCTCCAGAAAAGTGGGTGTGCATGAAGCAATGGAGCAAAGTCACTGGTGGCATGCAGATGTCTTGGGCCAGGTCACACCAGCAATAGCATGGAAACAGAGAGCAGGACATCTAGTGTGAAAGAACCAGCAAGTTGCTCAGTCATTGGAATCTTACCTCCCTGCAGGAAATCCATTCCCCATTTGCCCAGTGGATCCCTTTTCAGCCGGATAGAGCTTGGTCTACATCTGTCTCCATTCCCCAGCTATATTCTGGCCCCTTTCCTTCTTTTTGGCCCAACACTTACAAAATCAAGGTCAGATGGATAATTAAGTTATATCTTCTCCCAAATCTAAGGGCTGTTAATTACCCAGGACAGTGCTAATCACTATTAGGGAACAAAATAGCATCTGACTTAAGTGGATTCTAATTAAAGCTTTAGTATTATCTCCTGAAGCAGTGACTTTGAAAGTTTTTTTCTTTCATACAAGATCCTTCTAGGAAGCACTGTCCTGGGGATCCTTCATAAAAGCCCCCTCCTCAGTGAAGCCTTCCCTGTCCACCCTGTCTACAGTAGCCCCCATCATTCTTGACCACACCATCCTGTCATGAATAATGTTTTCATAGAACTTATAACTTACTGGAATAATCGTGTTCATTTTGTTAATATTTTCCATAAGCTTCATAAGAGCAGGAGAACTTGTTACCTTGTGTATAATTGTATTTTCAGTGCGTAGAACAGTGCCTGGACAATCAAATACTCAACAGGCATTTGTTGACTAAATAAATGACTGTTCCCCTAGGCCTGCCCAGTTTATGTGCCACTTACAGCCAGCTATCATTCCAACCTATCTTTCTCCTCTAGAAAGTATTTCAGAATGTATAAGAATGACAGAATTATTGAACTATTCCTTCTTTCAACAAATATTTATCAAATGTTTACTACATGCCATATACTATGTATATTAATCCATTCTCATGCTGCTAATGAAGACATACCCAAGACTGGGTAATTTATAAATTATAATTTATAAAAGAAAGAGGTTTAATTGACTCATGGTTCCACAGGGCTGGAGAGGCCTCAGGAAACTTACCTTCATGGCAGAAGGGGAAACAAACACATCCTTCTTCACATGGTAGCAGCAAGGAGAAGTGCAGAGCGAAGGGGGAGAAAGCCCCTTCTAAAACCATCAGATCTCATGAGAACTTACTCGCTATCATGAGAACAGCATGGAGGTAACCGCCCCCATGATTCAATTACCTCCCACCAGGAGATTATGGGAGCTATAATTCAAGATGATATATAGGTGGGGACACAGGCAAACCATATCACTATGCTAGGTGCTGGCAATAAAAAAGACAAGGCTCCTGCCTTATGGAGGTTCCATTATGAAAGTGGAAAAATAGCTGCTGTACATTGACGTACAAATAAAAAGTAAGATTTAGTCATTAATGGTGGTGTTCATTGCAATGGAGGGAATCAATGGGGTGATGTGATAGGAAGTAATGGGGTTGGGAGGGCAGTGTGTCAGGGGAAGTCACTTCAGTTCAGAGTCAGGGAAGGCCTCTTCCGTAAGGTAATATTTGAGAGCCTGTCTCACAATAAGAAAGGAATTCTACGCAGAGGGAACAGAAGATGCAAACTCCATGAGGTTGGAAAGAGCTCAGCACTTTCAAGAGCTCAAGGGTAGTGGTCCAGCGGGAGAGAAAAAGGTGTCAATGAAGAGGTACACTGGGCCTTGAGGATGGGGAAGGAGTTTGTATTTTATGTTGACCACAATGAGAAGGTACCAGCAGGTTTAAGCAGGAGCATGGCATGGTCTGAATTACATGTTAAGAAAATTACTCTGGCTGCTAGGTGGAGAATGAAAGGAGGAGGAAGAATAGATGCGAAAGGGCAGCAAGTGGCAATTGCAGTTATCAAAGCAGAGATGATGGCTGCTGCCTTGCTCTTGGCTGGTTGCAAAAGCGAGGAGGAAAAACAGAGATAACCTCATCTCATTCTAATATGTATTTTTATTAAATTTTTAAATAAATTATTTACAAATTCGTGTGCTTCATTATAATAACAAAGCATTATTATATTGATTAGAACATACAAGCATGTTGTGACTAATGGCTGGGAATTGCTGTTCTGGAGAAATTAACACTGGTTAGGCAGGTGAGAAGAGGCATAGTAGCCCAAGGCTTATATACATATACCGAGGTCCTGTAAGTATGACTGCTCTACCACTCCCTTCTGGCCTGTGATTGAATTTGTCACCTCTCATCACCACACATCAATCTTAGGCCTGACCTCAGCAATGTCACTTTGATCATGCCCCTTCAGGGTATAGTCTACATAGTCTACAGATGCTGGGTTAGTTAGCAACGTGACCCTGCCGTCAGCACTCCGGAATGATCAATATTACAATACAGAGCTCATTGCAGGACACTTCGCTGGTTACCCACTGGCTGAGATGCCAGTCACACTGATAAACAGAGGTGGGGATGTACAAAAATTTACCTCAAAGCCATCTGCCTCCTAGGATTGTCCAATCCAATGATTCTCAATCTAGTTGGATAGTTAGAATCACCGGTAGCTTGTTTTAAGTTGCAGATAAGAATCTCTGGGTATAGAGTTCAGAGATGATTGTGCTTTTAAATCTCTGTAAGTGATGCTAATGGGCAGCTAGGTTTGAGAACCACAGTTTCTAACCCAACTGTCTTATCTATCACAGTCTACCTTATCTAAGACCCTGTGGGACTTCCTCTTTCTCAATCCTCACCCCTGTTAGGCTTTGACAAAGAAATACATTCCAGCAGATTCTAACGGCTACCATTTAGTTGGTTCTCACCAGCTTCCAGGCAAGATGATCAGCACCTTGCCAATGTTATCTCATTTCATCCTCATAACCACCCTCTGAAGCAGCAGCATCAAGAAGGCTGAGAAAATGCTGGCTCAGAGAAATTATTCGAGATGCCCAAAGTCACATAGCTAATCAGACAAGTCAGACTTCATACCAAGGTCTTACGATTCTTCATGACTAAGCAACTGTAACACTGTCTCTTCACTGTCTCTTAGAGAAATCAAAGTTTCAATCCCTGTTTTGCCCCCTACTGGCTGTGTAATATTGGTGAGTTATTTAACCTATCCAAATCCCAAGTCCCTCTTGTAAACAGCTTGTTGTCCACTCCAGCCCTCTTCTCCCCCATATTTTCTCATTAAGTCTCATTAGTTCTCAAAGCATTGCATATCCATGCTACCTGCTTTTTTCTCTATCTGCCACATGCATCTCACCACGGATTCCTTCGGATCTTGGCTAAGGACCCTCCAGCACCTAGCACAGAGCTTGGCCCAAAGTAAGAAGTCAATGTCCATTGAACTGAAAAAGATAGCCTCCCACTGGGATGACATAATTTGGGAATTTGGGTTGTTGTCTGACATTCAGCAAAACCCTCCACAAGAGCCACATTGGCCCTTACAGAGCTCTCCTATCAGGTGACCAGGGATACTCAATGTTAAACTGCAAAGGGCAAATGGTCTGTGTGATCCCAGGCACTTATTTAGAAGAATTAACTATATTTACATAACTTTACATATATTCAAGGCAAAAATTTATGATATATTTATTCAAGGCAAAAAAGATGCAGATGTGAAATACCAAAGACAAAAATATTTTCCCATAACATATAGTGCAAGTGTTAGAGAACAATGCAATTCTACAACTCTCCCTTCTATCACAGCCAAAGTTGGGTCTTCCAAATTATCAAAAGGTGACCCTTATCAGCATAAAAAGGAGAGTGAACTTAGTCATAATTGAAGATCAAAAATCAAGAAACAACCAACCTTCCTTGTTGCCACTTCTACCCTTAGATTAGAACCAGAAGGCTATGGAAGAGAAGGATAAGGGACTCACTTTTCCTCTCTAAATCCCTTGCAAAGGAGCATGAGAATTTGTACAGTTGAGGACACTGCATTAGAGAGAAATCAGTCACCCCTTCAATCCCAGAAGAGATTTTTTCTTTAAAAGATCTTTGTGAGGTGGCAAGTGCTTAATATAAGATGATGATGATGATTATTATTATTCTTTCATAGTACCAGTTCTTGCCTTCATTCATTTAGTCATTCAAAAAAACATTTACTGAGCATCCACTGAGTACTCTTATCCTCTTCATTGTGCTACTGGGCTTGAAGGGAGAAACTGACGAGACTCCTGTCAATAGAGAATTTCAAAAAGAGACAAAAAAAAACAAAACTTTACTTGAACTTGAGCAGCTGCATTGTTTGAGCTCAGTTCTTTATCTGAAAAATGGAGAATAAAATACCAATTTTCCATGGTTAGTGTAATAGAATATAATAGCCTCAGTGTGATATCTGTTACATAGTAGAGACTCAATAAAAAACAGTCATTATCACAGTTATTCTTGCTATAAGGGAATTTAATGAAGGTACTATGAAATCACAAAGGAGAGAACACTTACCTCTGTGGAACTATTCAATGAGGGAATAAAGGCATCATGTCACCAAGCCAATACTGTACTTCAGAGATTTATGGAATCACTGCTTATGTGCCACTTAGCAACTTCTGAATGCCTATTAACTTGTATTTGAAAACCTCAACTCAGGGGTCTATGTCTCCTTCTGTCCACAGTGACATCTGATGTCTAGGTCTTCACTTTCTTTGACAGACCTAGAATCTGCTAAGGAGAAAAACAGAGGGAAATTGAGAGTACATAACCATTAAAATTAATTGCTCACAAACATTAGAAATCAGACACCCATTGCAGTCATAAAATATGGATAAGGATTTGCTGAAAGTCATTTATATTAAATTACTTTTATAATAATATTTAACTTTTAAGCTTTAAATATTTAGTGCTTCTTTTCTTGTTGTTTGCAAGGAAACTTGCAGCTGTTTCATAGCTGAAGAACTCCATATCCATTCTGACTTGAGGCCCAGAGGACTGGACATCAAACCAGCAGCTCTGAGAGTTGAGACCAGCATGTGTGTCAGTGACTTGATATTAGCCAACTCTCATTCATTCAACAAAAATTAACTGAAACTCTTGGCATTCCAGATTCCAGGATATAAAGATATATAAAGCATGATCCAAGAACCCAAAAACTATCAAGAAAAGACAGGAAGGAAAAACCCAACTGTTACAAAATGTTGCCTACATTTCCCCCACACTCATTCCCAAATTACTTAATAGCTTAGAAATGCATCTTGCTCTTTCCCACCTCCATGTCTCTGCCTGTGCTAGTCCCCCTACCTTAAATGACAACCCTCCGCCTTGCCATCTCCCAATTCTCCTTATGGATTTAGCTTTAATTGTAACGGGGGTCATCACTTCCAAGAGGCTTTTCCAGGAACTACTTGCAGTGTAATTTAGACGTCAAACATTTAATCCACTCTGTTCATACTTAATCCACCCTTTAGACACTAACTCTTAATTCACTCTGTGCATACTTCAGTCATAATACCCATCACACTTCCCTGCACTTGTTGATTTACTTGTCAGTCTCCTCTGCCAGCCTGTGAGATACTTGTGTCTAATGCATGATTATATTCCTATGTCCTTTGCAGTAACTGACACAGCATAGATGTTCAATTAAACTTTTGGAAGTCAATAAATTAATTGCATAATTAATTAATTTGGTAGTATAAGTGTTATAGTAGATAGGTTTACTTAGTATAATGCAACTGTATGGAGGGATACAACCAACTTCTTGTGGGGAATGAGGAGGAGGGATGCTGTCAGGAAATACTTAGAAATGATCATAGCATTTGAGCAAATTTCTGGAAAAACTGTGATATGGTTTGGCTCTGTGTCCCCACCCAAATCTCACCTTGAATTGTAATAATCCCTATGTGTCAAGGGTGGGACCAGGTGGAAATAAATCATGGGGGTGATTTCCCCCATGCTGTTCTCATGATAATGAGTGAGTCTTGTGAAATCTGACTGTTTCATAAGCATCTGGCATTTCCCCTGCTGGCACTCATTCTCCCTTCTGCCACCCTGTGAAGAGGTGCCTTCCACCAAGATTGTAAGTTTCCTGACGCCTCCCCAGCCAGGCGGAACTGTGAATCAATTAAGCCTCTTTTCTTTATAAGTTACCCAATCTTGGGTATTTCTTCATAGCGGCATGAGAATGGACTAATACAAACTGGATATCTTATAATTATGTACACTAAAAACTGAAATTACTTAATTGTCATTGTGCCCTCAAAAAACTACTTCAGATATTTTCACATCTAATTAGCATCGTATGGCCTCTGGTCCTCTCCTATTGCATCGTCCATCACACTGCCATCATCACACCCACTAAAAACATTGTGAACACCAAAGAACAAGCAGGAACAAAGGAAAGAAAAGGTCTTTCTTCCCTCTCCTCCTACCAACTTTAGACGGTATAAAGTGCCCATCCTATTAGCTTTTCTGTTAATGTATTCAGAAAGAATTCCAGTCAGATGCCAGGGTAAAACCTAAGTTGACTGCCAGGAAAGTCTTCATCAAACCCAATCCTATTATTGCAACCCATACATTCATTCATTCATTAAAACCATCACCTTCTGGGTAAACCTGTCAATCTACCAGAGTAACAACAGGAGTCACAGAGACACCAACTGCTTCCTGACTCCATTTCAATACCTCAGAAAGTTTTTCAAAAGACAAAGTCAGACAAAGTCCTGGGATCCTCTAGACTTAAACTAAATTGTGATTATCATGACCTAGTATAACCTTGGTTCCAGCTACTGCCAAAGGTGATGATAACCTAAACAGGAATAGAAATCTAACTGTTATTATTGCTGGGAAAGTCTTTTTATGTGAGAAAACAATAGGCTGATCTCTGAACAGGAACTTCTGGTGCTTGTTCTGTAACTTGGAATACATTAAGTTTTGCAGTGCCCTGGAACCTCCATTAAACATACCCAAGGGAGGACACCACCCCTTGCAGGCCTAAGGAAATGACTTGCTTCCAACTGCAAATCCCTTCGACCTACTTCCAACCTGTAGTTGGAACATCTCTGCTGGATCCTTTTGAATTGTTAAGAGTTGGCATTTGGTATTATTTGGGTAACTTAATATCAGAAAAAAAACAGATCCAAAAATATATGGTGGCTAAACAAAATAGAAATTTACATGTTGTTTACAAACCAGTAAAGGCAGATGAAAGAATTGTGGGTTGGGGGCAAAGAGGTGTCTTCCTGTTCCACACAGCACTGACAAAGAATCTTCCATCTTTGACATGTGGTTTCTATACCCCAGGGAAACTCTCTCATCACAACCAGCTACAAGGAGAGAAGCACCTGGAGTGATGTGTACCACTTCTACTTATCTTGCATTCTACAGAACTCAGTCACATGGCCACATCAAACTTCAAGAAAGGCTGGGAAATGTAATCTAGCAGTGTGCCCCAGAAGAAGAGAGTAACAAGGATTTTGGTAAGCAGCAGATATTGTTGGAAAATAACTTGCAATTTTTAAGAGCATTCATGCAACAATCACCCTATAATAGGCAATAACAAACCTAAGGAAGCAAGTGCAAGAACATAGGTAGACCTATCTTTAATCCTCTCTGAGCCTCAGATTTCTCCTCAATGAAACAGAGAGAAAAACCAATGTAGGAATAAGTGAGCCAATGGGGTCAAACACCTATCACAATGCCTGGCACATACGTGTTCAACAAATGTGGTGGTGCTGGTGGTAATTTGCAGTTACTCACTATTCATGGGTAAGATATTGTTTTCATTTTCAGTATGTAAAATAGTAAGTGCCAAGTTCTAACCTTTGCTGGAGCAATTAGCCACCAATTCAGTTCACACTCTCCTTCCCCCACCTCAGCTTTTTCCCCTAGAGCTACCACTCTGTCTGCATGGGAAGTCTTAACCATTGATGAGGGACCAATGTCCACTCCATACCCCAAGAGCATTCCTGCTTAGTCTTTAACTGCAGCCCTGATAAATCACTAGGATTGGTCTGCCTGTCACGGCACATAAAATACAAACCATCAAATGCTAATGAAATTGTATCCACCACTGAGTGCACAAAAGTGTGTGGCTGGAAGGAGGTCTGACTGCCCAGCAAGTTCATTTGTTCCTTGCTTTAAAGTGATCAATCATTTACTCAAATTTCAGTGAAATGGCCTGAAATGTGGAAGATAAAACAGCCCAGAGCTCGGGCACAGTAGATTGGAGGCAAGTCTCAGCAGTGGTCATAAGTAGGCAGCCACATCAGAAACAGTAAAGCCCCAGGGGTCCTGGGTTTTTCAGCTGGGAGCAGAAGGGGTTCTTCATGTGATTGAGTCTCAGTAGGAGCCTTCTGCTTTAGCTCGAACTAAGCTGCAGCTTCCATCACTTGCTGTGGCACTTAGAGCACTTGCAGTTCAAGGTACTCCCTGGAGTCCCACTCTCAACTTCTGGAGCACCTGCTCCTCCAGTTCATTTCCGGCAGCTCTCCTACAGCAACTGCCAATAAATATGAGGTGACTTCAAAAAGTTCATAGAATAATGGAATTAAAAGACAAAAATAAAAAGTATAAACTTCGTTTCCCAACATAAGCTCCATCAAGGTCAAGACAGTTTAGTAAGTGATGATACCAGCCATTGAGTTCATCCCTAAAGAACCAAGGGTCCTAGGAATTTAATCATGTCACCGCAGTCCCTTTTACATTAAAAACTGAAGAAAAATGGTGCTCTTTACAGATTTTTTAAGATTAGGACACAAAAAGATATCAGAAGGAGCCAAATCATGACTGTCAGGTGGATGCCTAATGATTTCTCATTGAAACTCTTAAAAAATGGTCCTTGTTTAATGAGAGGAATGAGCAGGAGCATTGTCATGGTGGAGAAGGACTGTCTGGTAAAGTTTTCTTGGACATTTCCCTGCTAAAGCTTTGCCTTTCTCAAAACACTCTCATAATAAGCAGATGTTATCATTTTTGGCACTCCTGAAAGTTAACAAGCAAAATGCCTTGAGCATCCCAAAAACCTGTTGCCATGACCTTTCCTCTTGATTGGTCCACTTTTGCTGTGACTGGACCACTTCCACCTCTTGGTAGCCATTGCTTTGATTGTGCCTTGTCTGTGGAATCATACTGGTAAAGTCATGTTTCATCTCCTCTTCCAATTCTTTGAAGAAATGCTTCAAGATCTTGATCACACTTACTCAGAATTTACATTGAAAGCTCTGCTTTTCTCTGCAGCTACTCGACGCAATGATTTTGTCACTCATCAAGTGGAAAGTTTGTTAAACTTTAGTTTTTCAGGCAGAATTGAGTAAGTAGAACCAATTGAGAAGTCTGTGCTGTTAGCTAGTGTTTCTGCTATTAATCATTGGTCCTCTCATTTAGGGCATAAGCCAGATTAATTTTTTCCTCACAAATTGATCTGCAGCTGAGGGTTTCATCTTCAACATCATCTTGTCCCTTCTTAAAATGAGTTATCTGCTTGTAAACTGTTGATTTCTTTGAGGCATTGCCCTCATAAACATTTTGTGAAGTATCAATTATTTCACCATGTTTCCACCCAGGCTCCACCATAAATTTGATGTTTGTTCTTGATTCAATTTTATCAGAATTCATGTTGTTCTGGTAGGGGCTCTTTTCAAAGTGATATCTTAGCATTTTTAGTCCCTCAAACTAGATCCTGTCTAGACATGTTATAACAAGTTAGTATGAGTTTATTTTAGTGCAAAAAAAAATGAAATCCAAGCATAGTTATTTTACAATGCACATGTTACAAGGAATTATTAAGTCTCCTTGTATATATATTAAAAGATTTTTAGCCATTCAGATTCTCTCACCCAGAAATTTCACCTTCAGTAGTCACTCCTAAAAAAAATTATCCTGGCTGGTAAAAAACATATGAAAAAAAGCTCAACAACACTGATCATTAGAGAAATGCAAATCAAAACCACAATGAGATACCATCTCACGACAGTCAGAATGGTGATTATTAAAAAGTCAAGAAACAACAGAGGCTGGCAAGGTTACAGAGAAATAGGAATGCTTTTACACTGTCGGTGTGAATGTAAATTACTTCAACCATTGTGGAAGACAGTATGGCGATTCCTCAAAGATCTAGAACCAGAAATACCATTTGGCCCAGCAATCCCATTACTGGGTATATACCCAAAGGAATATAACTCATTCTATTATAAAGATACATGCCCACAGATGTTCATTACAGCACTATTCACAATAGCAAAGACATAGAATCAACCCAAATGCCCATCAGTGATAGACTGGATAAAGAAAATGTGGTACATATATACCACGGAATACTATGAACCCACAGAAAGGAATGAGATCATGTCCTTTGCAGGGACATGATGGAGCTGGAAGCCATTATCCTCAACAAACTAATGCAGGAACAGAAAATCAAACACCACATGTTCTCACTTGTAAGTGGGAGCTGAACAATGAGAACACATAACACAGGGAGGGGAACAACAGACACTGGTGCCTGTCAGGGGGTGGGGTGGTAGGAGGGAGAGCATTAGGAATAATAGCTAATACATGCTGGGCTTAATACCTAGGTGATGGGTTGATAGGTGCAGCAAACCACCATGACACAAACTTTACCTGTGTAACGAACTTGCACATCCTGCACGTGTACCCTGGAACTTAAAATTAAAATTAAAATTAATTTTAAAAAATTATCCTGTCTGGGCATGGTGGCTCATGCCTATAATCCCAGCACTCTGGGAGGCTGAGACAGGAGGATTGCTTGAGGCCAGGAATTTGAGACCAGCCTAGGCAACATAGCAAGACCCTGTCTCTACAAAAATTAAAAATTAGCCAGACATGTTGGCACATGCCTGTAGTCCCAACCACTCAGGAGACTGAGGTGGGAGAATCCCTTGAGGCCAGAAGTTCAAGGTTGCAGAGTGCTATGATCACACCACTGCTGCACTCCAGCCTGAATGACAGAATGAGACCCTGTCTCAGAAATGAATAAAATAAAATAATCCTAAGTATGGAAATAGCCTTATGCACAAGGATGCTCAATAATAACAAAACAGTAAAAACAACTCATACAATTGGAATCCCATTGCTAGTCCAATAGTAAGAAAATTGCTTCAA
Organism: Homo sapiens; assembly: GCF_000001405.40. Taxonomy (NCBI): domain Eukaryota; kingdom Metazoa; phylum Chordata; class Mammalia; order Primates; family Hominidae; genus Homo; species Homo sapiens. The sequence continues at coordinate 43,127,791 of NC_000011.10, forward strand.
TTAGAGTATGAAACATCAAGACATTGAAATACATGTTTGCCATGAATTTGTGATAAATGAAAGTGTGTATAATGTTATGTTAAGTGAGAAGAGGAAGAAACAACAGCACTATGAGTACAGCTCAGTTTTTAAAGAAGGAACAAAACTATGGTTATATAAGATATTATAACTGGGGGAAGTTAGATGAAAGGTACACAAAACTCTGTATTATTTTTATAATTTCTTATAGATCTTAAACTATTTCCAAATAAAAACTTATTTTTACAAACCGGAAACAGTTGTGCATTGGAAGGCAATATAGTATAGGAGCTAAGAGCATATGATGAAAAAAAAATAAGTGCAGGTGGTCAATTACAGAAGAGATTTTAAACCATTCATTCTTTTTGTTTAATCACAGCTCATAATAAAACTCCCATAAGAATCCTTTCTAAAAATCTCCTCTCCTTGCAGTTGACTTTTATTACTACAGTCTTCTTAGCAGAATAGACCAGAAACCAAGGTGATACAGAAAGTTGTTTCCTTATAACTATAATTACCAGAACAATAATGGAATTTATTATTTACCACAGTGTGCCAGGCACAGGTGTTTTATAAATATTAATCCTCATCACAACTTCTAAAGGCAAGTACCATTAAATCCATTTTAAAGATGAAAACATGAAATTAAGAGAAGTCCAGTGACTTGTCTAACAGTCATAACTAGTGAGCAATTTAGGCAGAGTTTAAACAGAGCTATACAAGGCCTAATCCCAGGCTTTTTCCAAAACAAATTATTTATCGATTATTTACTTCTTTAAAAATTTATTTACCTGATTGCTATGGTCTGAATTTGTCCTCCAAAATTCATGTGTTAAAAATTTAGTCCCTAGTGCAAGAGTGTTTGGAGATAGGGCTTGGGAGGTATTTAGGTCATGAGGGCTTTGTCCCCATAAATGAATTGATACCACTATAAAAAGTGTTTTCAGGGGTGGGTTTGCTATCTCTTGCCCTTCTGCCTTCCTCCATGTGATGACACAGCAAGAAAACCCTCACCAGATGCTAATGCCTTGATCTTGGGCTTTCCAGCCTCTACAACTGTGAGGAAATAAATTTCTGCTCTTTAAGAACTATCTAGTCTCAGGTATTCTGTTATAAGAGCACAAAACGGACTAAGACACTAATGTAACAGCAAATGCCCTTCTGGGGCTTTAGTTGCTCATCTGTGAAATTGAGCTGCTGGACTGAGTTTCCCCAACTCTAAGACACAAGGATTCCCCAGGAGCTCTAGCTCTCCTTTGAGACATTTCCCCCACCAGGCAATGGTCTCCTAGCTCAGTGATGCTCAGCCACTCAGGGAACTTTTAATTCCAAGACTGGGAACTCAAACCTGGACATTTTGATTTACTTTGTCTGGGATGGGCTTAGTCATAGGTACTGTGGCCAGGGTTGAGAACCACTGTCCTAACTTGACGACCTTTCTCTTCTTCCAATCTCCACCCATCCTACAGCTCCTCCATGATACTCCATGACATTCCCAACCTGCCTTTCCAAATTATGCTTATCAATGGAACCAGAATGATCTTTATAAAACAGATATGACTGTGCGACTCTCCTGTATATACAAGTTTAGTATCTCCCCAGGGTTTACCCAATGGGGTTCTTAAGATGGCACACAGGCCCTTACCTGGCCTGACCCCAGAGCTCTGCATCCCCAGCATCTTCTGCAGCCATTTCAGACAGCACCCCACACAGATTACGCAATATGCCCCAACCACACCAAACACTGTCATACAACTAAGCCCAAATTCACCCTGCATTTACCTGGAAGGCTCTCCCATCCTGTTATCTACTTTGTCCATTCACCCAGCTTTTCAAACCCATTGCCCCTCTTCCCCTGCTCCCACCTTCACACCTCACTGCATCCTCCTAGAACTCTTCTGTAGTTCCCTCAGGCAGAGCTAAGAATTCTGTCATCCATGTTCCTATATGTCTATCAGGCAGCTTAATATGTCTATTAAGTCCTCACCACACTGAATCATTGCAACCACACATGTTGCTCTCCTCTCCTCTGCACTCCAGCCTGGGCGACACAGTGAGACTCTGAGCTCCTTGAGAGCCATGCAGTGTTCACTCCAGCACCCTGAGAGAGCAATATGTGTATAAAATACCCTTCAATATGTGTCAAATAACTGAATGAATGAACAGACATAATAACAAGCAAATGCCATGCTCATGGGTCACTGAGAAAGGTTCGAATAATTTTCAAACTGCTTCTTCCTTAGACCAACAATGTCTCCTGATTAACAGGCACTACCATGGAACTCAAATAGGGCAGAGTGGCAGGGAGAAGTGGCAGAAAAGTAGACAGAACCAGGACCTCTTCTCGCAGTTTAAACCAGACTTAAGCCAGCAGCTTACACACCAAGCAAGCACAGAGAGGTTTCCTTTGGCCCAGAAAGTGCTTTAAAATTCTGGTTCTACACTTTCACTTGATGTGTCGGAGGCTCAGGCAACCCGCAACCTGCATTCCCACCAGGCTTCAATGACAGCAGTGGGGTAGCTGCTCCCCCATTTTGAGAAAGCACCTGTGTTCTCCAATGCGCCACAGTCCCCAACAGTCTCTGTTGTCTTCCCTTAGCTCATCTCTCCCAGTATGTTTGCTGTCTGGCCACTGTAGGCATTTGAGTTTGCAACCCTGGGTTTAAACAGATTTCTTGGCTTAAGGAGTTAAAATGCCTGGGGGTGTGCTCATTCTTTGCACCAAAGATTAACAGAAAGGATCTCTGCAGCTCCATTTCTCTCCAGGCTAGAAAGTTTAATAAAACCCAGCTGATGCTGCCTGGCTTTAGGGCTGAGAATGCCAGGGGCCATGACTGGGAAAGGAGAACAAAGTGGGGGGAAGAGGAGGCTAGGTGTAGCACAAAGAGGCTGTCTGGAAGTGTGACCCTCTGTTCTGCCAGGCTGAGATAAGCTCCTCAGCAGGACTGTTAAGGAAAGGTGAGGACGGAGCTGGACACTCAGCAAAGGGAAATGTTCAGGAAGAAATTCCCCAGCAAGTCTGTTAGACAAGCCACTGTCTCGTGAAGCTTTAGCTCCACTCACTGGCTGGCTATAAATTAAGCTCCAGGAAGCCAGCACAGCTCAGCAAAGCTTCCAGGCAGCCCCAAGGCACTGCTTAGAAGAGGAACTTTTCCTCAAACTCCACCTCTTACAGAGTTTCCATAGGCTGGCCATTTATGGGTTGTGTGACCCTGGACTTCAGTGTCCTCCCGTAGAAAACAAGGAGTATGAACTAGATTTATCTCTAGTGTCCTTTCTAGGTGTTTCTTTCTTTCTTTTTAAACAAGGTCTCACTCTGTCACCCAGGCTGGAATGCAATGGAACGATCATGGCTCACAGCAGCCTCAACCTCCTGCGCTCAAGTGATCCTCCTGCCTCAGCCTCCCAAGTAACTGGGACCACAGGCATGCACCACCACTCTGGGCTAATTTTTTTACTCTTTGCAAAGATGGGGTTGCAATGTTTCCCAGGTTAGTCTTTAACTCCTGGGCTTCTAAGAATTTTAACATTTGCTCTTTCTTCCAACAAAGAGGTGATGCCCACATAGAGGAAAATGTAACTTTATATAAACATATATAAACCCTGCTTTCCACTTTAATTAAGACATAAATACCTGCAGCAGCTAGAGATGTGAAGAGGCAAGTGAGCAGAGGAAATGTGCATAAGACTCTCAGCAGCTTGGTAATAAACAGGGAGGACTGAAGTGACCCTGTGGCTCCAAAGGTGGCTGTTCATTAGCCTCCTCCTATCCTTAGACCCAGCTGGAACATTGCATGCACTGGCTCCCAGGTTGCAGAGGATGTCAGCAGCTCCAGCTCACCTGATTGAAGGAGGCCATGTGACTTTCCCTGGACTTCCTGCTTGGACAGTGAATCCCTGTAGGGCCTGGATCCATTACCCTCTTCTTCTCCCACTCTACCCAGCACTCTTCTTCATGAGTTTGCTTTCTCCTGTCTTTTTTTCCTCCACTTTTCATTCAAAAATTGTTGATTAAGCACCTCCTATGGGACAGACATTTTTCTAGAGTCTGGGAACACCTCAGTGAACAGACAGGTTCTTATTCTTATAGATCTTCCATTCTAGAGAGAAAGCTGAAAGATAAATAACACAGCAGGCAGTGAGGGGTGCTACAAAGAAGGATAAGCAGGGTAAGTGCGTGGGAAAATGTGCTACTTTGTCCTCTAGAGGCCAGGGAAAGCCTCTCTGTTAAGGTGATATTTGACAGAGATTTGAAGACACTGAAGGAGTGAGCCATTTGGATCTCTAGGGAAAGAGCATTCTTCTCCACGCAGAGAAGAGCAAGTGCAAAGGCCATGATGAAGAAGTGAGCTTGGCCAGAGTGAGGGACACCAAGGGTGGCCTACAGTGCATGCAAGTCTTAAGAGATGAGGTTCCCGGTGCCCTTTGACTGCTCCAGAGATCCTGTGCTCACAACACAAAGCCCCAATCATCCTAAAATATATCTATGCTAAGGAAATTTGTCCCAAAATTTCCTTTCATCATGATTTACCTTCTGGTATCCCACCCATGAAAGCAGAAATTTCCTGCTTTCTCCTAATAATTGCTAACCTGTCTCCTCCCCTAAAATGTAAGACCAAGGAGAACAGGGACTTGGTCTATTCATTCACTGCTCTATGTTCAGCTCCTATTTCAGTACTGAAAACCAAGTAGGCCCTCAATAAGTATTTTTTAATTAATTAATTTATTTATTTTATTATTATTATTATTTTATATTTTTGAGATGGAATCTCTCTCTGCTGCCCAAGCTGAGTGCAGTGGCACAATCTCGGCTCACTGCAACCTCCACCTCCCAGGTTTAAGCAATTTCTGGCTAATTTTTGTATTTTTAGTAGAGACAGGGTTTCACCATGTTGGCCAGGCTGATCTCAAGCTCCTGACCCCAAATGATCCCTCTGCCTCAGCCTCCCAAAGTGCTGGGATTACAAGCATGAGTTACCGCCCCTGGCCAACCCTCAATAAATATTTATTTTCTAGATGAAATGGGGAAACTAGCTATGTTACATGGTAATGAGGCAGCTGACTTTCTTGGAAGCAGAAGACTTAATTCTAGATTTGGTGACACAAAAGCAATAAAGGAAGGACCTCTATAAATCACTCATGTCTCTGAGCCTCAGCTCTCAAAGTGTTGGATTAGAACTAGGGATGGCAAAATCCTGCTACAGGCACAACCACTACCCCCTTCCATGCCCACTAGACCCTCTAATGAACCGTAGCTGTCTCTCTCTAGAAAAAACTTCGGAATTCTTCCCACCCAATGCTCTTAGCAGCCACAACCAAAGGGTCAGAGGTGACTCTTACAATGAACCCAATTTGCCATCCATCAATTAGATGTTTAAGATTCCTTTCCACTTTAATATCCTATAATTCAAATCTAAGCAAGCTTGTTTGGCCATATGGAGGTACATTTTTCTGCAAAATCAATCCCAAGAAATCCTACTGCTCACAGGCAAGCAGGTAACCCCTGCTTCCATAGCACAGACAGTCACTAATAACACTTGCTTCAATTGGGACAAATAGTTTTCCCCCAGAACCTAATTCAAGGCTATCTTTTTCAGGCTCTTTAGAAGGCTGCTAGAGTTGGTCCCTTGAGTAAGCTGAGTATTGTGGTGCCCTTCAGTTCCTATGCCATAGAAGCTTGAACCTCATTCATTAATCCACTAGCCCTAAGGCTTAAAACCAGTCTGGCCTGGCTTGGAGCCTTTAGATCACTCTCTATCTTCTGGCCAATAAGAATGAATTTCTAGGCCAGGCATGGCGGCTCACGCCTGTAATCCCAGCACTTTGGGGGACTGAGGGTGGCGGATCAATTAAGGTCAGGAGTTGAGGTCAGGACCAGCTGGGCCAAGCCCATATCTACAAAAAATACAAAAATTAGCCAGGCATGGTAGCACACACCTGTAATCCCAGCTACTGAGGGAGGCTGAGGCACAGGAATCGCTTGAACCCAGGAGGCAGAGGTCGCAGTGAGCTGGGATCGCACCACTGCACTCCAGCCTGGGCGACAGAGTGAGACTCCGTTTCAAAAAAAAAAAAAGAGTGAGTTTCTGAGGTCTCTGATATGGTTATGGTCTTCTGGCTCTCGAGCCCTTCAGCCTCATTCCTCCTCAGGCATTCATTCCTGACCTGTCCCTCATGCCTTTCTGTGTCTCCTGTCTAAGCGTTCTTGCTCCCCATGCCTGATGGGAGTTGAATGCACCTTTTCCTACAATGTGCACTCACCCCTCAGAACATGTTCTCCTCCAGCCACTCCAGGTACAAATCCAATAAAATCCACCCTGAAGTCAGGAACACTCCCCATTGGCAGGCCCATGAGATGGGCATTTCTGCTGAGGAAGAAAAATACACAAATATCCAGATATAGAAGAGGACCATGAAAGATGCCCAAACCCCTATGGAGAAATGTGGCATTGTCTCAACTTCCTCCCAAAACCACGAAGAGGAGTGTTTTAAATGACATGATCCCATAAGGACAAAGGAAATTGGAGAAGTATGAGCAGAGGAGAAAAGCCAACAACATTTTAGAAGCTGAAAGTTGAGCAGTGACTGTCTTAGTTAGCCAGAGAATATGAGCTAAAAGAGAACTTTATTACATGGGCCCTGTAACAGGAGACTTAAAAACACCATGGAAAATGTCTCCAAATGTGTGTTCTTGAAAGTTGCTTGTTCAGGTACTTGTCATCGAAATAACTTCCCTTTCAACCCAAACATCTTAATGTCACCATCACTGACTACAATTTCCTTCTGACTCCATATCTCACAATGGTGGTGCCCTGGGGTAACTGGAGTGCTTTAAACCCCTTTAAACTCCAGTGGCCCTCTACCGAAGTCACCCAAATAAATACACGATGGAGGTGAAAATGCTGTGCTGGGTATGCAAGCACTGAACAAGATAACTCTCCAGCCCTCCAACCCTCTACTCCAATCACCATCCTAAGCCCCTCACTCTCCCATACAAACTCTGGAGTGACCACTGGGATCTCAGCCACCGGTTCTTCTTAATATTCCTCCTCAAGTTAGCATCATGGTCCCCTTTAAAAGTCATCCCCATGCCTACTCTGAGCAATCATTTCATCTGGGTCAGGGGTCTGGATCTCAATAGAAGTGGAGGGTATACCAGTAATATTTATTTTTATGGAGGCTTTTCTGGAGTTATATCTAAGATAGTGTGGTCAGAGACATGCCTGTGAGGATTTGCTTTAGTAGAGACAGAGTTTAGGAAAGCTAGAGGCCCAGAAAGTTAATACATCCATTAGACAGTCTTTCTACTGGGTGCTTGGATGCTAGAGAGTCTGAAATGGCCATTGAGGGCACTGCTGAGTGTATAGGAAACCATGCACATTTTGCTCCAGATATCTAGAAGTCAGAACTTATAATTATAGGGGGTAAAGTCTTGACTCCAACTTGTCCTGAATTGTCCTCAGTTTATGTTGCATGATGTAATAAAAAGACCCAGAGCTTTCAATTTATGGATATGGGTTTCAAGCCCAAATCTACCAATTTACCTGTGCGATATTGCTTGATCATTCTGGACCTTGATTTCCTCAGCTGCAAAACAGAGGCAATAATAATACCAACCTTGCATGGTTGTGTCTAGGATTTTAAATAATATACGTAAAAATTTTTCAGTGCAATGCTAATTACACAGGAGCCCCTGAGGAAGTGATGGATATTCTTTTTCTTCTCACTTAGGCAAAGGCCCATTTCACTGCCACATGGAAGTGAGTATTCCACAAGAATACTCAAGGTAGGGTAAAAATTTTCCTTTAAAAATACCTTAAAATCATCTGACATGTTTGAATAAGTTTCTTATTTGATTAAGGCCCCACAGTTCTGGGCTCTACAATGGAGAAAAGGAAAAAAAATAACGGATTTAAGAGCAGGAGTTACCAATCAACCGCCTTCTCAAAAAAGAGTCTCCAATTCCTAAAGAGATGAGTTCTTCATGGGACCAACCAGGATGAATTGCATGCAAAATGTGCTCCAACTGAAGGGATCAACCTGTAATTCTCAGTCTTCTTATAAAAAACCCAAACAATTAATTCAGAATGGCTTGAAATGGAGAATATTTTTAAAAGCTCTCCAGTGACCCTAGTGTACAGCCAGGATGAAAAGCCACCCTCTTTTTAAAAAATGACCTATTGGATGGAGAAAAAGGATTTTACTCATTTAAATATTTGAAATACCTTCCAAACACAATCACCTAAGTCTCAGCATAGTTGCTGCTAAATCACTTGTCAGAAAGTTCTGACACAAAGTCATCTGCTTAAGCAGAGGTGCCTCAGGTTATCTGAGTGTGTTGAGGCCAAAAGGAGATAACATCAGGCCCAAAAGAAGAGGCAGGTCTGCAGTTGAAGAAGCAGGTAATCTAAAGTTTCAAAAAGGAGATAAGGCAGAAGCAGAGAGAAACTTTGGAAGTAGGGCAGAGGCCAGTTTGATCACAAGACATGAAGATGCAGAACAAGGTAGCCACAGAATGACTCTTGTGGGCAGCACACACACGCCACATTAAATATAGCCTGGGCCGGGTGCGGTGACTCATACCTGGAATCCCAGCCCTTTGGGAGGCCGAGGCAAGTGGATCACTTGCACCCAGGATTTTGAGACCAGCCTAGGCAACATGGTAGAACCCCATATCTACAAAAAAATACAAAAAATTAGCCAGGCATGGTGGCACGGACCTGTAGTCTCAACTACTCAGGAGGCTGAAGTGAGAGGATTGCTTGTGCTGGGGAGGTCAAGGCTGCAATGGGCTGTGATCATGCCACTGTACTCCAGCCTGGGTGACAGAGTAAGGTTGGAGTGCAGTCTCAAAAAAAAAAAAAAAAAAAAAAAAAACCCTGCAGCCTGCACCACTCCTACTGGTAGGCTTGCTCTGGTATCAGCACTTCAAGCAGGTGATAACACTATGAAGTTTATTTTTAATTGCTAGGTGTGGTGGTTGTCCTTCTTCAGAGTAAAAATGCACTTTCTTACTCCCTTTGAAGTGAGATGTGGACCTGTGCATTGATCTGGCCAAGAAAATGTGACCAAAAATGACCTGGACACTTCCGATGGGAGCTTTAAAAGCCAGTGCACAATTTATCACTGATCCTTTTCCTGCTTCAGTCATCATGGAAGCCCAGGTCAGGATGGAACTCCCACCAGCCTGGATTGCTGATTAAGGATGCTCCATGTTAGCACAAAAAAATGAGTTGTTGTGTTAAGCCACAGAAATTTGGAGGTGGTTTCTTATTGCAACATAACTAGTCTCCATGGCTTGAGATTATTAATGGGATTTTTCTAGCGTAGAGTTTCTCAATTTTGGTAGGATTGATGTTTGGAGTTAATGCTTTCTTTTTTTTTTAATTATACTTTAAGTTTTAGGGTACATGTGCACAACGTGCAGGTTTGTTACATATATATACATGTGCCATGTTGGTGTGCTGCACCCATTAACTCATCACTTAACATTAGGTATATCGACTAATGCCATCCCTCCCCCCTCCCCCCACCCCACAACAGGCCCCAGTGTGTGATGTTCCCCTTCCTGTGTCCATGTGTTCTCATTGTTCAATTCCCACCTATGAGTGAGAACATGCTTTCTTGTGGGGATTGTCCTGTGTATTGCAGGATGTTGAGTGGCCTCCCTAGCCTCTACCCACTAGACACCAGCAGCACCCCACCCCAAGTTGTGACCATGAAAAATGCCTCCACCAGTATGATTCCACTTATGTGAGGTACCTAGAGTAGTCAAAATCATGGAGACAGAAAGTGAAATGATGGTTGTCAGGGGCTAGGAGAAGAGGGAAATGGGGAGTTAGTGTTTAATGGGTACAGAGTCTCAGTTTTGCAGAATGAGAAGAGTTATATGGATGGATGGTGGTGATGGTTGCACACCAGTGTGAATGTGCTTAATGCCACTGAACTATACACATGATATGGTTCAAATGGCTAATTTTATGTTAGGTGCTTTGTCACAATTTTTGAAAATGGAAAAAAAAGTGTCTCCAGACATTGCCAACATACTCGGGAAAGCAAAATCGCCCCTGGTTGAGAACTAGTGTTCCAGCTGTAGCACAACACATTCAATTGTATAATATGTGTAAAAACATGGGCCTAGGGCTCAGCCCTGCTTTTTGCCATTAAGGGTTAGAATCTCATCTCTCCTAAAATATTTTTTATCTACTCAGATTTTAGGCCAGGATCAAAAGGACAATTGACCTGTTTGATCTAGAAAAAGCCCGTCTATGGACACAAAACTGGTGTGATATAAAACTGTAAAAACTCTTACACTGTTTTAAGCTTTCCATCTGATAAACAGTACAGTAGAGATTCCATTTGGGATAATTTTTCCTGAAACCTACTTGTTTTTCATGCTGATTCTACAGTTAAGGGGCCTGGTCTTAACATGTGTTGAAGCAAAAGAGTGAGAAGAGCTGAGGGAGACATCAGAGACTTTCCAAATGACAGAATTGCAAATCTTCTGGGCAGTCCTCCCCTGAGGAAGGGGTAGCTTATACTTTGAATGCATCTTGAGGAGTATTCTCCACACCTGAGGAATAAATTAAGGCTAATACGGTTGGCTCAGCTCTTGACAAATTGAATTCCATGCTGGGACTGAGGCAGCAGAGGGCTTTTTACATCTACCTCCACCACCACCACCCTGCCTAAGTCATCTCGGAGAATCCTCTTTCTATCTCAGTATTGGGCCTACATTCTTATACTTCAGCCCTTTTCCATAATGACCCCTCCAGATTGCCACACTCTAGAACCACTACATAGAAGGCGGCGCTACTGCTGTGTGGACACTTCATCTCAAAGTGAGGGGTCGGCTCACATGATCGCAGGCCTCCTCTCTCTGGCCTTCTAAAACATTCTCCGGGTTGAGGCTAAAACTGCTCCCCCAAAGCCCCATAATAGGCATGAACAGATTATCCTCCCCTTCTTTGTTCCAATGGCTGGAATCCTTAACTAATCCTCTCCCCACAAAGTAGGGCTGATTTCACAAGCTGTTACTTCAGCTGCTTGCTCTGCCATCTGCTCTTGATTTGCTTGGTGAACACCTCCAGGGTGCTCAGAGCTGCCCTGTCACACTTCACCCCACTCAGCTTCTGGCCCCCCACCCTCAAACACATCTGCATCTGCACAACCCTCCCATGCTCCAGTTCTGCCCACTGTTGATCCATCCATCTGCGCTCCAGGCCCCAGCACCTTGGGAGCTTATGCTGTCAATTACTTGCGCTTAGTTCAGAATCTTTAGCCTCTCCACATCCATGGCTCTTTCATTTACTCAATGTAGTAACATGTTTAAACCTCTCCCATCCTGGAAAAAACAAAAAAAAAGTCATACATTCATTTAACCCTATCTCCCTCTCTAGCTTAAAGTAATCTGTAACCTTCCTGGCCATTTATTTACTCCATGTCCCAGGTTGAACTGTATTCACACACTCCCAAAAATTCATGTTCTTCCTAGGAATCTTAGAATACGAATTTATTTGGAAATAGGGTTGTTGCAGATGTAATTGGTTAGGAGTGGACCCTTAATCTACTATGACTGGTGTCCTTAGAAGGAGAGGAGAGGGAACACAGACATACACACAGAGAGGAAGCCATGTGATGACAGAGGCGGGAACTGGATGATGCGTCTACAAGCCAAGGAATGTCAGGACTTGCAGAAACCCCAGAAGCAAATGGAAAGGCATGTAACAGATTCTTCCTAGCATCTTCAGAGAGAGCGTGATGCTGCCTACACCTTGTTTTGAACTTCTAGCCTCCAAAACTGTGAGAGAATAAATTTCTGTTGTTTTATCAAGACACCTAGTTTCTGTTATTTTGTGACAGCAGACCTAGAAACTGAATATACCCCTTAAACCACTGCGGTTTTCCTTTTTGTTCCAAGATTCTTTCATGTATGACCTGTGAGAGCCAAATCCAGTCTTTATTTGGCCTCTCTGGAGCACATGCGACTCATTTATTCCTTGTTGTTGCTCCTCCCCAACATCCTTCTTGGCCTCCTTCATTGCTTCCTAATCTCACAGCCATCTACCGCACAGTGGAGTCCCTGGGTTCATCACCACATCCTCCCACTCTATTCATGCTCCACTGCAATCTCATCCAAATACCAGCTCTCCTCCTACCCCCCATGCTGATGATTCCCCAAGCCCTCTAGCCCAAGCATCTCTCCTGAGATCTACTTTTGAGTTCCCCACTGCTTCCTGAACATTTCCACTTAGAACTTCTACAAGCACCTCAAAAACTACATGGCTAAAATGGAAGTCATGGTCTAGAAGCCTCCTTCCCAAATAAACTTGCTTTTCCTCCTGTAACCGGAATGTCTATGAGAGGCTTCACATTCACACAGGGGCATAAGCCAGACACCTGGCATCTTCTTGGGCTTCTCCCCTGCACCCTTCGCCATAGTCACTGAGGCCAAAGGACTCTGCCTATAAGGGTTCAGGGAATGCATCCTCTGCATCCCTGCTGCAGCTGCTTTAGCTCAACTTCTTACTACCTCTTGTGACTAGTGGAGACATCCACTACACCCAACTTTGATGCTGCTCTGGGAGCACTTTCTTATACCACCTTGTTTTTTTGTTTTTTTTGTTTTAATTTTATTATTATTATACTTTAAGTTTTAGGGTACATATGCACAACGTGCAGGTTTGTTACATATGTATACATGTGCCACGTTGGTGTGCTGCACCCATTAACTCGTCATTTAGCATTAGGTATATCCACCACCTAGTTTTAAGTCACTCCCCTGCTTCAAATGCTTCAGGGGTTCCTGGTCGCCTGCAGGATGACGTCCTTAGCATTCCTCCACTTGGAATAACAAGGCCTTATAGCATCTGGCTCTCAGGAGCTTAGAGTGAAGGGACTCTGCATTCAGCTCCAGAACCTACCACATACTTGCTGTGTGGCCCTGGGCAATGTACTTACTCTCTCTGGGCCTCAGATTCCTCATCTGAAAATGGGGATAATAACAGTACCTACCTCATAGCGCTGTTGTAATGATCAAATGAGCGAATATGTTGAGAGTACCTGGAACTGTGTCCAGCATGTAGTAAGTGGGCACTAAATATTAACTGCTGTTGCCGTAAGTATTACCTTTCTCCACTCATTTCCATACAGCTTCCCATGTATGTTGTTTTCCGGCCAAGCAGCACACTCTTCCATCTCAGAATTTAAAAAAAAAAAAAAAAGAGAGAGAGAAAGAAAAAAAAAGTCCTACCTGTGTTCCCCTGGCTCTTGGCCTTGACACACACTGTCTGGAATACCTTTCCCACCACCTCTTATCCCACGGTCCCTATGAACATACTTCGACTCATCTTCTCTACCCTAAGTACCCTCCCCTGCCATCAAACATGCTCTTCATTGAGCCTTCATAAGGCCCTTGTGCTCACCTCTATTGGAGCACAGATCACACTGCATTATAAAGGACCATGTCCTGTCTCTCTGTCCATCTTTCAGAGTTTGCCTTATTGATCTTAGTGATGTCAGCACGTGACACTCAGCTGGACAAAGAAAGCAGGCTCAATAAAGGCTTTAGAGTTCAGTAAAGAATTGTATAAAGGCATAAAATAGAGATGGGATACAAATATTTCCCAGGCTGCCTGGGATAGTCCTGGTTTAGGCCATGGTCCTGATATAATTACTAACAACACCATCTTTCACTGTCAAAAGTATCTCCTTTGGACAATACATTATAAAGTCACTCTAGGTATTAGAGCTGTGATTCTCACCCTATCAGGCCCGATTTTCTCTTTGTTTAACAGCTATTTTAGAATATCCTATGCACTATCTTTAAATGAAATTGATAGGCAATAGAAACTGCCAGTAACAGAATTTCCAAAAAATCAATGTAATAACCTAAAAAGAATGCTAAATGGAAAATGAAGGAGATTTTTAAAAAGTAGCTTAAACTAAAATTATATATGCAGTATTTTGACATATAAATGCATAGGTAAGTGACTTACGCTTCTGGCCAAGATGGAGTAACAGAGACCAAAATTACCTTCTGACCTAAAACAACAAAAATACTGGACAAAATATATGAAACTATGGCCCTCAAGCAACAAAGGGAATCAATCACTGGAATCAAGCAACAAAGGGCAGTGATCCTCAAGAGATGAGAAACAAAGGAGGCTAGTCCCAAAAGTTTCCAGGCCACAGCACGGGAAGGAAGAATGCAGATGGAGCTCAGAGATCTTCCTGAGTTGAGAAGACAGAACTGTAAGTCTGGGAAGGCCAATGTGGCTAGAATTCACAGGGCAGAATATTGAGGAGGAGAGGGCTGTACAGAGACAGAGCTCTGGAAATCTGAAGAGAATACATATCCTCCTTGACTATTTAACGGAATAGTGATCAGAGTATGCAGGTAAGAAACCTGCCTGAGAGGCCGGGCGCAGTAGCTCACACCTGTAATCCCAGCACTTTGGGGGCTGAGGCAGGTGGATCACAATGTTAGGAGATCGAGAGCATCCTGGCCAACATGGTGAAACCCCATTTCTACTAAAAATACAAAAATTAGCTGGGCGTGGTGACAGGCGCCTGTAGTCCCAGTTACTCAGGAAACTGAGGCAGGAGAATCGCTTGAACCTGGGAGGCCAAGATTGCAGTGAGCCGAGATCATGCACTCCAGCCTGGGCAGCAAAGCAAGACTCCATCTCAAAAAAAAGTAAAGAAAGGAAAAGAAAAGAAAAAAGGAAAGAAAACTGCCTGAGAATAGAAAAAGAATCATCTGCAAAGATTAAAGGGGTTAGAGGATTCCCAGTGCTCACAGGGAACAGTCCCTGTTAACATCAGTCAGAATAGAAAATCTCATAATTCATGAAGAGAGAGTACTTAGAAGGGTTCTGCCCAGTAGTGAGCAAAACAACCCTAGACCAAATACTATTCTTATCACCTATCAAAACTTACAGGCAAGGTCTGGAAGGCTCAAAATTTTCCAGGTAGCCTAATTGTATAACAGAACAAAGCTCAGGAATATTTATGGAAATATAAAAACATGCAAGAAGCCAATAAGGTAAAATTGGTGATCTCTGTCATCTAATCAAAAATCATCATTGATGTGAAGAGGCAAAAAATATGACACATAATGAGGATAAAAATCAATGATAGAATTAGTAGATAAGATAATAAAATTAGCAGATAAGTATGCTTGAAGCATTGATGTAACTGTATTTCATATGTTCCATAAGCTAGAGTAAAGATTGGGCTTTTAAACTATGGAAGATATAGGAAAAAACCCAAATTGAATTTCTAGAAATGAACATTACAGTGTGTGAGATGAAAAATACACTGGATGGAACTAACAGTAGATTAGAAATTGCAGAATAATGGCTGGGCGCGGTGGCTCACACCTGTAATCCCAGCACTTTGGAGGCCGAGGTGGGAGGATCATGAGTTCAGAAGATCGAGACCATCCTGACTAACACGGTGAAACCCTGTCTCTACTGAAAATACAAAAAATTAGCCAGGCGTGGTGGCAGGCACCTGTAGTCCCAGCTGCTGGGGAGGCCGAGGCAGGAGAATGGCATGAACCTGGGAGGCAGAGCTTGCAGTGAGTCAAGAAGCACCACTGCACTCCAGCCTGGGCAACAAAGTGAGACTCCATCTCAAAAAAAATAAAAAATAAAAAAAATATAAAATAAAGAAATTGCGGAATAAAATACAAGTGAATTTTAAAACATAGCGATAGAAATTATCCAAAATAAAACACAAGGAGAAAAAATACTAAAAAAAAAAAAAAAAAAAAAAAAAAAAAAAAAAAAAAGTAGATCATCATGAAGCTGTGGGACACCTTTAAGCCACCTAATATAAGTGTATTTGGAATTCCTGGGAGGAGGAGGAACAGAAAAAAATACTTAAAGAAATAAAGTTTGAAAATTGTTCAAATGCTCAGGCAAAACTAACCTGCAAGATGAAGAAGTAGTCAGATGTTTACATTTAAACACATAAATCACTATGGAATTGACAGCTACAGATGCAGACCACTGCCAGAGGTGTTATTTGGGTGACTTGAGTTTGAATACTATATGTGCTTTTCCTTCTTGGGTGGGACTGCCTGGTATATTCCAGGATGTTCATCATCCCTAGACCTTGCCTAATAAATGTAGTAATACCACCAATCACTGTGCCTGCCCCCCACCAAAAAAAAATACTCTCTAGAGTGCAGTGCCACTTCTTTGAGAATGATTGGTCTAGAATACACCAAGGATCCAAAAACTGTGGCCTGCTTCTGTATGGTCTGTAAGCTAAAAATAGTTTTACATTTTTTAAAAGTTGTAAAGGAGTAGGAAGAAGGGGAAGAAGAAACGGAGGAGAAGAAAATAAAGCAGGAAGAGGAGGAGGAAAAGTGGAAGTAGAGAAGAAGTAGAAGAAATAGTAGTACTAGAAGAAGGAAGTGGGGAAGGGAAGGGCAGCAGAGGTGGAGAGAAGCAACAGAGACTTTATGTGGTCCATAAAGTCTAAAATAAGATTTTGCTGATCACAGGCATAGATTCCAGGGGGAAAAGGGATATCATTCTTTTTTTTTTTTTTTTTTTTTTTGAGAGAGAGAGAGAGAGGGTCTCACTCTGTTGCCCAGGCTTGAATGCAGTGGTGTGATGATACTTTACTGAAGCCTCTAACTTGGGCTCAAGTGATCCTCCTGCCTCAGCCTTCCAAGTAGCTAGGACTGCAGGTACATGCCACCATGCCCAGTTAACTTTTTTGCTCTATCTGCCCAGGCTGATCTCAAACTCCTGGGCTCAGGCAATCCTCAAGCCTTGGCCTTCCGAGGTGCTGGGATTTTACAAGCATGAACCACTGGCCCTTTTCTTCAAGGTGTCTATAACCTAAGGGGGAATGTATCTGTTAGAATTAAATCACAGAAGCAGAACTACTTGCATGATATGCAATAAGGAATTTATTATACAAATTAGACTTTATGCAATTGTGGGAGCTGATGAAGAAGTCTATGGAAGGCTGCCTTTGTGTCTGGTGGTGGCCAGAAGTCACTGCAGGTCAACAAGGCCATCAGTCGGGAAGAAAAGCTGCACATAATGTGGGAGAAAGCAAGGACAAACCAGAACCCATGAGAATCAACTAGAACCCACAAAGACAAACTAAAACCCACGCCTGTCTGTCACCACCTCCAATTTCTTTGGTGGTAACGATCAGAATAAGAAGATGGCACCCTCTGCCACAGAGCTGCACACGTGCCTGCCTGGTACTCTGGGAGCCGAGAGATGGGATCAGGTAGAGCTCTAGGAGCAAGGGTTCTGGCTGTGGACCCACATCTGCAAGATGGGACGTAGCTCTGCAGCGACCTGTGCCAGGTGCTCGACATTGACCTTTGGAACATCACAGTTGCTGCTTTCCTTCTGCCTTCCAATTCTTGAGCAAATTTCTCCTTTGGCCAACCTTAATCCAGAGCCATACAGGGAAAGAGACTCTGGGAAACATAGTTCTGGCTTAACTAAGTTGAGATAATACAAAGCCCCCGCAGGGAGAAAAGGCTAGCAATTGTAAAATAATAGGAAATAATACAAAATGAAACAATAATATAAAATGAGTGACATATGGGAGAGTTCTGGATTTAAATGCTACAGAAATGTGCAGGAAAGTGTGATCAGTGAGATGGCAAGGACCAGGGAAGCTGCCTTAGGGCCAGTGGGTTGTGAACAGGGCCGGGAAGGGAGCATAGGATCTGACCAGAGACGGAGTAGGGTGGGTACTGGGGGCTGATGAAACAACTCAGGGAGTCCAGGGCCAGCAAGGCTTGGGCTAGGACAGTGAGGAGATTGGCTGGACCAGAGAACAAGGCTGGAGGCAGAATTTCAAAGGCTGTGCTATGAAAAACATTGTTGCCCCTGACATTTCTGGGCCCCATTGTGAAAGGGACGCTTGGAGAGGATGAAGCCAGTGCATGGACTGCTTAGAGGCCAGCAGCTTGGAGGCTGTGTTCTGAGGAGGTGAAGGTAGAAATGAACACATATTGAATGCCTACAATGAGTCAGGCTGTGCTGGGGTTTTTTGGTTTTTGTTTTTTGAATCTGAGGAAATGGAAAATGAAAGAAGTTCCCCCTTTAGGTGCTGGGCCCCAACAGGTTCAGGGTACTGGATGAACAGAGAGGGCAAAAGCAGGGCATGTCCACACTAGAGCTGAGAAGGGGCAGAGAGGAGGGGTTTCTCCAGGGGCAGTGCACTGGAGAGCCAGCTACATGGCCAGGAAGGCTGTGCATGGTGCCAGCAGCTGCATGGCCAAAGGTTCGCCACACACAGAAATGGGGTTATTCTGGATTGGGGAAGGGACACTGGCAGGGGCATTCACAGCAGGCTGAATTAGCAACTGGGAGGCAGAAACGTGTGTAGGCAGGAGCACTGGGGTTAGAGGCGCAAGGAAGGATGGCTCCCCTCCTTAGTGAAGGAGAGAAACAAGAAAGCAGCATGCAGCAAGAATACTTCACCCTATTCCACTTTCTCTCATCTTTTTCACTCTCTCCCAAGTTCCTCCTGTCAGGATCTATTGA
Organism: Homo sapiens; assembly: GCF_000001405.40. Classification (NCBI taxonomy): domain Eukaryota; kingdom Metazoa; phylum Chordata; class Mammalia; order Primates; family Hominidae; genus Homo; species Homo sapiens. Next base: position 43,146,345 of record NC_000011.10, read on the forward strand.
CTTCAAGTTATACTGACTCCAAGTATTCTATCTTCTAGAATCTTTTATGAAAACTTACGACAAACATACATTTTGCAAAACAGTGACAGTTACATAAAATGCATCCATTCATTCACAGATCTCTATTGAATGCGTACTACGTGGCAGGCTCCATGCCAGACACCGAGGATAGGACAACTAAGACAAACCCTGCCCAGTAGCAGACACAGATCTGTAACTAAGTTTAACCATTAGGGGAAACAGGCAACTCTATTGTCTCTCACTGTGTCCTTAGATCTACTCTCTGGGGATCTTACTCCATCATCCCCCAAAACTCACGCAGGACATGCACAACCACCCACTCTGTCCCCACCCATGCCTTTCTGGTCACTGTCAGGAAATATAAAAAGTTCTTTGCCTGTAGAATGGTGATTACTAGGGACTAGGCTGTTGGCGGGGAGGGTGGAAAGCAGAAAAGAGTTGGGTTTTTTTGTTTGTTTGTTTTCTTGTTTTTCTTATTATGCTTTAAGTTCTGGGATACATGTGCAGAATGTGCAAGTTTGTTACATAGGTATACACTTGCCATGGTGGTTTACTGCACCCATCAACCTGTCATCTACATTAGGTATTTCTCCTAATGCTATCCCTCCCCTAGCTCCCTACCCCCCAACAGGCCCCAGTGTGTGATGTTCCCCTCCCTGTGTCTATGTGTTCTCATTGTTCAGAGTTTTTTTTTTTTATGGATATAGAGTTTTAATTTTGCTAGATGAAAAAGCTCTGGAGCTCCATTGCGAAACATGTAAATGTACTTAACACTATTGAACTGTATGCTTAAAAACAGTTACGATGGTAAATTTTATCTTAGGTGCTTTTTACCACACACGTACGTAAAGTTATTTAGCTATTTCATGTCATACAATGTAGCCTCAATTTAGTAAAATTAAAATATCAGTTCTAAGTAATAGTCAAGACCTCAATTTTGTGTAAGGGTTTAGATTTCTTCCCCTGAGACTGGGGCCAGTTGCAGTTGAGAATCTGCCTTTTGCAAAGGAGGGCATGAGGGTGATATTGGCATTTATATAATCCTCTTCAACGTTGTGAACACTATTATAGGGGGTTGTACACCTTCTGCAATATTGGAAGTAATATTATTCTCTTCAATTTTGGAAATTACAAACCATATTATGGGGTGTTGTACACCCCTTGAGATATTGGGAGTAATATTATCTCGCACCTGGATATTAGGAAAAATATCACACAGGCAGGGTGTGTACACCCACTGCGACATTGGGCATACTATTATCCTCTCCCCCATTGGATATTAGGGACAATATCACAGGGAGGTGTACACTTCCTGTGACATTGTAAGTAATATCATCCTCTCCAACACTAGATATCACGAGCAATATCAAAAAAATGGTGTACACTTCCTGCGAGTAATATCGTCTTCACTCCACCCCCCAGATATTAGGAACAATATCACAAAAAAGGTGTTCACCTCATGCGATATTGGGAATGATATCTTCTTCTCCCTTTCTATATATTAGGAACAATATCACAGAAGGGGTGTTCAGCCGCTGCGATATTGGGAGTGATAGCATACTCTCCCATCCTAGATATTAGAAACAATATCACAGGGGGGTGTACCACTCGTGCGATATTGAAAGTAATAAGTTCCTCCCTCCCTGGATATTATGAGCCATATGACAGGGGGGTGTCCAGCCCCCGCCATATGGGGAGGAATATCACCCTCCTCTTCCCCCCTGGATGTTATGAACCATATGACAGGGGGGTGTCCACCCCACGCAATATGGGGAGTAATATCACCCTCCTCTCCCCACCCTGGATATTACAAGCCATATGAAAGGGGGGTGTCCACACAGCACATTTACAATATTGGGAGTAATATCATATCCCCCTTTCAAAATTACGAACAATATCACAGGAAGGTGTACAGCACCTCTTATATTGGGAGTAATATTATTCTCTCCCTTCCCCGGATATTAGGAAAAATATCACAACAAAGGTGTACACTTCCTGCAATATTGGGAGTAATATCATCCTCTCCTCCCCTGGATATTAGGAACAATATCACAGAGAGGTGTACACCTCTTTCGATATTGATATTAATATTGCCCACTCCCCCACTCGATATTAGAGAAAATATCACGGGGGGGTGTACACTCTCTGTGATAATGGGAATAATATCATCTTCTCCCTTACTGGATATTACAAACAATATCACAGAAGGGGTGTACACCCTCTGCATTATTGAGAGTAATATCATCCAAGTAATTGGAAGTAATAATATCCAAATAATAACACCCTTGGATATTAGATACAATATCACAGGGGAGATATACCTTAACTGTGATATTGGGAATACTATCATCCTCTTTCCTTTGGATATCAGGAACAATATCACTGGGAGGGTGTACACCCCATGCGATACTGGAAGGAATATTATCCTCTTCCCTCATGGTTATTAGAAACAATATCACAGGGTGGGGGATGTACACCTTCTTTGACATTGAGAGTAATTTCATTTTCTCACCTCCTGGATATTACAAACAATATCACAAGGGGTTGTACATACCCTGCAATATTGAAAGTATTATCATCCTCTGCCTCTTTGAATATTAAAGAAAAATCACAAGGGTGGTGTACACTTTCTGCCATATGGGAAGTAATATCACGCTCTTCCCCACCTGGATATTAGGAGAACAAAGGGGGTGTACACCACCTTCGATTTTGGGAGTTATATCATCCTCTCCCCCTTTGAATATTAGGAAAAATATCACCGAGGGGGTGAGCACCCTCTGTGATATTGGGCATAATATCATTCTCTTCCCCCCGGATATTAGGAACAATATCACAGAAGGGTGTACACCCTGTGATATTGGGAGTAATATCCTCTCCCCACCTGGATATTAGGAACAATATCACAAGGGGGTGTACAGCTCCTGTGATATTGGGAGTAATATTGTCGTCTCTCTCCCTAAATATTACGAACAATATAACAATATCACAGGGAGGTTATACATCCCCTTGTAATCTCATCCTCTCTCTTTCTGGATTTTAGGAACAACATCACAGAAGGGGTGCACACTCCCCTCGATATTAGGAGTAATATCATCCTCTCCCCCACTGGACATTATGAGCCATATGACAGGGGGGTGTCCACCCCACACCATATGGGGAGTAATATCACCCCCCTCTCCCCACCTGAATATTACAAGCCATATGACAGGGAGGTGTCCATCCCCCCCCCACCAAATGGGGAGTAATAGAATCCCCCTCCCCCCCGGATATTACGAGCCATGTGAGAGGGGAGTGTCCACACAGTGTGTTTACAATATTGGGAGTAATATCATATCTACCTTTCGAAATTATGAACAATATCACAGGAAAGTGTAAAGCACCGGCGATGTTGGGAGTAATACTATTCTCTCCCTTCCCCGGATATTAGGAAAAATATCACAACAAATGTGTACAACTCCTGCGATATTAGGAGTAATATCAACCTCTCCTCCTCTGGATATTAGGAACAATATCACAGAGGGGTATACACCTCTTTCGATATTGGTATTTATATCACCCACTCCCCAACTCGATATTAGAGAAAATATCACGGGGGGTGTACACCCCCTGCGATACTGGGATTAATAATATCCTCTCTCCCCTGGATGTTATTAACAATATCACAGAGGGGTGTACACCCTTGCGATATTGGGAGTAATATCATCCTCTCCCTACCTGGATATTACGAACAATATCACAAGGGGGGTGTACACCCCCTGCGGTATTGGGAGTAATATTGTCGTCTCCCGCCCTAAATATAAGGAACAATATCACAAGGAGGATATACACCCTCAGCCATATTGGGAGTAATATCATTCTCTCCTTTCGTGAATCTTAGGAACAATGTCACAGGAGAAGTGTACGCCCCCTGCTATATTGGGAGCAATATCATTCTCTCCCCCCTGGATACTAAAAACAATACAACAGTGGGGTGTACACCCCGTGCGATACTGGGAGTAATATCATCTTCTCCCTTACTTGATATTAGAAACAATATCACAGAAGGGATGTACACCCTCTGCATTAATGGGAGTAATATACTTGCCCCCTTGGATATTAGAGACAATATCACAGTGGGGATGTACCTTAACTGTGATGTTAAAAGTAATATCATCCTCCTTCCTTTGGATGTTAGGAACAATATCACTGGGAGGGTGTACACCCCCTGCGATATTGGGAGTAATATCAGCCTCTCCCCTCCATGGATATTAGAAACAATACCACAGGAGTGGTGTACACTTCCTGCGAAATTAGGAGAAATATCATCCTCTCCACCTTTAGATATTACGGAAAATATCACAGGGGAGGCCTACACCTGCTGTGATATTGGGAGTAATATCATCCTCTCCCCACCTGGATATTAGGAACAATATCACAGGTGGGTGGAAACCCACTGTGGTATTAGGAGTAATATTATTATTAATTATTAAGCATTTATTTTTATCATCTATATTAAAAATATTAATGTTAATATTAATTATTAACATTATTTTACTGTTATCAATATTACTATTTATAATAGCTAATATTATTATGTTAACAAAATTTTGATGATCAATATTAGTCATAATATTAATAATATTATTATCTATTATCATTGGTTTAGTTATTAATATTGGTAATTAATATTAATCACTATCATTGCTATAAATATTAATGTTAATAATTAATATTAATCATTATCAGTGTTATAAATGTTAACATTAATTACTATTCATTATATCAATATTAATTATTATCAATATTATTTCTGATATCCAGGGAGGAGAGGATGTTATTACTCCCAATGTCGCAGAAGGTGTACACCCCCCTGTGCTGTTGTTTCTAACAGTCAGGGGGTAGAGGATGACATTACTCCAAATATCGCAGTGGGTGTACAGCCCTTCAGTGATCTTGTTCCTCAGTATCCGGAGGGGAGAGGATGATATTACTCTCAATATCGCAGGAGGCTGTAGACGTCCCCTGTGCTATTTTCCCTAATATCCCAAGGTGGAGAGGATGACATTTCTCCCAATTTCCCATGGGGTGTACACCACTCCTGTGATATTGTTCCTAATATCCATGGAGGGAAGAGGCTGATATTACTCTCAATATCGCAGGTGGTGTACACTTCCCAGTGATATTGTTTCAAATATCCAGGGACAGAGAGGATGATATTACTCGCAATATATTGTTCCTAATATCCAGGGGGAAAGAGTATGATATTAGTCTCAATATCACAGAAAGCGTACACTCCCCAGTGATATTGTTCCTAATATCCAGGGACAGAGAGGATGATATTACTCCCAATATAGCAGGGCATGTACACCCCTTCTGTGACATTGTTTTTAATACCTGGCGGGGGAGAGGGAGATATTACTCCCAATATCCCAGCAGGTATACACCCTTTTGTGATATTGTTCCTAATATCCCAGGAGGGAGACAAGGATACTAATGGCAACATCGCAGGAGGTGTACACCACCTGTGATATTGTTCTGAGTATCCAGAGGGGGAGAAAATTATATTACTCCCAATATCGCAGTGGGTGTACATCCCCCTGTGATATTGTTTCTAATATTCAGGGGGAAAAGGATGATACTACTCCCAGTATGGCAGGGGGTGTACACACCTCCTGTGATATTGTTCCTAATATGCAGAAGGGGGAGTATAATATTACTCTTAATATCACAGGGGGTGAACAGCTCTTCTGTGATATTGTTCTTAATATCCATGTTGGAAGAGGATGGTATTACTCCCAATATCACAAGAAGCGTACAGCTTCCTGAGATACAGTTCCTAATATCTAGGTGGGGAGAGGATGATATTACTCCCAATATCGCACGAGTTGTAAAACCCCATCAATACTTTTTCTACAATCTGGGAGGGAGAGGATGATATTACTCTCAATATTGAAGGAGGTGTACACCCCCCCTGTGATATTGTTCCCAATATCCAGGTTGGGAGACAATGATATTATGCCCAATATTGCAGGGGATGTACACCACCCTGCGATATTGTTCCTAATATCGAGAGGGGGAGAGGATGGCATTACTCCCAATATCGCAGTGGCTGTACATCCCCCTTCTGATATTGTTCTTAATATCCTAGGGGGAAAAGGATGATATTACTCCCAATATCGCAGGGGGTGCACACCCACCCAGTGATATTGTTCTTAATGTCCAGGAAGGAAAAGGATGATATTATTCCCAATATCAAAGGGTTTGTACACACCCCCTATGATATCATTCTTAATATTTAAGGGGGAGTGTATAACATTATGCCTAATATCGCAGGGGGTGTACAACCCCCCCGTGATATTGTTCCTAATATCCAAAGGTAGAGAGGATGATATTATTCCCAATATCGCAGGGGTTGTACACCCCCATTGTGATACTGTTCTTAATATTTAGGGGGGAAGATAATTATATTACTGTTCGTATCACAGGGGTGGACAACAACACTGTGATATGGTTTTTAATATTCCGTGGGGGAGAGCATGATATTAATTCCAATATCACAGGGGACACACCCTCTGTGATATTGTTCCTAATATCCAAGGGTAGAGAGAATGATATGACTTACAATATGGCAGGGGGTGTACATCCCCTCCATGATATTGTTCCTAATATCCAGGGCGTGTACACGCCCCCTGAGATATTGTTCCTGATATCCAGGAAGGGAGAGGATGATATTACTCCCAATACCATAGGGAGCGTACACCCCCCGCCCGTGATATTGTTCTTAATATTTAGATAAGGAGAGAATAACATTACTCCCAATATCGCTGAGGATGTACACCCTTTCTGGGATATTGTTCCTAATATCAAGTGGGGGATAGGATGATATTACTCCCAATATCGCAGAGGGTGCACACCCTTCTTGGAATATTGTTCCTAATATCAAGTGGAGGAGAAAATGGTATTACTCCCAAAAGCGCAGGGGGTGTACACACCCTTGTTTTTAATATCCAGGTTGGGAGAGGGTGTGATATTGCTCCTAATATCCAGAGGGGGAGTGGAGGATATTACTTCAAATATCGCAGGGCGTGTATACCCCCCTTGTGATATTGTTCCTAATATCCCGGGGGTGAGACTATGATATTACTGGCAATATCGCAGGTGGTGTGCACCTCCCCGTGATATTGGTCCTAATGTCCAGCACAAGAGAAAATAATACTACTCTCAATATGGCAGGGGATATACACTTCCCTTGCAATATTTTTAATAATATCCATGGGGGGAAGGATGATATTCCTCCCAATGTCACGGCGGGTGTACAACCCCAGTGTGATATTGTTCTTAAAATCTAGGTGGGGAGAGGATGATATTACTCCCAGTATATCAGGGGGTGTAAACCTCCCTGTGATATTGTTCTCAATATCCATGGGGGGAGAGCATGATATTACTCCCAATATCGCAGGTGGTGTACACCCCTCCTGTTATATTGTTCTTAATATCCAGGTCAAAAGAGGATGCTATCACTCTCGAAATCACAGGGAGTGTACACCCCGCCTGTGATATTGTTCCTAATATCCCGGGGAAGAGAGGATGATATTATTCTCAATAGCGCAGGATGTGTACGCCCACTTTGTGATATTGTTCCTAATATCCATTGGGGGGAGAGGTTGATATTACTCCCAATACCCTTTCATGATATTTTTCCTAATATCCAGGGGGGAAGAGCATGATATTACTCTCAATATCACAGGGAGTGTACACCCCTTCTGTGATATTGTTTCTAATAGTCAGGGGGTCAGAGTAGGATATTACTCCCAATATCACAGGGGGTGTACACCCCCGCATGACATTGTTTCTAATATCCAGAGGGGGAGTGGATGTCATTAATATGCATAATCGTAGGAACAATACATCATCCCCTGTGATATTGCTGCTAATATCCAGGAAAGAAGAGGACGATATTACTTCCAATATTGCAGGGGGTGTACACCCCGCCTGTGATATAGTTTCTTATATCCATAAGAAAAGAGAATAATATTACTACCAATATCGAAGGGGGTGTACACTGCCCCTGTGATATTGTTTCTAATATCCAGGTTGGGAGAGGATTATTACTGTGAATAACAGAGGGGGTAAACACCCTCCTTGTGATATTGTTTTTAATATCCAGGGGGTGAGAGGATGATATTACTCCCGATATCGCCGGTGGTGTACACCCCCCCTGTGATATTGTTCCGAATATCCAGGAGAAGAGAGGATATATTACTCCCAATACTGCAGGAAGTGTACACTCCGCTGTGACATTGTTTCTAATATCCATGGGGGGACAGCATGATATTACCCCCAATATCACAGTGGGTGTACAGCCTCCTTGTGATATTGCTCTTAGTTTTCAGGGGGTAGAGTATAATATTACTGCCAATATAGCAGTGGGTGTACACCCTCCCTTTGATATTGCTCCTTATATTCACCGGAAAGAGGATGATATTGCTCCCAATTATCACAGTCTGTGTACACCCACCCTGTGATATTGTTCCCTATATCCAGGGAGGAAGAGAATGATACTACACTCAATATTGCAGGTGGTGTACACCGCGCCTGAGATATTGTTTCCTGTCTCAACGGAAGGAGAGGATGATGTTACCACCAGTATCGAAGGTGGTGTACACCCCGCTGTGATATTGTTCCTAATATCTAGGTTGGGAGAGAGTGATATCACTGCCAATATACCAGGAGGTGTACACCCCGTCTGTGACATTACTCCTAATATGCAGGGGAAGAGAGAATTATATTACTCCCAATAGCGCAAGAGGTGAACACACCCCTGTGAAATATCCAGTGGGAGAGACAATGATATTACTGGCCATATTGCAGGAGGTATACACTCCCTCTGTGATATTGTTTTTAATATCCACGAGGTATAGGATGATATTACTCCCAATATCGCAGTGAGTGTACACCAATCCTGTGGTATTGTTCTTAATATCCAGGGAGAGAGAGGATGATATTACCGTCAATATCGCAAGGGGTGGACACCCCTTCTTTGATATTCTTCCTCTTATCCAGGGAGGAGAGCATAATATTAATCCCAATATCGCTGGAAGTGTACACTCCCCCTTTGATATTGTTCCCAATATCTCAGAGGGGTGGAGTCTATGATATTATCAGATGGTGTGTTCAACACCCCTGTAATATTGTTTCAGCAATGAAGAAAGATTTAACTCCCAAAATGGGATGAGCTATACACCCCCCATGAGATATTGTTTTTAATATCCAGGGGGGGAAGGTGGATATTTCACTTCCCCTGTTGCAGCGGGTGTATAAACCCCTGTGATATTGTTCCTAATGTCCAGGAGGGGTTAAGATAATATTACTCCCAATATCGCAAAGGGTGTACACCTCCTCTGTGATATTATTCTCAATATCCATAGGGGTAGAAAATTATATTACTCCCAGTGATATTGTTTCTAATATCCAGGTTAAAAGAGGATGATATTACACACAATATCGCAGGGGGTGGGGTGTACATTCCTACTGTGTTATTATTTCTAATATTCAGGGGAAGAGGGAATAATATTACTCCCAATAGCGCAGGGGGTGTACACACCCTGTGATATTGTTCCTAATATCCAGGGAAGGAGACAATGATATTACTGGCCATATCGGAGGAGGTGCACACCCTTCTGTGATATTGTTCCTAATATTCAGTGGGGGAAAATATAATATTAATCCCAATATCGCAGGGGGTGTACAGCCCCCCTATGATATAGTTCGTAACGCACGGGGAAAAGAGAATAATATTACTCCCAATATCGCTGGGGGTATACGCCCCCCCCCCGGTATATTACTCCTAATATGCAGCGAAGTAGATGCTGATGATACTCCCAATATCGCAGGAGTTATACACACCCCCTGTAATGTTGTTCCTAATATCCAGCGGGAAAGAGACTATTATTCCCAATATCGCAGTGGGTGTACATACCCCCTGTGATATTGTTCCTAATAACTAGTGGGGGAGAGCATGATATTATTTCCAATGTCACGGTGGCTGTACCCACCCCCGGTGATATTGCTCCTAATTTTCAGTGGGTAGAGTAGGATATTATCCCCAATATAGCAGTGGGTGTACACCCAACCTGTGATAATTCTGCAAATATTCAGGGAAACACAAGATATTACTTCTAATAACGCAGGGAGTGTACACCCCTTTTGTGATATTGATCTTAATATCCAAAGAAAGAGAAAAAAATACTTTCAATATTGCAGGTTGTGTACACCCACCCTGAGAAATTGTTCCTAATATCAAGGAAGGGAGAGGATATTACTCCCCGTATAGCAGGGGGGTGGACAGGGGACTAATATCACCCCCCTCTCCCCTTTTGGATATTACGATCCACACCACAAGGGGGTGGACAACCCCCGCTATATGGGGAGTAATATCACCCCCCTCTCTTCCCCTAAATATTACAATCCCTGGTGGACACACAGAGTGTTTACTATATTGTGAGTAATATCATCTCCCCCTCTGGAAATTACGAACTATTTCACAGACGATGTACACCCTCTGCAGTATTGGGAGTAATATCATCCTCCTCCCCCCTGGATATTAAGGACAATATCACAGGAGTGTTTATACTCCCTACGATACTGGGTGTCATATCATCTTCTCCCACATTGAAATTAGAAACAACATCTTTGGGGGCGTTTACACCTTCTGTATTATTGAAAGCAATATCATCCATTCCTCTCCTGGATCATGAGAACAGTATCACCGGGGGGTGTACACTTTCTGCGATATTGGTAGTAATATCATCCTCTCCGTCTTTTAATATTAAGGACAATCTCATAGGGGGGTGTACAACCCCTGCGATATTGGAAACATTATTATTCCCTCCCCCGCTGCATATTAGGGAAACTATCATAGAGTGAGTGTACACCTCCTGCGATATGGGGAATAATATCATCTTCTCCCCTTCTGGATATTAGGAACAGTATCACATGGCGGTTTACACTTTCTTCAATATCTGGAGTAATGTCATCCTCCCCTCCATTGAGTGGTAAGAAAAATATCACTGGGGAGATGTACACCTCCTGCGATACTGGGAGTAATATCAGGCTCTCCCCGCCTTGATATTAGGAACAATATCCCAGCGCAGGTGTACATCTCCTAACATATGGAAAGTAATATCCTCTCCCTTCCTGGGAGGAACAATATCACAGCTTGGGTGTACACAGCTTGCAATATTGGAAGTAATATCCTCTCCCCCTCCGGTTATTAGGAACAATATCACAGAAGGGTTGTACACTCTCTGCCATATTGGGAGTAATATCATTTTCGCCTTCCCTGAATGTTAGGAGCAATATCCCCTGGTGGATGTACTCCCACTGTTATATTGGGAGTAATGTCATACTCTACCCCTGGATATTAGGAGCAATATCACAGGGTGGGTGTACACCCACTGCTATATTGGGGGTAATATCATGCTCTCTCTCCCTGGATATTAGGAACAATATCACAGAGGAATGTACACCCCCCTGCAATATAAAGAATAATATTATCTTCTCTTCCTTCAGCTAGTAAGAACAATATCACATAGGAAGTGTATACCCCCTGCACTATTGAGAGTAATATTCTGTCTTATTCTGGATAGTAGGAATAATATCACAGGCGGGGTGTACAACCCCTGTGATATTGGGAGTAATGTCATCCTCTCCCAACGTGGATATTCGGAACAATATCACAGGGGGCGTGTACAGTTCTTCGATATTAGTAGTGATATCATACTCTCCCCCCTGGATATAAGAAACAATATGACAGGCCAAATGGCCACCCCCCGCGATATGGTTAGTAATATCCCTCCATGAATATTATGATCCACGGTGGGCACACAGCGTGTTTATGATATTGTGAGTAATATCATGTCCCCCTCTAGAAATTAGGAACAATATCAAAGACGGGTGTCCACCCTCTGCAGTATAGGGAATAATATCATCCTCTCCCCCCGCAGGATATTAGGAGCAATATCGAAGGAGTGTTTATAACCCCTGCGACACTGGGAGTAATATCATTCTCTCCCACGTTGAAATTAAGAACAGTATCACTGGGGGCGTGTGCAACTTCTGTGATATTGAAAGTAATATCATTCTCTTCCCTCCTGGATCATGGGAACAATATCACCAGGGGATGTACACTTTATGCGATATTGGGAGTAATATCCTCTCCGCCTTGGAATATTAAAGACAATATCACGGGGGGGTGCACACCCCCTGCGATATTGGGAATAATATTATCCTCTGCCCCCTGTATATTAGGAAAAATAACACAGAGTGGGTGTACACCTCCTGCGATATGGAGAATAACATCATCTTCTCCCCTTCTGAATATTAAGAACAATATTACACGGGGGTGTACCCTTTCTATGACATTGGGAGTAATATCAACCTCTCAGCCTTTGAATATTAAGAACAATATCGCAGGGTGGATGTACATCTCCTGCGATATTAAGAGTAATATCAGCCTCTCCCCTCCATAGATATTAGAAAGAATATCCAAGGGTGGGTGTACACCAACTGCTATATGGGGAGTAATATCATCCTCTTCCTCCCAGGATATCACAGGGTGAGTGAACACAGCCTGCGATACTGAAAGTATTATCATCCTCTCCCCCTCGGGATACTAGGAACAATATTACAGAAGATGGGTACACTCCCTGCAATATTGGGAGTAATATCATACATTTCTTCCGTGAATATTAGGAGCAATATCACAGGGTGGATGTACACCCACTGCTATATTGGGAGTAATGTCATACTCTATCCCCTGGATAGTAGGATCAGTGTCACAGGGTGAGTGTACACCTAGTGGAATATTAAAACTAATATCATGCTTCCTGTCCCTGGATATTAGGAACAATATTAAGGGTAGGTGTACACCCCCTGCAGTATTAGGAGTATTCGAAGCAATAATATTAATTATAAAACATTAATTATTAATATTAATAATAATATCAATGTTGATATACATTAATTACTAATATCATATTAATAGCTAATAATTAGTTATTGTAATTACAAACAATTGATTGTTAATATTAATATTATGTATTCAGAACATGTTATCAATATTAATATGGATTATCAATTTTATTATCAGTAGTATTTATTAATTAATAATTTGCTTTATCGATATTAATTACTGATATTATTTTATTATTAATCATGATATTACTATTATTTATAATGATCATTAATGTTAATAATTAATATTAATTTTGTCATTCTGGTTAATATCAGAGATTACTATTATTATATTTATTCATATTAATAACTAATATTATTATTCCTGATATCCGGGGGGTAGAAGATGATAATACTCCCAAATTCACAGAAGGTGTACACCCCCCTATGATGTTATTCCTAATAGCCAGGGGGTAGAGGACGACATTACTCAAAATGTTGCAGTGGATATACATTTCTTCTGTGATCTTGTTCCTAATATCCTTCATGGGGAGAGGATGATATTACTCCCAATATCACAGGGGGCGTAGACCTCCCTTGTGATATTGTCCCTAACATCCAAAGGTGGAGAGGATATTTCTCCCAATATCGCAGGGGGCATAGACCTCCCCTGTGATATTATCCCTAATATCCTAAGGTGGAGAGGATGATATTTCTCCCAATTTCGCAGGGGGTGTAGACCACCCCAGTGATATTGTTCCTAATATCCATGGGGTGAGAGGATGATATTAGTCTCAATATCACAGGAGGTGTACACTCCCCAGTGATATTGTTCCTAATATCCAGGGACTGATAGGATGCTATTGCTCCCAATATAGCATCGGGTGTATACCCCTTCTGTGACATTGTTTTTAATAGCCAGCGGGAGAGAGGAAGATATTACTCCCAATATCGCAAGGCATATACACCCAATTGTGATATTGTTCCTTATATCCCGGGAGGGAGACGATGATACTAGTGGCACTATCGCAGGGGGTGTACACACCCGCTGTGATATTGTTCCAAATATCCCAGAGGGGAAGAAAATGATATTACTCCCAATATTGCAGGGGGGTGTACATCCTCCTGTGATATTGTTTCTTATATTCAGTGAGGAGAGGATAATACTACTCCCAATATCGCAGGGGCTGTATACACCTCCTGCGATATTGTTCCTAACATCCTGAAGGGGAGAGCATAATATGACTCTCAATATCACGGGGAGTGTACACCTCCTTTGTAATATTGTTCTTAATATCCATGATGAGAGAGGATATTACTCCCAATATTGCAGGGGATGTACAACCACCCTGGGATATTGTTCCTTATGTCAACAGGGGGAGAGGATGATATTACTCCCAATATCGCAGGGGCTGTACACACCTCCTGTGATATTGTTCCTAATATCCTAGGGAAGAGAGGACGACATTACACCCAATATCGCAGGGGATTTACACCCACCCAGTAATACTCTTCTTAATGTCCAGGAAGAGAAAGGATGCTATTAATCCCGATATCAAAGAGGTTTTACTCTCCCCCACCCCGGGATATTGTTCCTAATATCCAAAGAAAGAGAGGATAACATCATGCCCAATATCGCAGGGGGTGTACACACCCCCTGTGATATTGTTCCTAATATCCAAAGGCAGAGAGGATGATATTACTCCCAAAATCGCAGGGGATGTTCACCCCTCTTGTGATAATTTTCTTAATATTTAGGGGGCAAGACAATGATATTACTGTCCATATCACAGGGGTCACAACACCCCTGTGATATTGTTTTTAATATTCAATGGGGGAGAGGATGATAATAATTCCAATATAACAGGGGACACACCCCTTGTGATATTGTTCCTAATATCCGGGGGAAGATAAATGATATGACTCACAATATGGCAAGGGGTGTACAGCCCCTCCATAATATTGTCCCTAATACCCAGGAGGATTAGAATGATATTACTCCCAATATCACAGGGGGTGTACATGACCCCTTTGATATTGTTCCTAATATCCAGGAAGGGAGGGGATAATATTACCCCCAATATCATAGGGGATGTACACCCTTGTGTGATGTTGTTTCTAATATTCAGTGGGAGAGAGGACAACATTAATCCCAATATCACAGGAGGTGTATAGATCTCTGTGATATAGTTCCTAATGAACAGGGAAAAGAGAAAAATATTACTCCCAATATTACAGGGTGTGTAAACCCCTCTGTATATTTTTCCCAACATGCCGTGGGGTAGAGGTTGATATTACTCCCAATATCGCAGCGGGTGCACACACTCCCTGTTACATTGTTCCTAATATACAGGAGAAGAGAGGATGATATTAATCCCCATATAGAAGGATGGTGGGCACCTCTTGATGTACACAGTAAAGCACCCTCTCACTCCCTGGCTAGTGCAGGATCTGGCCAGCAGCCCACAATGCAAGGGGGCTCTTTCTTTGTCCCCAGGCAGATCAGCAGGTCGAGAAATAATAGACACACACAAGATAGTGAAAACTGGGTCCAGGGGGGTCACCACTTTCTGGTCCCATGGTGCTGCCAATGCACTGGATATACCAGCATTTATTATTAAGTTTAGTGAGGGTGGGGGTAGGTTAGTGAGGGATTTAGGGTTGTTTGATTATGAGGTGAGATGGTCACATGGGGATGAAGTAATTCTTTAACATAACATCTGTATGCAGAAGTACAGTATACAGAGATAAGAATTTACAGTATAGTGTGTGCATCAGTAATTTCCAACAGAGCCTTAAAACAGAAACACAGTCTTTCCATAACCTATGATTAGCAAGATATCAATCAACAGTAACAGTTGCAGCAAAAGCTGGTTACAAACAATCCGTAGAAACAGGATGTGAAGCTAGACAACCGGTTAGACCAGAAATTCTCAGAAGGGAGTATGCCTTAACCCTGAAGAGGCCTAGAAGAGCCGTGGCAAGATGAGGGCGTTTATAGCCCTATCTTATCCATATGAACAGGCACCCCTCATGCATCCATTTATAGGCTCTCCACAAGGGTCGCATTCCATTCCCAGAGCTATGAACATCTGCTTTTCTGGGAAAGGAATCTTGGTGATGTGAAGCCTCCCTGACTGCACATCCGTTCATGGGCTCTCTTCAGGGGGAAGCACATCAAGCACTGTTGGCTCATTCTGGCAGTCCAACATGGCATTGTCTTTACACGACCCTGCATGCAACTTTGTATTTACAATAATCAGGAGCATTTCATCTTTTATTCTGTAGCAATAGTTTCAGGGGGTCTCCCTACATCTCCCCCTTTTCTCTGATTTAAATGAACCATAGCAATCATAGCTTGGTGCTGATTATGATTGGATTGAAGAATTTTTTTTCCAATTTTACACATGAACAATAAACCAATAGCACAAATTATACACAGAACAAAATTAATGATAGTGGATCCTTCCAAAGATTTTACCCATTGAATGGGGTTGAGATTAGATAACCCCTTAGAGATACCGTCTAAAACTTCAGCAATGGGTAAAGCAGTTAAGTGTGCTTGAGAGGCCTCAAATATCTGTTCTTCTAGCTTGCTTATGTCTAAACTTAAATTATCTTCACTTCCTTGTAAATGGAGTTTTACTGATTCCCAATTGTGAACAGACTCATTATATTGAAACTGAGTTATACAAAAATCAGAAGTATTCCAATCACATTGCATTTGTAATCTATGTTCTAAAGTTATAATTCTATCTCCCATCCATATAACAGTTTGTCTTAGATCATTAATTTGATTGGCCAATTTTTGATCAATACCTGACTGAGAATTCCACATCTGAGTGGAATTTTTTTGCCATTTATCCATAAATGAACAGTTTGAATAGATTGATGTAATGCAACTCCAGCAGTAGCAGCAGTCGCAGTAACAGCAATCAAGCCCATTATTACTGCAATTAATGTAAAAATAAATCATTTATTCCTTTTAAGAATTTTTTGTAGAATATTGTTAATAACACAGATAGAAGGGAAGATTCCCGAGGCCTATGTAAGGCTACAGGGAGCCAAATAGCTTCTCTGGCTCTGAGTATTAAAATACTATGATATTGATTAAAGGATGAGTCAATACAAGCATACAAGTAACAATTAACACAGGTAATTATGTTGGTTTTTGAACTAATATGCATCTTTCCTACTAAAAACATATATGGTGGTTTAACACAACTTTTAAGTGGTATAGTTTTGTCAGTTTCCATATAGATAGTATATATATTTCAGGATGGTACTCTTGTTTGTGAATGTGGGGTGGGGGAATAGGTTGTATGAGAGGTGGTGGGGGGACATTAGCAACGGGGAGGTATAAGTCCTCATAATCTTTACTGTCCCATCTTTGGATTGACCTTTTGATGATTGCCATAGTGATATTTTTGGCTGTTTGGAAATAGTAGTGTAAATTAATCTGTTGTCTTAGTTTTCAAGGTGACAAGGTGGATTTACTTATAACACTTTTTCCAGCCCAAACTCTCATACCAGTCATAGCTGTGGTTAATCTCCATAATTCTAAATGCTCACGTTGTAAGTGGGGAACAATGAGCCTTGGCTTTGGAGGGGCAACCACTACCTCTTTCCACTTAAAAGGACAAAAGGAGTTAAATCTAAGATATGAAAGGGAAGGGTTGTCACTACTTTTTTGATAAGTAATATCATAGAGAAAATGTTGACAATCTCTGTGACCTTGAGAGCAATCATTAGTAATATGACTTTTGGGAGCCCAATCAACAATGGTGTAGTGAGAAGAATTAAATAACACAGTTCCTTCTGAACTAACACAATCCTTCCATATTAATTTGTTAGCATTTGAAGACAAGTTGAGAAGACATGCAGATCCTAAAGGGTTATATCGGGATGTGTGAATACAATCAGTGATTCCTGTTTTGATCTGTCTTAGAGGTTTTACTGACAGCCCTGATACCAAGTGTCCCAAAGGAGGCACAGAGTGACCAGATGGTAGTGTGACTGCCCAAGTTTGAATATCTAATGCGAGACATCCATTAGTGGGTCCCAGGCACAAAGGTGGATACCTAAAACCTAAAGTGATATCCGAAGGGGTTCCTTCTTCTGAAGGTTGTGCAGGACAATGATCATCTATAGAACCAGGCATCCAAATACTATCATTAACATAGACCTCTATAGGAGCATCCATCCATGTCACAGCTTGAATAAGAGGAGGAAAAGGAATATAGGCCCAATATGTATAGTTTTTAACAGTCTGTGGAGTGACAGAGTGTAGAAGGATCAGTGTCATCAGGAAGAGGCAGAGGTTGAGCCGGACCTGGATCACTGGATCACAAGTTTAGTTGTATGTGAGGGGTAGACAACTCCTTATCCCCCTCTTTTTGTTTAAGTGATTGTAATTTTAGAGTTCTGTTACTTCTTTCTACATTAGCTTGGCCTTGTGGGTTATAAGGAATACCAGTAATATGTTTAATATGCTACTGATCAAGAAAATTTTTAAAAGCTTTACTGCAATAGGCTGGACCATTGTCTGTTTTGAGCTCACTGGGAATTCCCATAATCACAAAACATGAAAACATATGTTTTTTAACGTGAGAAGTGGCTTCTCCAGTTTGACAGGTAGCCCAGATGAAATTGGAAAAATGTGTCAATGGTGACATGCACATAAGCTAATTGCACAAAAGAAGGAACATGAGCAACATCCATTTGCCAAATAGCATTAGGAGAAAGGCCTTGGGGATTAACTCCAGGAGATTGTGTGGCTAAGACAAGAATCTGACATTGAGAACAGCATTGTACAATTTGTTTAGCTTGTTTCCAACTGAGAGAATATTTATGTTTAAGACCTGAGGCGTTAGTATGAGTGAGTTGATGAAATTGTTCTGCATCTGTAATGGCTAGAGAAACTAGAGTATCAACTTTATGATTATCACTGGATAAAGGTCCAGGCAAATTAGGATGAGATTGAATGTGAGTGATGAAAAAAGGGTGGTTTCAGTTTCTGACAGTCTTTTGTAACAAAGAGAACAAGGAAAACAGAATAGTGTCAGCAATATTTTTGATGGTAACTGTTTCTATTGCCTTAGTGGCATGGACTACATAAGCTGAGTCAGAGACAATATTAAGAGGCTGATCAAAATCCTGTAATGCAGAGATAACAGCAAACAACTCGGCTTTTTGAGCAGAAGTGTATGGAGTAGAAATGACTTGATCTTTTGGTCCTGCATACCCTGCCTTTCCATTACTGGATCCATCAGTAAAAATGGTAATGACTGCCTCTAGTGGTGATGAATGTGTAAGTTTTGGTAGAATCCAGGAAGTATTTCGTAGAAATTGAAAGAATTTTGACTTAGGCAAATGATTATCAATAGTGCCAATGAAGTCAGAGAGATTAGTCTGCCAGCACAAAGATGTAGAAAAGGCATTTTTAACTTCATTTTTTGACAAAGGGGCCACAATAATGTTTGGATCAAAGCCGGAAATTTTAGTGATATGTTGACGTCCTAACCCAATTAAAGTGGCCATTTGATCAAGATATATTGAAAGAGTTTTAGAGACTGAATTAGGAAGGAATACCCATTCAACTAGAGAATCATTTTGTATAATAAGTCCTGTAGGAGAGTAGATGGAAGGAAAAACTAAAAATTGTAAAGGCAAATTTGGGTCAATACGAGAGACTTGTGCCTCTCTCACTCATTATTCTGCAAAAGACAACTTTTGTTTTGTTGGTTCAGAGAGAGAGCAAGGACAGTTCTAAACCTGTATCTCCTGATAAAGTGGCAAATAGATGAGATAATGCATAAGTAGGGAAGGCTAGGGTTGGTCTGAGATAATTGATGTCATCTAGTAAATTTGAAAATCATTTAAGGTGTTTAAATTGTCAGTATGAAGTTGGACTTTTTGGTGTTTAATGGAGTGAGCTTCTAGCTGCATTCCTAAGTACAGAAAAGGAGTGGCTTGTTGAATTTTATCAGGAGCAATGTGGAGTCCTGCATTGGCAACAGCTAATTTTAAAGAGGTAAAACATTGAATTAATTCATCTTTAGTGGGAGCTGCAATCAGTATATCATCCATGTAATGAAGAATGTAATTATTTTTAAAAGTCTGTCAGATAGGTTGTAACACTACTGACAAACAACTGACAAATAGTAGGACTGTTAATCATTCCTTGAGGTAAAACTTTCCATTGATATTTAGCTGCGGGATCTGAATTGTTAATGGAAGGTATAGTGAAAGCAAATTTTTCACAGTCTGACTTGTCTAAAGGAATATGAAAAAAGCAATCATTAAGGTCAATGATAATTAAAGGCCATTCCTTAGGAATCATGGAGGGGGAGGGCATACTGGGTTGTAATGCCCCCATAGGTTTAATAACTGCATTAACAGCTCTTAAGTCTGTTACCATCCTCCATTTTCCTGACTTTTTTTGTACAACAAACACAGGCAAGTTCCATGGAGACAAGGAGTGCTCAATAGTGTTTGCTTGTAGTACATTATTAACAATTTCAATTAAAGCCTCCAACTTGTGTTTGGAAAGCAGCCACTGCCCTACCTAAACAGGTAACTCACACACCCATTATGCAGGGGCAGAGGAAAAGAGAGAAGAGAGTGAGGACACCGGGATGTGGACTGGGGGGAAGCAGGATTCCAAGCCTCTGAAGGAAGGGGTCCCAGAACATCAAAAGAAACAGTAGGCTTAGAAGAGTGGAGAGGTCCAAAAGGACAAGAGGAATGAGAAACAGGCCATTTAGCTGAATGCCACATGTCCTCCTCTGGCAGAGGGGGCAACGGCTTAGTAGAAGAAGAGTTAACATATACAGGTTCCAAGATAGGAGGTGGAGGGAGGAGATCATCACCAGGTTCCTCCTCTTGGGGAGAAAACAAGGAAAGATTGAATTCCTCCTCATCATCAGAAGGAGGACTGGTAGGGGGGTCAGCTACCTGAGGTAAAGGGAGCGGCTCACCATCCGCATTAACTTGTGGCAGTTGAAGAGGATCACCAGACTGAAAAGGAAGTAAAGCAACATGAATAAGAGCCCAGTCGGTCCAAACAGAAATAGGAAGTAAAACACCATCTTTCATGAGTTGGTGACGCATGGCGCCAACTCTATCCCAGTCTAACAGGTCCATAGAACCTTTGCCAGGGAACCAAGGACAATATTTTTCAATAGTCTGAAATAAGAGAATAAGGTTATTGGAATCAGCCTTGATTCCACCCTGTTTAAGAAGAAGTTTAATAAAAGACAGATAAGCCTGGTGTTTAGATTGTCATTGTCCCATAATAACCCTGGAATAATACCGGTCGACAAACCTGAAAAGAGGGGAGAGTCGGAAAAAGAGTACCCAGAGACCTTACCGTCAAGACTGAAGACTAGTCGTCATGAACCTGCACTCAGAGTGCACTGAGCTGAGAAACAAAGAAGGCCATGTTGGGCGCCAGATATTGCGGGATCTGGCTAGCAGCCTGCAATGCAACAGGGCTCTTTCTTTGTCCCCAGGTGGATCAGCAGATCAAGAAACAATAGACACACACAAGATAGTGAAAGCTGGGTCCGGGGGGTCACCACCTCCTGGTCCCATGGTGCTGCCAATGCACTGGATGTAGCAGCATTCATTATTAAGTTTAGTGAGGGTGGGGGTAGGTTAGTGAGGGATTTAGGGTTGTTTGATTATGAGGTGAGATGGTCACATGGGGATGAAGTAATTCTTTAACATAACATCTGTATGCAGAAGTACAGTATACAGAGATAAGGATTTACAGTATAGTGTGTGCATCAGTAATTTCTAACAGAGCCTTAAAACAGAAACACAGTCTTTCCATAGCCTATGATTAGCAAGATATTAATCAACAGTAACAGTTGCAGCAAAAGCTGACTACAAACAATCCATAGAAACAGGATGTGAAGCTAGACAACCGGTTAGACAAGAAATTCTCAGAAGGGAGTATGCCTTAACCCTGAAGAGGCCTAGAAGAGCCGTGGCAAGATGAGGGTGTTTATAGCCCTATCTTATCCATATGAACAGGCACCCCTCATGCATCCATTTATAGGCTCTCTGCAAGGGTTGCATTCCATTCCCAGAGCTATGAACATCTGCTTTTCTGGGAAAGGAAACTTGGTGATGTGAAACCTCCCTGACTGCACATCTGTTCATGGGCTCTCTGCAGGGGGAAGCACATCACGTGCTGTTGGCTCATTCTGGCAGTCCAATCTGGCATTGTCTTTACACAATCCTGCATGCAACTTTGTATTTACAATAATCAGGAGCATTTCATCTTTTATTCTGTAGCAATAGTTTCAGGGGGTCTCCCTACACCTGGCTATTATGATCCACATCGCAGGGGGGTGAGGCACCCCCTGTGAGATGGGGAGTAATAGCATGATCCACGGTGGTTCCACTGCATGTTTATGATTTTGTGAGTAATATCAGCTCCCCCCTTGGAAATTACAAACTATTTCACAGAGGGGTGTACACCCTCTGCAGTATTGGGAGTAATATCATCCTCTTTCTACCTGAATATTAAGAACAATATCACAGGAATGTTTATACTCCCTACAATATTGGGTGCCATATCATCCTCTCCCTTTTTGAAATTAGAAACAATATCACTGGGGGGCGTGTACACCTTCTGTGATATTGAAAGTAATATCATCCTCTTCTCTTCTGGATCTTGCGAACAATATCACTGGGGGGTGTACACTTTCGGCAATATTGGTAGTAATATTATCTTTTCCACCTTTGAATATTAAGGACAATATCACAGGGGCGTGTACAACCCCTGCAATATTGGGAGGATTGTTATTCTATTCCCCCCTGCATATTAGGAAAAATATCAGAGTGAGTGTACACCTCCTGTGATATGGTGAGTAATATCCTCTTCTCCCCTTCTGGATATTTGGAACACTATCACACAGGGGTTTACACATTCTTCAATATCGGTGTAATGTCATCCTCTCCTTTTTTGAATGGTAAGAACAATATCACAGGGAGGGATGTACACCCCCTGCACTATTGGGAGTAATATCAGGCTCTCTCCGCCCTTGACGTTAGGAACAATATCCCAGCGTTGGTCTCCACCTCCTACTATATTGAAAGTAATATCATCCTCTCCCTTCCTGGATATTAGAAACAAAATCACAGGGTAGGTGTACACAGCCTGCGATATTGAAAATAATATAATCCTCTCCCCCTCTGGATATTAGGAACAATATCACAGAAGGGTTGTACACTCTCTGCCATATTGGGAGTAATACCATTTTCTCCTTCCCTGAATATTAGGAGCAATATCCCCTGGTGGATGTACACCCACTGTTATATTGGGAGTAATGTCATACTCTACCCCCTGGATATTAGGAGCAATGTCAACTAATGGGTGTACACCCATGGCGATATTGGGGATAATATCATGCTCTCCCTCCCTGGATATTAGGAACAATATCACAGGTGGGTGTACACCTTCTGCAGTATAAAGAATAATGTTATCTTCTCTTCCTTTAGCTATTAAGAACAATATCACATGGGAAGTATACACCTCCTGCTCTATTGGGAGTAATATTCTCTCTTATTCTGGATAGCAGGAATAATATCACAGGCGGGGTGTATATCCCCTGTGATATTGAGAGTAATATCATCCTCTCCCAACGTGGATATTCGGAACAATATCACAGGGGGCATGTACTTCTCCGATATTGGTAGTAATATCATCCTCTCCCCCTGGATATAAGAAACAATATGACAGGCAGAATGGACACCCCCTGCGACATGGGGAGTAATATCCCTCCCTGGATATTGTGATCCACAGTGGACACACAGAGTGTTCATGATATTGTGAGTAATATCATCTCTCCCCTAGAAATTATGAACAATATTAAAGACGGGTGTACACCCTCTGCCATATAGGGTGTAATATCATCCTCTCTCCCCCTGGATATTAGAAACAACATCGCAGGTAGGAGTAGCATCCTGTGCAGTATTAGGAGTGATAATATTATTAATTATTAATCATTAATTTCAATGTAATTATCCATGTTGTATTAATTAATATTAACTACTAATATAATATTAATTATTAACAATTAATTTTATAGTTATACATTATTAATTATATGTAATTATGATTATATAATTATTAATAATTAAAATCTTTTATCAATATATTAATTACTAGTATTAATATTAACCATCAATTGTATATGTGTATTATTTATTAATTTTAAATTTAATTAATGTAAATTACTGATATTTTATTGATCATAATACTATTAATTGTAAATAGTGATCATTAATATTAATAATTAATATTAGTTTGTCATTATGATTATTAATATCAATGATTGCTAGTAATTATTATATTTATTCATATTAATAATTAATATCCTTATTCCTGATATCCACGTGGGGAGAAGATGATATTACTTCCAATTTCGCAGAAGGTGTACACCCCCCTATAATGTTATTCCTAATAGCCAGGGCGTAGGGGATGACATTACTCTAAATATCGCAGTGGGTGTACATCCCTTCTGTGATCTTGTTCCTAATATCCTGTTGGGGAGAGGATGATATTACTCCCAATATCGCAGGGGGCGTAGACCTTCTCTGAGATATTGCTCCTAATATCCGAAGGTGGAGAGGATGATATTTCTCTCAATTTCTCAGAGGGTGTACACCACCCCTGTGATATTGTTCCCAATATCCATGGGGTGAGAGGATGATATTAGTCTCAATATCGCAGGAGGTGTACACTTCCTAGTGATATTGTTCCTAATATCTAGGGACTGAGAGAATGATATTATTCCCAATATAGCAGTGGGCGTACACCCCTTCTGTGACATTGTTCCTAATAGCCAGCGGGGGAGAGGAAGATATTACTTTCAATATCGCAGGGCATATACACCCAATTGTGATATTGTTCCTTATATCCCGGGAGGGAGACAATGATACGAGTGGCAATATCGCAGGCACTGTACACACCCACTGTGATATTGTTTTGATTATCCAGAGGGGAAGAAAATGATATTACTCCCAATATCACAGGGGGTGTACATCCTCCTGTGATAATTGTTTCTTATATTCAGGGGGGAGAGGATAATATTACTCCCAATATTGCAGGGGTTGTACACACCTCCTGCAATATTTTCCCTAATATCCTGAAGGGAAGAGCATAATATGACTCTCAATATCGCAGGGGGTGTATACCTCCTTTGTAATATTGTTCTTAATATCCATGATGGCAGAGGACGATATTACTCCCAATATCACAATAAGTGTACAGCCTCCTGTGATACAGTTCCTAATATCTAGGTGGGGAGAGGATGATATGACTCCCAATATCGAAGAAGGTGTACACTACCGCCCCCCCCCCGCAATGTGACATTATTCCCAATATCCACGTTGGGAGATGATGATATTATGCCCAATATCGCAGGGGCTGTACACCCCTCCTGTGATATTATTCCTAATATCCTAGGGAAGAGAGGATGATATTACACCCAATATCGCAAGAGGGGTACATCCACCAAATGATATTCTTCTTAATGTCCAGGAAGGGGAAGGATGTTATTACTCTTGATATCGAAGTGGTTGTACTCCCCCCCCTGGGATATTGTTCCCAATATCCAGGGAAAGAGGGGATAACACCATGCCCAATATCGCAAGGGGCGTATATCTCCCCCGTGATATTGTTCCTAATATCCAAAGGTAGAGAGGATGGTATTACTCCCAATATCGCAGGGGGTGCACACCCCTCTTGTGATCCTGTTCATAATATTTAGGGGGCAAGAGAAGGATATTACTGTCCATATCACCGGGGTCACAACACTTCTGTGATAATTGTTTTTAATATTCAGTGGGGGAGAGGATGATAATAATTCCAACATAACAGGGGACACACCCTCTGTGATATTGTTCCTAATATCCGGGAGAAGAGAAATAATGTGACTCACAATATGGCATGGGGTGTACAGCACCTCCATAATATTGTTCCTAATATCCAGGAGGGATTAGAATGATATTATTCCCAATATCACAGGGAGTGTACACGACCCCTTTGATATTGTTCCTAATATCCAGGGAGGGAGAGGGTGATATTATTCCCAATATTGTCGGAGGTGTACAATACCCCTACTCCCATGTCATTGTTTTTAATCTTTAGGTGGGGAGAGGATGATATTACTCTCAATATCTCAGAGGGTGTACCCCTTCCTTCAGCCCATGTTTCAGCAGAGCCCCTTGAAGGGAGTCACAGTCTGTCTTAAGAAGGGGATTAGCCAGGAAGAGGGTTAATATGGCCCCACTGGAAATGGGTGGTCCACGTCTCACTTTGCCTGTTCCTTGTCTTTCTTCTCCTTCCACTCATGAGACCCCAGCAGTCTAGAAGAGAACGCTGCTCACTTCTGAGCACCCACTATAGTTGGGCTTATGGACAGATACAGGTTGAAGTTTATATCATTTCAGATACCATTTTTTAGAAAGAAAGCTACAAATTTCTGAATACAAAGTAGACTTGGTGCCTTGAAAGAGATGGTTTCTGGCACAAGCCCCTGTGGTCAGGCATTTTCCATATGCCATCCCAGACCATAAGAATTGGACTCTAATTCTGACTCTAGCGCCTACTAGCTGATGGAAAAATAACCTCTCAGGGCCTCAGTTTTCTCCTCTATAAAATCTATCTTTAGGTAAAGAATTATCATTAGTAAGGCAAAGAGGCTCACACAGGGCTGCACTGAGGCTTGGATTTAGGTTTCCAATCTTAATAGACAGACCATCCACCTGGTAACACAATCTTTCATCATCTCTGCATTCCAAGAGAGGACCACTGCTACAAAACAAACAAGAGTTTGAAGCCACCGAGACTATGACCCTCAACCTTTCTTTGCATGAGGCCACCTGGAAAGCTTTAAAAATATAACAGTGACAAACCCCTCCCCACAGGTTCTGATTTAATTGCTCTGGGTGTAATGCCCAGGCATTGGCTTTTTTTTTAACTCTCCAGGTGATTTTAATGTGCAGCCAGAGTTGAAATCCACTGCACTAAAGCATTGTTTCCCTAGTACCTGGCTTCCTTCCGACCCACCTCTGTAACAGCTGCTTCAAATGGGGCCCATCAGTGGGAATGTAAATGAGTACAGCTGCTGTAGAAAACAGTGTGGAGGTTCCAAAAATAAACAAACAAAAAAAGAACTACCATATGATCCAGCAACACCACTACTGGGTATTTATCCAGAGGAAAGGAAATCAATATATTGAAGAAATATCTGCACCTCATGTCCCCATGTTTATTCCAGCATTATTCACAATAGCCAAGATATGGACTCCATCTAAATGTCCGTCAACAGATGAATAGATAAAGAAAATGTGGTACGTATACACAATGGAATAGTATTCAGCCATAAAAAGAATGAAATCCTGTCATTCACAGAAACATGGATGGGCCTGGAGGACATCATGTTAAATGAAATAACTCTGGCACAGAAAGATGTATACCACATGATATGGTTTGGCTATGTTCCCACCCAAATCTCATCTTGAACTTTAGCTCTCATAATTTCCACGTGCTGTGGAAGGGAACCAGTGGGAGATAATCAAACCATGGGAGCGGTTCTCACAAGATGTGATGGTTTCATAAGCGGTTTCTCCTTTGGCTTGGCTCTCATTCTCTCTTGCCTGCCGCCAGGTAAGACATGACTTTCACCTTCCACCACGATTGTGAGGCCTCCCCAGCCATATGCAACTGTGAGTCCATTAAACTTCTTTTTCTTTATAAATTACCCAGTCTTGAGTATGTGTTTATCAGCAGTGTGAAAACGGACTAATACACCACATGTTCTCACTCATAAACTGGAGCTAAAAAGAAAATTGAGCTCACAGAAGTACAGACTAGAATAGTAGTTATTAGAGGACAGAAATTCTGGTGGGGTAAGGGGAGGATAGGGAGATGTTGGTTAACAGATACAAATTTATAGCTAGATGGGAGGAATGAGCTCTAGTGTTCTGCAGCACAGTAGGGTGATTATAGTTAACAATAATTTAGTGTATAATTTCAAAAATCTAGAAGAGAGGATTTTGAATGTTCCCAACACAAAGAAATGATGTTTGAGATGATGGATATGCTAATTATCCAGATTTGACCATTACACATTGTATGCATGTTTCAAAATATCACTCTTAGCCCATAAATATTATTACATGTCAACTAAAAATAAAAGGAGAAAAATGGGGCCCATCTGAGAGGACAGCAATAAGAGTGACAACCTCAAAAACAATATTCCAACATTTATAGAGTATGTTACAGTCACAGAGCATTTGCACAGACCCAGCCTCATTTGGTTTCCACAAGAAGGCAAAGAGGCAGACACTACTTCTATGATCCTCCTTTTATAATTGAGAAAAGAGAGGCTCAGAAGCAGGACTGAAATCCAGAAGATCAGTCCCATAAGCCAGCAGCACAAATGTCTCAGGGTTACAAAGGAGAATACTGTAAGATATTAAAAAGAGCATCAGAAGGAGTCAGAAGACCTGAGTTTCTAGTTTTGGCAATTTGGTCTTAGACAAGTCATATGCTATCTCTGTCAAGCACTTGGCCCATTTATAATCTGAAGGGTCTGACTTCTTGAGCTCTAAACTCCCTTTGACAGGCTGGAGTCTAGGCCTGGGTTAGTCACTGAAGTGTGACTTTCAAATCATTAACTTCTCTGAACCTCAAATTGTAATTCTCCACATGTCAAATCAAGAGAGGGCAATAAATTTTAAAAAAGCAAGATCAGAGACTGTAGTGAAAGCCATATGCTCTCTCTCCCTATGATTTTGTCAGCCAATAAAACACCACTTGGGTGTAATTGGCAGAATCTGTTGTTCTCTACAGTTTCATTGGCTTCTCCTCACAGGAGCAAGAATGATTCATCCAGCAGGTGAAAAAGTAAGAGGCAAACATTCAGTCATCCACCTCTCTTTATTCTGGAGGGGTAAAATTCTACAGCTCTCTTGCCTTGAGGACCTTCCTCTCCCTGGCTCCCCGCATGCACCTGGTATGAGGCAGCCATGTTTCTCTACTCAACTGGCCCTAGATGTGACCCTTCCCAAATGCAGATCCCAACATCCAGCTTCAGCAAGGGTTTCAAGGGAGTATGAGGAAGAGCATTTGGGTATACATTCAAGACATGAGATCCAATCCAAGCAATAATCCTGAAATTGTAATCCCTGACTATTACATATATATATGTTTCTCAAATGATCCAGGATTCAAATGCAAGAGACTAACTGATTAACTAACCACTAAAATCCCAAATTAAAATTTTCCTCATGTATCTCCAAAGAGTTGTTCTAAGGATTCAAAAAGATAAGGAATAAGAAGTCTTTGCTTCCCCATTACATCTCCAGAAAAAAGGTGAATTTCTTAGAAGCCAAGCCAACCAAGCTCCAAGGCAAAATGAAGAATACCATTTATTCTGGGGATTCTCTTAGAAAGGCATGTTTTAATCATGAGTTTCAGTAATTACTTAATTAGCATGGCATTTTTACCTCCCTGGCCTAATGCTGAGCCTCAGAATTCTAATGGAAATTTTCCTTCAGCCGAATTCACTCCTTTCAAGAAGATGCTCAAGATGGTTTTGTTGTTCAGTTTGTTTTTTGGTAAAGGGAGAGGAAAGTACAAAAGAACCCATCAAACATGGAAATCAAAGCCAGAGTGAAGCTGTGAACTGTAAGGCACAAGGCAAGAGGAAGGGTAGCATGGCGGTTAAATATCAGCTTTGGAACCAAGAAGGCTGAGCCTGAATCCTCACTCTACACTGACTGTGTGGCCCTGGGCAATTTGTTTAATTTTCCAGGGGGTCTCTGTTTTCTCAGCCATAAAATGAAGATAACAGTAGTATCTCTTTTCTCCAGTGGTTGTGAAGACTCTGTAAGATACTATGCATCCAGCATCAAGTGAAGTGCCTAGAACATGTTACTCATTCATTTAGCTACTCTTTGAATTTTCAATTAGCCACTTACTAATAGTTGGGTAATATGCCTGTCCTTTCTGAGCTTCAATTTCCTTTTTGAAAAGCAGAAAAAATAAAATGTCTACCTTGAATGGTTGTCATAAGAACTGGAAAAAGACCAACATTATACCTAGCACTTAGAAGGTACTTCACAAAGAAAGCTATTATTTAAGTGATCATAAAACTTTAAGGAAATTTAGTATGTCTTCATCAGGAAACATTTTAGAATGGGCTTTTTAAAATCTTCTACTCGACAACAAGCTGTTCAAGAGAAGAAACTGTGTCTCTTTTCATCTTTACACTCCCAGTGCCTGATACATTAGACACTCAGCAAAATTTTATTTGGGTGAACTAGACAAAATCCCTAGCCCATTCCTCAATCTTGATTTTATGGGTCAACTTTTCCAAATTTTCAGCCAGTAAAGAATCACTCTTTAAAATAGTGTTTCTTAAGCTCCTGTATAACTGTGATGATTAATTTTACATGTCAACTAGACTATGCCACAGGGTGCCCAGATTAAGCATTATTTTCTGGGTGTGTTTGTGAGAGTGTCTCTGGCAAAGATTAGCATATGAATTCGGAGACTCAATATTGCCCTCCCCAGTGTGGCTGTGCATTTATCCAATTTATTGAAGGCTTGAATAGGACAAAAAGGAGGAAGGAAACAAATTCACCCCTTTCACTTCTTGTCTGCCTGTTTAAGCTGGGTTATTGGTCTTCTCGTACCCATGGACTGGGATCTATGTGATAGACCCTCCTAGTTCTCAGGCCTTCAGACTCAGAATGGGATTACACCACTGACTACACTGACTATCCTGTAGCTTGTAGATGGCAGATTATGGGACTTCTCAGCCTCATGTGAGCAAATTCCTCATGATAAATCCATGTGTGTGTCTGTGTGTGTGTGTGTGTGTGTGTGTGTACTCTAAATGCGATTAGAGATAAGGTGGTTTCATCTTGCGATATATGGACAAGGAAAAAAAACCCAGACTTTTCATTAAGCTCACAGTGCACCCTTTGCCCATAGCTCCCTCCTGCCTCCCTTTTTCCATCCTATATCTGTTCCTTCCTTCATCCTTCAACCTCAAAAGATTCTTTCCTGGTCACTCTATGAGCTCATGCATGCTCACTGTCCTCAGGACTCACAAAATCATGGAATGACAAAGTCATATGAGTATTATAAAGGTCATCTAAAGGAAACCACCCATCAGAGATACAATAATGCTCTCTACAAACACCCTTCCTAAGTGCTCATCCAGACTGGCTTACACACAGCGCATGATAAGAAATTCACCTCTCTATTAGGCCTTCCAACTTATCGTTGGTCAGCTCTGTTAGAAACTTACATTTAACCCAGACCTATCTCTCTGTAGCTTCTACCCAGTCCCTGTTTGTAGCTTTGTCTTTTGCAGGCTCACAGTATGAGCTGACTCTCCTTTCAATATCACAAATCTTCAACTTAACTCATTGTGCATGTATATCCTATCCCCACAACCAGATTAAAAGCCGCTAACAAGCAGTCTCCATGTTTCATGTTCTTTGTGCCCAACAGGTGCTTAATAAATACATACCTAATAAATGCTGTAAACACTTCTTTGCTATGTTGGCTGTTTTCTCTTAGTCTAGACTCATCCCATTGGGGCACCTATAAACAATTTCTTCCTCTGTTCAGGTGCTTAACAGCCAACTCACGTAATGCTGAGTAAATAGAAAGAGAAAAGGAAGGAAGAAGAAACATTTTTTAAAATTCCATCTTCAGGTGAACCAGGAGGCAATTTTCTTTTGCAGGCACATTATTTGCAACCCTGACAGTCACACATCAAAGTAAGGAAAAATCTAAGTGCTGTCCATTTCCCTCACAATATGCATGGGAGATCACATTATGTCCTGCGGAGCTATGAACAAATGGGAAGAAGTAGAATATATCCCTAATTGCTGTTTGCTTGGATTATTTTGAAATTGGTCAGAGGGCTTTCCACTTTGCTGAGCGCTTTATACAATACATTTGAATTTTCACTGAATATTTAAATGTCTGGTTCATATTCAAGTGTTTGACAGCTGGTTGAGCTTTTTTTTAAACCAAAGAAGATAAAGAGCCCCACACTTCCTGTAGAGTATTGAAGAAGGAATTGTTTGACTAATTTAATACTGTCTAAGGCAAAGAAATGCAAAACTGGCCAGATTTATAAAATATTCTGATTTTTTAATATAAGAGGGATAAGCATTTTGTTTGTTTTGTATGAGGGTTGGGGAAGTAATGTGATTGGAGACTGTATTCATCAATATTATGCAAATAATAGACATCTGATCATATCACTTTGGAAGAGAATATTAAAATGGCAGTTTTCCTATTGTCTCAGTTTGAACTAAAGCCCCAGATTTAAGAAAAAAGATGCCAGCTACAACCACACTAGAAAGCAAGGTCCTAGGTATGCAAAGAATATAATCCAAAACAAGTCTTGCAAATCTTAACCCAATAGGCTCAATCAGCCAATTGAGGAGTGATTGGGAAACCTTCGGTGGATTCTGTGGCAGTCCCAAGTTCATGGGGAGCTTCAGGAGAAATACTTGGAAAGCTTGGAACTTGTGAGAAAACAAAGATGGTAAACTGAAGCATGCCTAAAAAGAAATCCAAATACAAGAGTCTGGCCAGCCTAATGGCAGAGTGAAGAGTGAGGCTGTTTTGGAAAGAGTTGCACTCTTGAAGTTTGATGAAAGAGGGAGCATGCCTCCTCCTACAGTTTGCCTGATGCCTCCACCAACCCTAAGCTTCCTTTAAAGGGATTTCATCCAAAATAACCATTTGAGGTGTATATTAGTCAGGGTTCTCTAGAGGAACAAAACTAATAGGATAAAGTATAAATATGGGAGTTTATTAAGTATCAACTCACACAATCAAAAGGTCCCACAATAGGCCATCTGCAAGGTGAGGAGCAAGGAGAGCCAGTCCAAGTCCCAAAACTGAAGAATTTGGAGTCCAATGTTTGAGGACAGGAAGCATCCAGCATAGGAGAAACATACAGGCTGGGAGACTAGGCCAGTCTAGTCTTTTCACATTTTTTTTCTGCCTGCTTTATATTCTAGCCATGCTGGCAGCTGATTAGATGGTGCCCACCCAGATTAAGTGTGGGTCTGCCTTTCCCAGCCCACTGACTCAAACATTAATCTCCTTTGGCAACACCCTCACAGACACACCCAGGATCAATAATTTGCATCCTTCAATCCGATCAAGTTGACACTCAGTATTAACCATCACAAGGTGGAAGGTGAGATCAGCAGAAAGGGGCTAACCCTGAACTGGTAGAACTCAGAGTTTGAGGGCAGGGGTTGATCATTGGTGCCCAGCCACAGTAGCACTGCTGGCAAAAAAGAAACGAGGTGCATCAGAGAAATCTTTCCA
The DNA here is from genome assembly GCF_000001405.40 of Homo sapiens. Lineage (NCBI taxonomy): Eukaryota > Metazoa > Chordata > Mammalia > Primates > Hominidae > Homo > Homo sapiens. The sequence goes on from NC_000011.10 coordinate 43,179,694, forward strand.
GATGAGGACAGCCCCATCCTTTCCTGGCCTCCAACCCTGGAGGAGCCAGAGATAGCACGGTTAGTGGGCAAGGGAGAGGAGAAAAGCAATATGAAGAAGTAGATGACCATGCTCCTTCCTTGATGTAAGCTCAAAGCCTGCCTCAGGCCTGAGCTAAGGGAAGAAAATAATTTCATAATCAGATGAAAACGTGAAGTTGATATTAGACTGAACTAGACATTTATAACTGAAAAAAAGAGATAGAACATTTATATCCAAGATGGATGAGAAAGGCAATGCTACCTAGCCAAATCTCATTTGGAATCTTGGAAAAAATGACTCAGTGGAGCAAGTTTAACAGAAACTGGTGAGAAAGAAAAGTTGCTTTCTGCTCGTGACCACCACCAAGTTCAGGGGGGGAAATGTGTTACTTACAAGTGTCTTGCTTTAAAAAACAAATAAATAAAATTAAAATTAAAAACTACATGATTGATTTTAAGATAATCAAATCCTCACAAGGCATGTGTTTGCATATCAGGTCCCTGCCAATCTTGTGAACTCCATCTCAAGCTAACCCCCACCTACACCCACACAATAACTCCAGCCAGGTAGATTTCTGGAAGCTTCTCAAAATATAAGCTGCTTATCACCTCAGGCACATACTTTTCCCTTTGCCTTTGAATTGCTTGCCTCTTCTCATCCTCACATGGCTAATTTCTCCTTATTCTTGGAGTGCTTATAGGCAACAGAAACTAGCAGAAACAAGCAGAAAGTGAATTCATTGGAAGGGTAGAGGGTAGCTCACACAAACAAATACTAAAGAAACAATTCATTTAAAACACAGCTGGAAAAGAACAAAAGCCAAGGGAGTCCAAGGAATTAAGATGGAAGGAAATGATGGACAAGCTCTTCCAGAGGGTGAATCATCTTCAGCTGTTTTCATTTTGCTTGTTCACAGGAGAAGAGTCAGTGCTAGGCTGGGACATAGGCTCACCCCTGACTAGGAGAGGGCTGAGTACTTGCACACAATGCAGAAGCAAAAATTCCTCCCAAGAAAATCGGGACACAATTACTACAATAATGGTAGGCAGGCAAAACAACTGAAATCCACTCCACTTAAGAACGACTTTAAATGTTTCTTCCTTTGCCAGTTAATAGCCAGCAACCTTTGGGTAGATTGCTTACAGTATCTCTGCCTCAGTTTTTAATCTCAAAATGGTAAAAGTACCCACCTCATAGGATAGCTGTGAAGATTAAATTAATAAATACATATAACCCACTGAGCACAACTATTGTACACAGGAAGTATTATCTGTTATTATCTTTTCGGAAAATTTTCTATGATCACCTTGCCAGGTCAATCTGTTATATTTTCTTATCCCATCTTACATTTCTCCTTTGAACACTCAGCATAAGTGAACTTCAGAATTATTTGTGTAAAGGTGTCTATCCCACTAGGCTGTGTATGTATATATGTATTTGTATAATTTTTAACTGTGTATATCTCATTGGCTCTATAAGGGCAGAGGAAATAGTCATCTTTTCCAACTTGTATATGTTTCCAATGCATAGGTCATAGCAGAGTACCGTAGACTGACAATGGACCCCAAAGATATTCAGGTCCTAATTCCTGGAACCTGGGAACATTACCTTAAATGAGAAAAAGGACTTTGAAGGTATGACTAAGTTAAAGATCTTGCGATGGGGAGGTTATCCTGGATTGTCTGAGTGGTCCCTAAATGTAATCACAAATGTCTTTATGAAAAGGAAGTAGAAGGAGATTTGATACAGAAGAAGAGAAGGCAATGAGATGTCAAAAGCAAGAAGTTGGAATGATGTGAAGAAGGAGTCACAGGCCAAGGAATGCAGGCAGCTTCCAGTAGCTAGAAAAAGGCAAGGAAGCCAATTCTCCCCTAGAGCCTCCAAGAAGGAACCAGCCCTGCTGGCACCGTGGTGTTAGCCCAGTTAAACTGATTCTGGACTTTTGACCTCCAGATTTATACAGGAATAAATCTGTGTTGTTTTAAGCTACTAAGTTTGTGGTAATTTATTACAACAGCCATAAGGAACTAATACATAGGCACATAAGAAATATTTGCTGAATAAATATATGAGACTTTGCAAACGGCAAAAAGAAGCCAAGCATGATGGCTCATGCCTGTAATCCCAGCACTTTGAGAGGCCAAGGCGGGCAGACAGCTTGAGCTCAGGAGTTTGAGACCAGCCTGGGAAACATGACAAAACCCTGTCTCTACCAAAAATACAAAAAATTAGCTGGGCATGGTGGCATACACATGTGGTTCCAGCTACTCGGGAAGCTGAGGTGGGAGGAATACTTGAGCCTGGAAGTTTCAAGTGAGCTGCTATCGCACCATTGCCCTCCAACCTGGCCTACAGATGAGACCCCATCTCAAAAAATAAAATAAAGAATAGCAAAACGAGTGGAAATAAAAACCAGCATGGAAGCTGAAGTATGAGAAGTCTTCATGATGTAGATAACTCTGAGCAATTTATTTTGGTCCACACCTCTCAAATGTCATGATAGGTGGATCAGTTAAATACTGCACATCCCTGTGTTTGTCAAAGCTCTTAGTTGCAAGCTGAAGGAGTTACCACTGGCTGATTTAAGCAGGCAAAAGGAATTTATTGAAAATATTGTGTTTATTTCAGATTCACCAGGATAACTGAAGTACTAGTTTCAAGCCTAGCCATGCACCTTGTTCATTGCAACATGACAGCCCTGTAGAAGTCATGCAGTCAGAAGAAACATACTAAACATGCTGCACAATTGGTCTGGGGAAGACACCATTGGCACTGCACCAAACACAGCATTGCATCACAAGCCCAGCTGGCACCCAATACTGGCTGCCACCATTGTTACTGCAGTTTCTCATCTCCCTGCAGCACTGCAGCTGGAGAGTTCCTCAAGAGTCCTAAACTACAAGGAAGTCTAGGAAAGTAAGGACTGGACATTTTTAGTGTTTGTAATAAGAGGCATCTCAAGCACCTAACAAGATGCAAAATGAGGGCAGGGGAGATTCCCCACCGAAAAAAAGATTCAGGTGATGAGGAACCACAACGGAAAGATAAATGGATTCTACCATTCCATATCCAAAGCTTACAGTAAACTTACTTTCAAGCACTGGAATTCACCATGAATTCCCAAAATTAGAATGCGTACTCATGTAGCTAATGACCTTCTGTGTCCAATCACTTTTAAATTCGAATTAAAGCAGGTAACAAAATATTGAAGCTATTGAGGTTAAATATGTCCTCCTCAATTTCTAAATTAAATGAAAACATCTTGAGGAATTTTTAATGATGAATTTCCTTACTCAGATTGCCAAATGACATGATCAACAGAGAAAAGCCTGGTTTTGTTTCTCCATCACACTGCCCTATTAGATTGAATTAGAGCCATATTAACTACTTGTCAAAATGGTAAAAGATAATCTTATTTGGAAGCAATCAAATAACTAGAGTTTGGGTAGATATAAAATGTCACTATAATAAAGGAAGTATGGAAATCCTAGACCTTGGGCTATCAAAGTCTGCTACTTAAAATAGCCATTCAACTAATATTTTGCCTTTTTCCATATCAGAAAACTGGCTAATCACTGGGAATTTTTTTTTCCTGCTTAAGAAGGAATTCCTGAAGGAATGTATATTCTATGGAGGGTTGAAAGGATACTGATATGTAAAAAATGATTATAATAATTATAAGATATAGCGGGTGCCCTAACAGATGTGTTATGGTTTGAATTGTATTCCACCCAAGATTCATGTGCTGAAATTCTAACTCCTGGTGCTTCAGAATGTGACCTTATTTGGAAGTAGGACCATAGCAGATGTCACTAATTAAATTAAAATGAGATCTTACTGAAGTAGAGTTGGCCTCTAATCCAGTTGACTGTCATCCTTATAAAAAGAATGTCATGTGAAGAGACAGGCATGCACATGGGAAGAATGCTATGTGAAGGTTTGAGTTATACTGCAACAAGCCGAGAAACTTCCAGAAGTTAGGACAGAGGCCTAGAACAGATCCTTCCCCATCATCTTTAGAGAGATCATGGCCCTGCCAATACCTGATCTTGGACTGCTAGAACTGTGAGAAAATACATTCCTCTTGTTCTAAATCACTCAGTGTGTGATACTTGTTAATGGTAGCCTTAGAAAACTGATACAAGATGTATGGGTCAAGTGTTCTGTGACCACATGGGAGGGACAGATTCATTATGGCTGAGGATCTGAAAAAAGTGACCTCAGGGAAGGTGCCATCAGTTGCATATATGGAAAAGCGAAAAGGATTTCAACTGGCAGGGAAAATATAGGTTAAGAAAGGAGCGTTATATTAGTCTGTCCTCACACTGCTATAGAGATACTACCTGAGACTGGGTAATTTATGAAGGAAAGAGGTTTAATTGATTCACAACTCTGCATGGCTGGGGAGGCCTCAGGAAACTTACAATCATGGTGGAAGGTGGAAGGAGAAGAGGAAGCAAGGCTCATCTTACATGGCAGCAGGTGAGAAAGAAGAGCACAGGGGGAACTGCCAAACAATTTTTAAAACCATCAGTTTTTGTCAGAACGTCCTCACTATCACGAGAACAGCATGGAGGAAACCATGCCCGTGATCCAATCACCTCCCACCAGGTCCCTCTCTCAACACATGGGAATTACAATTGGAGATGAGATTTGGGTGGGGACACAGAATCAAACCATATCAGGCATCTTTTCTCCTTTCTTAAGGAGAGTCTTTTCACTTTCACAACTCCCAGGAGGACATGGGTTGAAAAGATACGTATTGGGTATTAAGCTCACTACCTGGGTGATGAGATCCATACCCTAAACCTCAGCATCACACAACATACCCATGTAACACAAACCTGGATATGTACCCCCTGAGTGTCAAATAAAATTTGAAATTATTTTTTGAAAAAGACACTCCTTCAGAACAAAACAAATATACAAAAGAATGAAAAGGAATTCCCCAGAAAAATTTTAGAGAACCAACTTAAAATTAACTATGGATATTATGTATCTATTTATTCTTCTCTATGAACTAAAAGCCTAATATTATAGTGCAGGGCCCATTATATTTGATAAACAAATACATGAATAAATGGCACAGAAGCCAAAATATACTTTTATGTGGGATTGGAATAGACATGAACAAATATGAAGGTATATTCTATGTATTAAGTATACAATATCAGTAAAGAGGAAAGTGAAATTTAAAAATTCACTAGTTCAATTTTCTTGAGGGAGGAGTTTTTGTAAATAAATATGAATCCAAAGCATTTAAAATCTTGAGGCATAACTCGTTCTACCACCCTCAACAAATAAGCAGCAATGATATAATAATCACTCAGAAAGGACCACAGGAAATGCAAAATGTTGATTTAGTGCAGCTTTAATAATTACAAATTAGGCATTCTTGCTATGAGACTAGAGTCTCACACTAAATCATGAAGAACATTTTTGTAATTTGGAAAATTTATAGCTAATGGAGTTGAGTTCCCATAACACATTCTGTCTAAGTTACAGAATGCCTAGCACAAATGTCTACAGATGGTCCATTCATTGATTTCACAAATATTTATTGAGAGAAGCTCTGTGTTGGGCATTGACCACAACAACAGATAGTGTTCCTAAAAATATTTCAAAGTAAGAAAGATAAATTAATTATGCGCTAAATGGAAACACTGATGCATTTAGACTACTAGGTAACTACTGAATTCATTTTTTAAAATTAAAGAGTTAGTTCATACCCAAATTAATCTATAAATCCAAAGCATTGCTAATCAAAATCTCACCATTTATTTTTTGTAAAATGGATATGCCAATTCTAAAATCCACACACAAGAGTAAAGAGCCAAGTATAGTGGAGATAAGTTTGAAATAAAGTAGAGACAAAAATGGGAGACTTGCCTTACTAGATATTAAAATACATAAAGCCATAGTTATTAGGGCCTGGTGCGGTGGCTCATGCCTGTAATCCCAGCACTTTGGGAGGCTGAGACAGGTGGATCATAAGGTCAGGAGTTCAAGACCAGCCTGACCAACATGGTGAAACCCCATTTCTACTAAAAATACAAAAATCAGTCGGGCGTGGTGGCGCGTGCCTGTAATCCCAGCTACACAGGAGGCTGAGGCAGAAGAATCGCTTGAACCCGGGAGGCAGAGGTTGCAGTAAGCCAAGATTACACCACTACACTCCAGCCTGGGTGACAGGGCAAGACTCCATCTCAAGAAAAAAAAAAAAAGAAGCCATAGTTATTAAGGTAGTGCAGTTTTGCTTAATAAAGAACCAACATACCAATGGAACAGAATAAAGATGCCAGAAACAGCTGTACACATAAGGAAATTTGACATAAAATAAAACTGGTATTTTTAATTCCTGGGGAAAGGATAGACTATTCAGTAAATTGTGTTGGAACAATTGGTTTTCCATATAAAATAAATTATATCCCTTTATCAGATAATACACAAATTTTTATAAGTTTCAGGATGGATGAAAGACCAAAATATAGAAAGCAAAATTTTACAACTATTAAGGGAAAAAATATAGAAAAATATCTTTATGACTTTAGGGAAGGATTTCTTAGATAACATAAATTTAACCTCACCAAAATCAAAATTTCTGCAAGATCAAAGCCACAATATACAAAATTAAAAGACAACCAACAGATTGGAAAGAGATTTTTGCAACATGTTTGACAGAGAATTGATTATATGAAAAGATACTGTTAAGAAAATCAAGACCTGCCTGAGAAAAACAGGTTTGAGAACTGCACATTCCAGGTGAGAAACCTCCAGCCATCTGGGTTGGTCATTCTCTTCAGAACTTGCAGAGAGGTGCATTTCAACAGAGCTGGCACTGCAGTCACCCCCAAACCTCTGTTAGTTTGCCTTTTTTTTTTGTAAATAGAGACTGTGTCCCTCCTTTCTGCTCTCTCTGAGGGAAGGTGTATTAGCCAAGATTCTCTAGAAGGACAGAACTAATAGGATAGTTATATATGTAAAGGGAGGTTTATTAAGTAGTATTAACTCACATGATCACAAGGTCCCACAATAGGCCATCTGCAAGCTGAGGAGCAAGGAAGACAGTCCGAGTCCCAAAGCTGAAGAACTTGGAGTCTGGCGTTCAAGGACAGGATGCATCCAGCATAAGAAAAGCATGTAGGCTGGAAGGCTAGGCCAGCCTAGGCTTTTCATGTTTTTCTGCCTGCTTTATATCCTGGCTGTTCTGGCAGCTGATTAGATGGTGCCCACCCAGATTAAAGGTGGGTCTGCCTTTCCCAGTCCACTGACTCAAATGTATAATCTCCTTTGGCAACACCCTCACAGACACACTTAGGATCAACACTTTGCATCCTTCAATCCAATCAAGTTGACACTCAGTATGAACCATCACAGAAGGGAAAGAGGAGCTACCACTCTTTCAAAACCTAGGGAGCGAGGACTCAAGACAATGATTAGTGAAGCTGAAAGATGCCTGTAAGAAGATCATATTGATATTTTAATTCCTGGTAGGATATTTACTTGACCACTAAACTTACCAATCTGCTTTGTTACACTCTTTGAGTGGGAAAAGAAAGGACTGAGAGAGAGGGTGTGATGGGATACAGGAGGGCAAAGAGAAGGCCAGGATTCCTGCATTTCCATCTTGAGTTCAGATTTCCAAGAGGACTCAGATTTGGGGTTATGGTCTTGATGGTGACAGTTACATCATGAGGCAGAGGCACATACATTAAAGACATGATCCGTGATCATGCCAATTGAGGGCCAGTGGAAGATGTATTCAATCATTCAAGGAGCATCCAATGCCTTCTAAAGCTGCTTGGGAGTGAGGCCATCATCAGCTCAACCTGCTGGAGTTATTCCTTGCCCTGTGGAGCCCACCTCAAATGCCATTTAGAGCCCAACCAGGAAAAAAAAAAAAACTAAACCTCAACACCTCAGGAGCAGTAGAACAGGGCAGAATCTGCCTCATTTATCACTCCCGTCTGCCCCAACATCCTACAGTGTGTAAAATTAGGCAATGTCTTGCACATACACACCACTCCAAATTCCTAGAGCTGCAAGTCTCATCTATATAGAAGGAAAATATGGAGAATTTTTAAATCAAATAGGAGATTTAGACTTTAAAATACACAGAGATAAATCTCAGAAAATGCAACAAGTCTGTTCTAATAATGGAATATGGCTGAAAAGTAATGAAGATGCCAAGATACTGTCCCAGTGGAAAAGGAGCTTTCAATACAGTACAACTGGTACTAGTTAACAGAAAAAAAGTGAAACCATTTGGGTTTATATCTTGATGAGCTGAAATTCCTCACTAAAACACCAGTACTTGGTGTCTGTGATATATAAAGAATATTTATAATTAATCCAAAAAAATATCTGCAAGAAAAATGGGTGTCTTGATTATCTAAACTTAGTTGCTCCAAGCAATTATCATTGCTTTACTTTTGATTCTGTAGTTTTGGCAGAGCCCAGTGGGGACAGCTTGTGTGTGCCCCATGTGTCATTTGCTGTGGCTGAAGTGCCCAAGGTGGCTTCTTCACTCATATGTCTGGCACTTTAGCTAGGATGGCTGGAACAGGAGGGAGGCTGGAAGGATGTCTCTCTCTGTCTTTCTCTCTCTCCTCATAGCCTCTCCACATGGCTAGCTTGTACTTCCTCACAGCATGGCAGTCTCAGAGTACTTGGATCTCTTACATAGAAACTGGCTTCCTCTAAAGAGCAAAAGTAGAGCTTGCCTTGCTTTCTTAGGCCCAGACTGGCACAGTGTCAATTCTGACACATTCTATTAGTTATTCTAGAGAAATTTGTCCACATTGTGCCAAGACACAAAGATGTTCATCACATTATTGTTTGTAATATCAAAACAAACATTTGGAAACAACCCAAATGTCTAATTATTAGTGTTGAGATGCATAAAATATGTTAAATTTTTATAATGCAGCAAGAGAAAATGAACAAACTGGATCATGATTTATCATCATGAAAACATCTAAAATAATGTTTAGTGAGAAAAGATAGTTGAAAAACCACACACTATGAAACAAACTATGTAATTTTTAAAAATACAAGCTAGGACTACATTTTTTTATATGGATATATTGTGAAAGCATTAAATCACACCAAAATCAAGATAGTGAATGCCTCCATGAAGGGAAGTAGAGGCATTCTGAGAAATGGACAAAGTAGAATTCAACTTTATTTGTAATATTTAAATTATTTTATATTTTAAAGCTGATGTGAATATGATGAAATTTTATTCTTTATTGATAGCTCTTTCCTATATTTGTCTCTGAAATTTTCTGAACTTTAAATCCTCTTCAAAATTTAAATTTAAAAAGTATAAGAGTTCACTTGTCTTACAATTGCTAATCTAGGTGGAGGGCTCAAGATAGTTTAGTTTGGGAATTGTCAACATCTATGAAGGGTCTGAGATGCTTACCCTACTTGTAAGTTAACCAGATAGACTGCCACAGTCTCATGTATGCCAACAGAAGGTGTGTGACTTCTGGGTCAGAAACAAAAGACTTTATTACTCAATGGCAACAGCAGTGGCCAGGGTGTCAGCACTTGTGTCAGTTTCCCAACTTCCAGGGCAATACAAAGAAGGTTGTATTACAGAAGAGGAACACTGGGTTTATGGAACCTAAATCTTTTCTAATGGGTGGTAAGACTGCTTGGTCTATGCTCTGGACACTGTTTTCCAAAGTCATAAGCCAATCTGCCATTGCTCCAGAGGGAGACACCATATCTATCTTCCAAGGCTGGTTGTGACATAAGCATCCTTGGAAATATAGCCTAAGACAAAGTGAGCCAATTCCTTGCTCATAAAGTCTTCAGAAATTCAAGGGACCAATGGAGAATTATCTCTGAACAGAAATTTTTCAATATGTGAAGATTTACCCTGCTATAATAGCAATAACATAGGACTAATTATTAGTCCCATGAAATATGCTATCCTTTACCTAAGTCTGAAGAGAAACATATATCTTGTATACATCTTGTATAAGTTGAACCATTCTAATAATTAGTCCTATGATATTGCTATTATAGTGTTAAAGACTTATATTTAAAGCTTTTACATTTAACATAGTACATTGCTTATTCTAACTACAAACCTCTACAAGCTAAAACCATAAAATCAGAAGAATGAAACTTTAATACAAGCCAGATCAGTAAGATACTAATGATTATGAAAAAAGGCTAGCTTGTAACAGAATAATACAACAGCATTGCACCTCAACTACAATGTTTTTTAAAACATTAAGTGTCATTTTAAAATTTTATCAGGAAGGAAAAAAACAACTACATAAGACCAGAATATTTAAAGATCTTGTAACTCATAAATACACTATACTATAAACAAGGTCCCATGACATAAAATAAAATGAGCTATAGACATGCTTTAGAATTAACTTCAGTACACATTATGATGCATAATAGCTGCTGAGATCTTTAAACAATTCATAATATATGTTTTACTTCTCTATATTAATAAGAATAAATTCAAAATACCATACAAAAATTTTTAAAGGCCTACATTGAAATTCCAAGAAAGCCAACCTGAATTTTGGAGTGAGGATAATGATAATGGACAGTCATATAAAACTATTCAGTCTATAAAACACATAAAGCACTTTTTACATGCAAAATATTAAAATGTTAATTCTTAAACAACTTGGAAGCAAAATATTATTTGAACATATACTAAGTCTCTGTCTAACTACTAAGGGCTTCTTAGTACAGAGTGGGAGCTCATTGAAGTCTGATTCTTGTCACGCCCGAGCCCAGGACAGAAGGTTCAGGCAGTAGAGAAAGAGGGAAATCACAAGCTTTTTTTTTCTTCTTCTTCTTCTTCTTTTATTTTTTTCAATTTCTACTTTTATTTTAGATACAGGGGATACATGTGCAGGTTTGCTACGTGGGTATATTGCAGCCAGATAGTGAGCATAGTACCCAATCGGTAGTTTTCCAAACCACTCCCCACTCCTTTCCCTCTAGTAAACTACAGCTTCTATTGTTCCCATGTTTATATCCATGTGTGCTCAATGTTTAGCTCCCACTTAGAAGTGAGAACTTGTGGTATTTGACTTTCTCTTCCTGCATTAATTTGCTTAGGAGTATAGCCTCCAGCTCCATCCATGTTGCTGCAAAGGACTTGATTTCATTTTTTCTTTCATGTCTGTGTAGTATTCCATGATGTCTATGTAACACATTTTTTCCCTAGTTGTTTTTTCATTTGGTTTTTTTGTTGTTGTTATTGGTTTTTTTTAACTTTTATTTTAATTTCAGGGGTACATGTGCAGATTTGTTATATAGGTAACTTACATGTCACAGGAGTCTGGTGTACAGATTATTTCATCACCCAAGTAATAAGCATAGTACCAATAGATAGTTTTTCATCCTCATCCTCCTCTCGCCCTCCACCCTCAAGTAGGCCCCAGTGTCTGTTTTTCCTTTCTTTGTGTCCATTTGCACTAAGCGTTTAGCTCCCACTGATAAGAGAGAGCATGGGGCATTCAGTTTTCTGTTCCTGCCTTAGTTCACTTAGGATAATGGCCTCCAGCTGCATCCATGTTGCTGCAAAAAACATAATCTCATTCTTTTCATGGCAGTGTAGTGTTCTGTGGTGTATACGTACATTCTTTATCTAGTCTACCATTGATGGGCATTTAGATTGAATCCATGTCTTTGTTATTGTGAATAGTGCTTCAATGAACATATGCATGTATGTGTCTTTACTGTAGAACAATTTATATTCCTTTGAGTATATACCCAATAAAGGGATTTCTGGATCAAATAGTAATTCTGTTTTAAGTTAAAATAACACATTTTGAAGTCCAACTTTTCCAGATTTGAATCCCAACCCCACTACTTTATAGCTCTATGACCCTGAGCAAGTCACAACTTATATAACCCTCAGTTTCCTCACCTGCAAAATAAAAAGGATAATATCTAAATTTTATTTGAAATGGCTAGCACTACATCTGGCATGTAGCAGGCCTCAATATTAGTTCTTTAAGTTCTGAAATATTTCCATTTCATATTTAATCATCCTAATAAGTAAGTGAAACAATACAGATCAGTGTGGCTTGGAGTTTCAGTCTATTACATGCCAGTAGTATTACCCCATGATTATGGTTTAGTAAAAGAGGGACATGGTTGATTGAACTCTGTATCCCTTACCTAACTCTGAAGAGAAATGCCTATCTTGTGTAGGTTGAACCATTTTATCAAACAAATAGAAAGAAAACATGTTGCAATAAATTTTCCATAAAAAGTAAGACAAACCCAGGATATGGCTTTGCTAGTAGGAAGAACTCCAGGCCAGAAGTTAACACAGGGGACCTTTAGTTCCACTTATTCTTCTAACCAGCTGTGTAGTCTTAGGAAAGTCATATACTTTCTGCCCTCTGGCCCTCAGCTTATCTGCTAAAGGGGTTTTATTTATTCCAATATTTATGGAGATTGTTGGGTCAGGCTTAGATATTTTTTGAAAGAAAGGCACAATCCCTACCTGTAACTGACACTATTAGTTTCCTGTCCTATAGCCATTGTGCCTTCTGCCCCAAAGTCTTCGTAGATTTAAAAAAAAAAAAAAAGTATTTTGTTCAGGCTTCAATGTGCCCAGCTCCAAAAGATAAGTCATGATTGCTCTAAATCAATCATGACAACTTCATTCTCCTTTGCCAAATAGTCTCTTTTTCAGCCCCCTTTGCAACTAGAAATGGCTACAAGGCTTGGCTCTGGTTAATAAGGCATAAGGGAACATCTAGTAGGCTTCTGGAACAAATTTTCTTCACTAATAAAAGGAGATCCTTTTCCCACATAATATTCTGCTTACCACTTGGGATGCTAGGGACGCAGTGCCTAGAACTCTGGTAGCCATCTTGTGACCGTGAAGTTACAAACACAAGGAAGGTGAATCAACCCACCTAGAGTGACGGAAAAGTCTTAGTCTTTAATAGCATCATTGAGCCACTGAAAATTGCCTGAGAACGTTTTACTGCATAATACGTATGTCGTTATTAGTTAAGCTACTGTTATTTGGGTATTGATGTGTTGGGTATTATAATGATAATCACAGCAAACTTTTTTTTTTCAAGGTAGAATTTTGCTCTGTCGCCTAGGCTGGAGTGCAGTGGTGCCATCTCTGCTCACTGCGACCTCTGCCCCCCTGGTTCAGGAGATTCTCCTGTTTCAGCCTCCCATGTAGCTGGGATTATAGGCACCTGCCACCACACCTGGCTAATTTTTGTATTTTTAGTAGAGACAGGGTTTAGCCATGTTGGTCAGGCTGGTCACAGACTCCTGACCTCAGGTGATCCACCTGCCTCGACCTCCCAACGTGCTAGGATTACAGGTGTGAGCCACTGTGCCAGGCCACAGCAAATTTTATTGACTGTTTACTTTGGCCTAGGCGTTATTCTAAGGTCTGTGCATCTATCAATTCATTTAGACTTCCAAACAATCTCATGTGGTCAGCTCTATAATTATCCCCATTTTACAGTGGAAGAAAGTGATAGAGAGGCAGCAAAAGTTGCAGATAGTAAAGTAGTTGGTATCTGAATCCAGGCAGTCTTAAGCAAGAATCTACAGGCTCAGTCACCACACTATAACACATTCTGCAAAGCTGTTAAAAATTATTTGTTTCAACCTGACAAAAACAAGAAATGCAGAAAGGATTCCCTATTTAATAAATGGTGCTGGGAAAACTGGCTAGCCATATGTAGAAAGCTGAAACTGGATCCCTTCCTTACACGTTATAGAAAAATTAATTCAAGATGGATTAAAGACTTAAATGTTAGACCTAAAATCATAAAAACCCTAGAAGAAAACCTAGGCAATACCATTCAGGACATAGGCATGGGCAAGGGCTTCATGTCTAAAACACCAAAAGCAATGGCAACAAAAGCCAAAATTGACAAATGGGATCTAATTAAACTAAAGAGCTTCTGCGTGCAAAAGAAACTACCATCAGAGTGAAAAGGCAACCTACAGAATGGGAGAAAATTTTTGCAACCTACTCATCTGACAAAGGGCTAATATCCAGAATCTACAAAGAACTCAAACAAATTTACAAGAAAAAACAAACAACCCCATCAAAAAGTGGGCAAAGGATATGAACAGACACTTCTCAAAAGAAGACATTTATGCAGACAACAGACACATGAAAAAATGCTCATCATCACTGGTCATCAGAGAAATGCAAATCAAAACCACAATGGGATACCATCTCACACCAGTTAGAATGGCAATCATTAAAAAGTCAGGAAACAACAGATGCTGGAGAGGATGTGGAGAAATAGGAATGCTTTTACACTATTGGTGGGAGTGTAAATTAGTTCAACCATTGTGGAAGACAGTGTGGTGATTCCTCAAGGATCTAGAACTAGAAATACCATTTGACCCAGCAATCCCATTACTGAGTATACACCCAAAGGATTATAAACCATGCTACTATAAAGACACATGCACACGTATGTTTATTGTGGCATTATTCACAATAGCAAAGACTTGGAACCAACCCAAATGTCCATCAATGATAGACTGGATTAAGAAAATGTGGCACATATACACCATAGAATACTATGCAGCCATAAAAAAGGAGGAGTTCATGTCCTTTGCAGGGACATGGATGAAGCTGGAAACCATCATTCTCAGCAAACCATCACAAGGACAGAAAACCAAACAATGCATGTTTTCACTCATAGGTGGGAACTGAACAATAAGATCACTTGGACACAGGGTGTGGAACATCACACACCAGGGCCTGTCAGTGGGTGGGGGCCTGGAGGAGGGATAGTATTAGGAGAAATACCTAATGTAAATGATGAGTTGATGGGTACAGCAAACCAACATGGCACATGTATACCTATGTATCAAACCTGCATGTTGTGCCCATGTACCCTAGAACTTAAAGTATAATAAATAAATAAATAAATAAATAAATAAATAAATAAATAAATAAATAAGGGTACAAAAATGGGAAATGGATTCTTAAGAAAATAATTAAGCCAAAAATAAAGAAGATAAAAGAAAAATAAATTATTTCTCACTTATTTAAAAAAAAGAATAAGAATTAACTTCTGATTGTAAGAGTATTCAAGTCCTTTAAGAGATAGTTAATATCAGGGCATCATAGACTCATTGTGTGCTGATAAAATTATTTTGGATAAAACGGTAAAGGATGAGTCATTCTGCCTTTTATTAAAGAAGAAAGAATCCACATACCACGCACTTTATGAGGGAGCAATTAACTACAAGAGAACTAAGTTAATGAGTATAAACCATGTGCCCTCTTCTCCCATGCAATTATCTGTGCAAAGTTTGTATCCTGTTGTAAAAGTCACTGACATCTAGGGCCATCACACATAGCTGCACAAACCCTGTACTACACAGCCCTGGGGGACAACCCTGGAGTTGTGCAGTGTGGCAGCTCTGCTGACATTGCCCTTGTGCCCTCTTGTTATCTTGCTATAGTCCTCATACTTTACTGATACTTTTAAAATAATTGAAGTGCTCAGCCAAGTGACTTGGAAGCAAGATAAAAGCTGAACATAGCATACATAAGGTATGTGCAGGCACACACACACTTGCACACGCAAACTCCCACACACAGGTCCACATGACCACAATGGCACACTGATTTTATCAAAGCATTTTCCCACTTCCTAATGCAAACTCAGTCTATCTGTATAAGAAATGGACCAAAGGCCATCTTCAGTGGCACTACCATCTGAACTCAACCCCAAACAGAGCCATTGACTTTATCTAGAATTTCAAGATTATTCTAGTTTCTTAGCCAGTCAGGACAAGTTCAGAAAGCTTCTCAGGAATATAACCACACAAATTAGTAAAAGTTTTGAATCAGTCTTGTAGCCAATAAATGTGGTATCTCAACCGCCAAGTATTTTGTTTTTATTAAATGTTTACTCTGTATCAGGTATTGTGCGGAATACTTTACCTTTGTTATTTCATTAAATCTTTTCTACGTATGTAACGTGCACATTATACAAATGGAAAATCTGAATCTCAAATAAGCTAGCAAGTTGCAGCATATACTGCTGGTTTCCTGTCCCTTCTTTCTTCCTAAGCGAGCACAAATTTTGTTCAGGTATCCACCCTGCATCAAAAGATTAAGTGTGATACTCATCCCAAGCTCTTAGAGTAGATTTTTTTTCTTCTAAGTTAATCATAATGATCTTGTTTTCCTATTATGATTGATTTATAAATGGACATATTAGCCTATTCTGGTCAGAGAAAAGTGAGAAGAAGTTTGCTGTGGCATTTTTTGAAAAGTTGTGTCACTCCTACAGAAGAGACACAGAAAGAAACTAATCTCTCTTCTTTTCCTCAAGACTTTCTTGCCTGGATGTGGTACCTAGAACTGCTGCTGCCATCTTTCTGCCAACTTAAATATTAAACCAACTTGCTGAAAAAAGCAAAAGAATACGAAAAGAATCACAGAGAGATAGAGTCAGAGCTCTGGCATATTAGACATAGGAAATACTTATTTTCAGTATTTATTGATGTGTGAGAAAATAAGCAATCTTATCCTTAAATGTAACCAGAGTTGAGTTTTCTATTAAGTGTGTTTTTATTAAGTGTTGGACAAAATAAGTGGTAGACCTGGGATTTGAACACAGGTCTGTCTATTGCCAGTACTGGTGCCCTAAACCATAACATACTTCCTGTGAGTGCTCAATGCCTCTATATGGATAAAGTATAGACACAACATTGCCTCACATCCCTCCCAGCACACTCACACACACACACCTTTGCCCAAGCCTGTGAAACTCAGCCTTTGACTTATTTACCCCATCCAGCACTCATCTTACTACTTGAGCTTCTCCAGAAATTTGCCTATTTGGTGGAGACAGAAAATTGGTCTAGCTTTTGATAACCAAGCCCAATTCAAGATTCAAGCCCCATCTAAACTCAGTCACTGGAAAGGCCATTTCTTAGAACCATCACCACCAATACTGCCACCAATGACCGAAAAAAAAGATTACAAATGTACTTACATTGTTAAACATGTTAGATGACATTTAGCATGTATCTACTACCATTGTTTAAAGAATCTGAAATTCCCTACTTTGTTTCAACCTGGATGATCCAGAGCTTTTTCTCAAATAAATTTTTTCCTTCATTACTATATGCTTTCTTTAGAGAGCCCGAATATCAGATCTTAGAGCTTCTGTCATTTGAAACAATGTTAGGAAACTCAATACCAAAAAAAAACCTTAGATTTATAGCTTTGTCATCAAGATCACCAACTTCCTTCTGGAACATTAAGACAGTATCCACTGGTATTCAAAGAAGGAAAAGAAACTAATATTAATTGTGTATCTATGTCAGGTTCTGTGCTAAACATTATATTATCTCACATTATACTCAAAATAACCCTACAATATAGGAATTTCTGTTTCCTCAATTGAAAAATGAACAAATGAAAGTAAGTTTATGTAATTGCCTTTAGGCAATACAGCTAGTAAAATATAAAGCCAGAATTAGAAACCTCTGCAAAGGAAAAGGCCATCCACAGGTACTCTGAAATATCCTGGCCTGCTTTTCTAATTAAATGAGTACACTTATTGGATCTTAGCTTCAGCCTTTGATGTAATTTTCACCAAAGATGGTGTCTATGCTCTCCCTGCCAGACATATTGCCCAGTGCATTGGTGAGGGGGAAGCATAAAAAGAAATTAGATATGACTATTGTAAAAGATTTAATAATAGTCATGACTGCAGAGAAAGAAGTAGTCTGAGTCATTTTCTACCTTAAAAGAAAGTGTGGGTCAGGAAATTGCTAAGGTTAAACTAAGTCTAGGGCTCATCATAATTCAGCACCATGGGCAGCGAAAGAGGGGCAATAAAACTGAAATATGAGACAGACAAGAGATAAAAGAAGAAAGAAAATGTTTAACTCCCAGGTTCTTCCTAAGGAATTTCAAACTGTCCAGGGTTTTATTCACCCTTTCATTCAGCACTATTTATCTTTCTTATGCCATTGAAACTCTTTCCTGCAGAAAAGCCATTCTCCCTCATATCTGACATTGCAAATTACCTCCTCTAAGAGGCCCAAACCAGTTTGTTTAATTTCTACAGTGGATTTACTTGCACAGGTGTCAATCATTTCTCTAAGAAGTACGTTGAGGAGCATGCAGTAGGGGATAATTGCTGTCTTCTGGTAGAGGTCAAGCAGCATCTAAGACCAGGAAGAATGTGGTACTAGATTCATCTGCATGACAGTATGCAAGCCAAAATTATTTTGATTTTACTAATACCACAGGGAATATTTTAAACCTGCAAAGTGGAGGCCCTGATAAAATATCAATTGTGACTCTACATTCTTCATTAAACTACAGAAACAGCCCCAGATTGGTCATCAGGCCTGAGGAAGGGGCATTGGGAATAAAAATGGGGTAAAATAGGAGTATATTGTGATGACAGGCAGTAACGAGGGTTGCCCAGGAGTCTACACTGAAGACAAAGATGAAAATTTCTGGAATAGAATAGTGTATCATATGAAGTCACTAAGTGATTTGTAAGTACATTCAACCTATTATCAAGCCAAACTTCACATTTATAATATACCTAGACCATTTGAAGAGTTTCTCTAGTGCTCACATTCCAACAGATCCTCAGTTCCACTCTGACCAGACCCACTCAGTGAACTTCATTGGATCATCCTGCCCTGTGCTTATACTATTCTTTAAAAAGTAAACGTTAATGGGCAAAGATGTCACAACTTTAACATTCCTAACAAGCTTGTGAAAAACTTCAAATCAAAGTTCCATATTTCAAAAAAAAATGGGGATAAAGATATGTTTGTATTATGGTAGGAAAAGAAAACTACTGTTGTACTGTTTTCTAAGGAAAAGTTTTCCTCTGTCTGAGAAAGTTGTTCTCCTCAGTGGAATAGAAATGTGTGCCTAAAACATTGTAGAGAGAATAGAATATCTACTTAAGCTATCTGATCATCCAAACCAGCCACAGAGGTAGTTATCCATAGGGTAACAGATATGAGATGATACACATCCTTAGGCCCAGAGTTAAATTCCAAGCTTATTTATGAATGTTGGGAGAGCCTAAATTCAACAGATTGGACTAAAAGAGTACTTCCATTGTGGTATACTAACTGATATTACTGAAAGAGGTTCAAAAGTCAACTAAGTTCAGAAAATCCTGGGAACGAATTTTTTACTGAAGCACTTCTCAGGAGACCTTAACCTGTTCATATGCATTGTGGATTTCCAAGAGTCGTCATATATTACACAGAATTTTCCAAGATCTTTGCTACCATGAGGTTCATATGGGCATATTTCTCGATTTTCCAGCCTAGTTTCATGGGAAGTTAGCATACATGATCCAAAGAGAATATTGCCATGTTGAAGCTTGCACTTAACTACCGATGTAATAACCAGATGATAACAGATATCTTAACTGTCAAAAGAAAAACATAAGACAAGGAAGCCAAGTACTTTAATACCTATAATTTCTGTGACTGATAATGTTTGTTGGTGTGTCAAGTGGAGATAGTATAATATTCGAACAGAAGATGATTTAACTGAGAGAACAGACTCAAAGACTGTGACTGTAATGTGAAATTATATGAGGTTGACTAAAACGTGCAAGCAATGATGGCCCTTCATACAGATGAGGAACTGCGATTCCTTTTTTTGTAAAACTCTCTAGAATAAAGACTTCTTCATGGAGACACTGCTGCATGCAGTCCAAGAATCAAACAGAGGATAATATTTATCATAAAGTTAATTTTATGCAAATTATTCTTTTCTGGAGGCAGACTAAAAAGCAATCATGTCTTAAGGTCCCACTTTTCTTTCTTAAAGTCTTAAAATTATACTTCAAAATTGAAGTTATAAAGTTATAAATCTGGCTGACACAGTACCCTATGTGAATGGCCAACTTTGCAGCAATTTAGTATCATTATTATCAGAAAATAACTGTATTCAGATAGTCATATTCAAATTACTTGTTTTTATAAAATTAATGAAATCAAACAATTCATATCTATGTATATCATTCCTATAAATATTTATCTGTTACACATATACACTAGTAGCACAAGAGGAGAGAATTAAATTTTTCCCTAAAAGCCAATTTGGAACAAGTCATGCAACAGATACAAATTTTCTACGAATCCAAAATTAACATTAAATTAGTCTTCAATTACAATTTCTTGTAGAAACGGATCGGTTCTAACTTAGCTTCCTTCTAATGCCCCTTCTCTCTAATACACTGAAATTTCTCTGGAAGAGGTGATCATTCTGCCGCAACTTGCCAAATAAATTTTGAACACCTTGAGCACTTTGTTAATAAAATGACACAGTAAGGCATCTAATGCCTTCAGGCCTAGAATAGACTTTGGGAGAACAGCCCATGATCTCATTCCCATTAAGTCCAAGATAAAATGGCTAGGGGGCAGAAAATGAGTCAATGGAGCCTGAGGTCTCTGCCCTTATGAACCTCATGGTAGCAAAGGCATATGGATCTCATCACTTTTCACTCTGCAAACATAATTAGTGGCTGACATTAATTTGTTCTTGTTGGAAAGAAACATCGTTTCACTTTTGTTTTAATAACAGTTATGCCTCCCTGGAGATTGAGTCTTCTGTCAAGTCTAAAAGCAGCCAAAATGCAGAGTTTTACAGTCATACTCTCCATAATTTCTGCATAACTAGATCTCTAAATCTGAAATTGTAACCTACCCTAGGAGGCCACCCTTAATTCCCAACAGCTTGGTTACTATATACTGTACTTGTCGTTTAGCAGCACCTAGTAGAGTGCCTATCACATAGCAAGTACTCAATATGTTATTTGTTAAATGAAGGACAACACCAGAATTGGGGGTAGTTTTTTTTCTTCTAAAAAAAAAAAACAGGATACATGTGCAGAATGTGCAGGTTTGTTACATAGGAATACGTGTGCTGTGGGGCTTTGCTGCACCCATCGACCCATCCTCTAAGTTCCCTCCCCTCATCCCTCACCTACCCACCAGACCCTGTATGTGTGGTTCCCTTCTCTGTGTCTATGTGTTCTCAATGTTCAACTCCCACTTATGAGTGAGAAAATGCTGTGTTCAGTTTTTTGTTCCTGTATTAGTTTGCTGAAGATAATGGCTTCCAGCTTCATCCATGTCCTTGCAAAGAACATGACTTCATTCCTTTTTATGGCTGCATAGTACTCCATGGTGTATATGTACCACATTTTCTTTATCCAGTCTATCATTGATAAGCATTTCAGTTGGTTCCATGACTTTGCTATTATAAATAGTGCTGCAATAAACATACATGTGCATGTGTGTTTATTGTAGAATGATTTACATTTCTTTCAGTATATACCCAGTAATGGGACTGCTGGGCAAATGGCATTTCTGGTTCTAGATCATTGAGGAATTGCCATACTGTCTTCCACAATGGAGAAGTAATTTACATTCCCACCAACAGTTTAAAAGCATTTCTATTTCTCCACAGCCTTGCCAACATCTATTGTTTCCTGACTTTTTTTTCTTTTATTATACTTTAAGTTTTAGGGTACATGTGCACAACGTGCAGGTTAGTTACATATGTATATATGTGCCATGTTTGTGTGCTGAACCCAGTAACTCATCATTTTAACATTAGGTATATCTCCAAATGCTATCCCTCCCCGCTCCACCCACCCCACAACAGGCCCCAGTGTGTGATGTTCCCCTTCCTGTGTCCATGTGTTCTCATTGTTCAATTCCCATCTATGAGTGAGAACATGCAGTGTTTGGTTTTTTGTCCTTGCAATAGTTTGCTGAGAATGATGGTTTCCAGCTTCAACCATGTCCCTACAAAGGATATGGACTCATCATTCTTTATGGCTGCATAGTATTCCATGGTGTATATGTGCCATATTTTCTTAATCCAATCTATCATTGTTGGGCATTTGGGTTGGTTCCAAGTCTTTGCTATTGTGAATAGTGTCGCAATAAACATACGTGTGCATGTGTCTTTATAGCAGCATGATTTATAATCCTTTGGGTATATACCCAGTAATGGGATGACTGGGTCAAATGGTATTTCTAGTTCTAGATCCCTGAGGAATTGCCACACTGACTTCCACAATGGTTGAACTAGTTTACAGTCCCACCAACAGTGTAAAAGTGTTTCTATTTCTCCACATCCTCTCCAGCACCTGTTGTTTCCTGACTTTTTAATGATTGCCATTCTGACTGGTATGAGATAGTATCTCATTGTCTTTTTGATTTGCATTTCTCTGATGACCACTGATGATGAGCATTTCTTCATGTGTCTTTTGGCTGCATAAATGTCTTCTTTTGAGAAGTGTCTGTTCATGTCCTTTGCCCACTTTTTGATGGGGTTGTTTGTTTCTTTCTTGTAAATTCGTTTGAGTTCATTGTAGATTCTGGATATTAGCCCTTTGTCAGATGAGTAGATTGCAAAAATTTTCTCCCATTCTGTAGCTTGCCTGTTCACTCTGATGGTAGTTTATTTTGCTGTGCAGAAGCTCTTTAGTTTAATTAGATCCCATTTGTCAATTATGGCTTTTGTTGCCATTGCTTTTGATGTTTTAGACATGAAGTCCTTGCCCATGCCTATGTCCTGAATGGTATTGCCTAGGTTTTCCTCTAGGGTTTTGATGGTTTTAGGTCTAACATGTAAGTGTTTAATCCATCTTGAATTAATTTTTGTATAAGGTGTAAGGAAGGGATCCAGTTTCAGCTTTCTACATATGCCTAGCCAGTTTTCCCAGCACCATTTATTAAATAGGGAATCATTTCCCTGTTTCTTGTTTTTGTCAGGTTTGTCAAAGATCACATGGTTTTGGATGTGTGGTATTATTTCTGAGGGCTCTGTTCTGTTCCATTGATCTATATCTCTGTTTTGGTACCAGTACCATGCTGTTTTGGTTACTGTAGCCTTATAGTATAGCTTGAAGTCAGGTAGCGTGATGCCTCCAGCTTTGTTCTTTTGGCTTAGGATTGACTTGGCGAAGCGGTCTCTTTTTTGGTTCCATATGAACTTTAAAGTAGTTTTTTCCAATTCTGTGAAGAAAGTCATTGGTAGCTTGATGGGGATGGCACTGAATCTATAAATTACCTTGGGCAGTATGGCCATTTTCACGATATTGATTCTTCCTACCCATGAGCATGGAATGTTCTTCCATTTGTTTGTATCCTCTTTCATTTCATTGTGCAGTGGTTTCTAGTTCTCCTTGAAGAGGCCCTTCACGTCCCTTGTAAGTTGGGTTCCTAGGTATTTTATTCTCTTTGAAGCAATTGTGAAGGGGAGTTCACTCATGATTTGGCTCTCTGTTTCCCTGTTATAGGTGTATAAGAATACTTGTGATTTTTGCACATTGATTTTGTATCCTGAGACTTTGCTGAAGTTGCCTATCAGCTTAAGGAGATTTTGGGCTGAGATGATGGGGTTTTCTAGATATACAATCATGTCATCTGCAAACAGGGACAATTTGACTTCCTCATTTCCTAGTTGAATACCCTTTATTTCCTTCTCCTGCCTAATTGCCCTGGCCAGAACTTCCAATACTATGTTGAATAGGAGTGGTGAGAGAGGGCATCCCTGTCTTGTGCCAGTTTTCAAAGGGAATGCTTCCAGTTTTTGCCCATTCAGTATGATGTTGGCTGTGGGTTTGTCGTAGATAGCTCTTATTATTTTAAGATATGTCACATCAATACCTAATTTATTGAGAGTTTTTAGTATGAAGCTTTGTTGAATTTTGTCAAATGCCTTTTCTGCATCTATTGAGATAATCATATGGTTTTTGTCATTGGTTCTGTTTATATGCTGGATTATGTTTATTGATTTGCATATGTTGAACCAGCTTTGCATCCCAGGGATGAAGCCCACTTGATCATGGTGTATAAGCTTTTTGATGTGCTGCTGGATTTGGTTTGCCAGTATTTTATTGAGGACTTTTGCATCAATGTTCCTCAGGGATATTGGTCTAAAATTCTCTTTTTTTGCTGTGTCTCTGCCAGGCTTTTGTATCAGGATGATGCTGGCCTCATAAAAAGAGTTAGGGAGGATTTCCTCTTTTTCTATTGATTGGAATAGTTTCAGAAGGAATGGTACCAGTTCCTCCTTGTATCTCTGGTAGAATTCGGCTGTGAATCCATCTCGTCCTGGACTTTTTTTGGTTGGCAAGCTATTAATTATTGCCTCAGTTTCAGAGCCTGTTATTCGTCTATTCAGTGATTCAACTTCTTCCTGGTTTAGTCTTAGGAGGGTGTATGTGTCAAGGAATTTATCCATTTCTTCTAGATTTTCTAGTTTATTTGCGTAGAGGTGTTTATAGTATTCTCTGATGGTAGTTTGTATTTCTGTGGGATCGGTGGTGATATCCCCTTTATCATTTTTTATTGCGTCTATTTGATTCTTCTCTCTTTTCTTCTTTATTAGTCTTGCTAGCAGTCTATCAATTTTGTTGATTTTTTTAGAAAAACAGCTCCTGGATTCATTGATTTTTTGAAGGGCTTTTTGTGTCTCTATTTCCTTCAATTCTGCTCTGATCTTAGTTATTTCTTGCCTTCTGCTAGCTTTTGAATGTGTTTGCTCTTGCTTCTCTAGTTCTTTTAATTGTGATGTTAGGGTGTCAATTTTAGATCTTTCCTGCCTTCTCTTGTGGGCATTTAGTGCTATAAATTTCCCTCTACACACTGCTTTGAATGTGTCCCAGAGATTTTGGTATGTTGTGTCTTTGTTCTCGTTGGTTTCAAAGAACATCTTTATTTCTGCCTTCATTTCATTATGTACCCAGTAGTCATTCAGGAGCAGGTTGTTCAGTTTCCATGTAGTTGAGCGGTTTTGAGTGAGTTTCTTAATCCCGAGTTCTAGTTTGATTGCACTGTGGTCTGAGAGACAGTTTGTTATAATTTCTGTTCTTTTACATTTGCTGAGGAGTGCTTTACTTCCAACTATGTGGTCAATTTTAGAATAAGTGCGGTGTGGTGCTGAGAAGAATGTATATTCTGTTGATTTGGGGTGGAGAGATCTGTAGATGTCTATTAGGTCCACTTGGTGCAGAGCTGAGTTCAATTCCTGGATATCCTTGTTAATTTTGTGCATCGTTGATCTGTCTAATGTTGACAGTGGGGTGTTAAAGTCTCCCATTATTATTGTGTGGGAGTCTAAGTCTCTTTCTAGGTCTCTAAGGACTTGCTTTATGAATCTGGGTGCTCCTGTATCTGGTGCATATATATTTAGGATAGTTAGCTCTTCTTGTTGAATTGATCCCTTTACCATTATGTAATGGCCTACTTTGTCTCTTTTGATCTTTGTTGGTTTAAAGTCTGTTTTGTCAGAGTCTAGGATTGCAGCCCCTGCCTTTTTTTTCTTTCCATTTGCTGTGTAGATCTTCCTCTATCCCTTTGTTTTGAGCCTATGTGTGTCTCTGCACATGGGATGGGTTTCCTGAATACAGCACACTGATGGGCCTTGACTCTTTATCCAATTTGCCAGTCTGTGTCTTTTAACTGGAGCATTTAGCCCATTTACATTTAAGATAAATATTGTAATGTTTGAATTTGATCCTGTCATTATGATGTTAGCTGGTTATTTTGCTCATTAGTTTATGCAGTTTCTTCCTAGCCTTGACGGTCTTTACAATTTGGCATGTTTTTGCAGTGGCTGGTACCGGTTTTTCCTTTCCATGTTTAGTGCTTCCTTCAGGAGCTCTTTTAGGGCAGGCCTGGTGGTGACAAAATCTCTCAGCACTGGCTTGTCTGTAAAGTATTTTATTTCTCCTTCACTTATGAAGCTTAATTTGGCTGGATGTGAAATTCTGGGTTGAAAATTCTTTTTTTAAGAATGTTGAATATTGGCCCCCACTCTCTTCTGGCTTGTAGAGTTTCTGCCAAGAGATCAGCTGTTAGTCTGATTGGCTTCCCTTTGTGGGTAACCCGACCTTTTTCTCTGGATGCCCATAACATTTTTTCCTTCATTTCAACTTTGGTGAATCTGACAATTATGTGTCTTGCAGTTGCTCTTCTTGAGGAGTATCTTTGTGGCATTCTCTGTATTTCCTGAATTTGAATGTTGGCCTGCCTTTCTAGATTGGGGAAGTTCTCCTGGATAATATCCTGCAGAGTGTTTTCCAACTTGGTTCCATTCTCCCCTTCACTTTCAGGTACACCAATCAGACATAGATTTGGTCTTTTCACATAGTCCCATATTTCTTGGAGGCTTTGTTTGTTTCTTTTTATTCTTTTTTCTCTAAACTTCTCTTCTCACTTCATTTCATTCATTTGATCTTCCATCACTCATACCCTTTCTTCCAGTTGATCGAGTCAGCCACTGAGGCTTGTGCATTCATCACATAGTTCTTGTGGCTTGGTTTTCAACTCCATCAGGTCCTTGAAGGACTTCTCTGCATTGGTTATTCTAGTTAACCATTTGTTTAATATTTTTTCAAGGTTTTTTAACTTCTTTGCCATGGGTTCAAACTTCCTCCTTTAGCTCGGAGTAGTTTGATTGTCTGAAGCCTTCTTCTCTCAACTCGTCAAAGTCATTCTCCATCCAACTTTGTTCCATTGCTGGTGAGGAGCTGCGTTCCTTTGGAGGAGGAGAGGCACTCTGATTTTTAGAGTTTCCGGTTTTTCTGCTCTGTTTTTTCCCCATCTTTGTGGTTTTATCTACATTTGGTCTTGGATGAGGGTGACATACAGATGCGGTTTTGGTGTGGATGTCCCTTCTGTTTGTTAGTTTTCCTTCTAACAGTCAGGACCCTCAGCTGCAGGTCTGTTGGAGTTTGCTGGAGGTCCACTCCAGACCCTATTTGCCTGGGTATCAGCAGCAGAGGCTGCAGAACAGTGGATATTGGTGAACAGCATATGTTGCTGCCTGATCGTTCCTCTGGAGGTTTTGTCTCAGAGGAGTACCCAGCCGTGTGAGGTGTCAGTCTGCCCCTACTGGGGGCTGCCTCCCAGTTAGGCTACTTGGGGGTCAGGGACCCACTTGAGGAGGCAGTCTGCCCGTTCTCAGATCTCCAGCTGCATGCTGGGAGAACCACTACTCTCTTCAAAGCTGTCAGACAGGGACATTTAAGTCTGCAGAGGATTCTGCTGCCTTTTGTTTGGCAATGCCCTGCCCCCAGAGGTGGAGTCTACAGAGGCAGGCAGGCCTCCTTGAGCTGCAGTGGGCTCCACCTAGTCTGAGGTTCCTGGCCACTTTGTTTACCTACTCAAGCCTTGGCAATGGCGGGGGGCCCCTCCCCCAGCCTTGCTGCCAGCTTGCAGTTTGATCTCAGACTGCTATTCTAGCAATGAGCAAGGCTCCGTGGGCATAGGACCATCCGAGCCAGGCACAGGATATAATCTCCTGGTGTGCCACTTGCTAAGACCATTGGGAAATGCAGTATTGGGGTGGGAGTGACCCGATTTTCCAGGTGCCATCTGTCACCCCTTTCTTTGACTAGGAAAGGGAATTCCCTGACCCCTTGCACTTCCCAGGTGAGGCAATGCCTCACCCTGCTTTGGCTCATGCTCGGTGCACTGCACCCACTGTCCTGCACCCACTTTCCGACACTCCCCAGTGAGATGAACCCAGTACCTCAGTTGGAAATGCAGAAGTCACCCATCTTCTGCATGGCTCACACTGGGAGCTGTAGACTGGAGCTGTTCCTGTTTGGCTATCTTGGCTCCACCCTCCTGACTTTTTAATAATTGCCATTCTGACTGGCATGAGATGGTATCTCATTGTGGTTTTGATTTGCATTTCTCTGATGATCAGAAATGTTGAGCTTTTTTTCCTATGTTTGTTGGCCACGTAAATGTCTTCTTTTGAGAAATGTCTGTTCATATCCTTTGCCCACTTTTTGATGGGGTTGTTTGTTTTTTCTTGTAAATATGTTTAAGTTCCTTGTAAATTCTGGATATTAGACCTTTGTCAGATGGGTAGATTGCAAAAGTTTTCTCCCATTATGTAGGCTGCCTGTTCACTCTGATGATAGTTTCTTTTGCTGTGCAGAAGCTCTTTAGTTTAATTAGATCCCATTTGTCAATTTTGGTTTTTGTTGCAATTGCTTTTGGCATTTTTGTCATGAAGCTTTTCCTATGCCTATGTCCTGAGTGGTATTGCCTAGGTTTTCTTCTAGAGTTTTTATGATTTTGGGTTTTACATTTAAGTCTTTAATCCATCTTGAGTTAATTTTTGTACATAGTGTAAGGAAGGGGTACAATTTCAGTTTTCTGCATATGGCTAATCAGTTTTCCCAGCACCATTTACTGAATAGGAGATCCTTTCCCCATTGCTTGTTTTTGTCAGGTTTATTGAAGATCAGATGGTTGTAGATGTGTAGTGTTATTTCTGAGGTCTCTGTTCTGCTCCATTGGTCTGTATATTTTGGTACCAGTATCATGCTGTTTTGGTTATTGTAGTCTTGTTGCATAGTTTGATGTCAGGTAGCATTATGCCTCCAGCTTTGTTCTTTTGGCTTGGGATTGTCTTGGCTATATGGGGTCTTCTTCAATTCCATATGAAATTTAAAATAGTTTTTTTCTAATTCTGTGAAGAATGTCAATGGTAGTTTGATAGAAATAGCATCGAATCTATAAATTACTTTGGGCAGTATGGCCATTTTCATGATATTGATTCTTCCTCTCCATGAGGATGGAATGTTTTCCACGTGTTTGTGTCCTCTCTTATTTCCTTGAGCAGTGGTTTGTAGTTCTCCTTGAACAGGTCCTCCACATCTCTTGTTAGCTGTATTCCTCCGTGTTTTTTTCTCTTTGTGTCGATTGTGAATTGAAGTTCTTTCATGATTTGTCTCTCTGCTTGCCTGTTGTTGGTGTAAAGGAATGCTTGTGACTTCTGAACATTGATTTTTTATCCTGAGACTTTGCTGAAGTTGCTTATTATTTCAAGAAGTTTTGGGGCTGAGATCATGGGGTTTTCTAAATATAAAATTATGTTGTCTTCAAACAGAGACAACTTGACTTCCTCTCATCCTATTTGAATATCCTTTATTTCTTTCTCTTGCCTGATTGCCCAGGCCAGAACTTCCAATTCTATGTTGAATAGGAGGTGTGAGAGAGGGCATCCTTGTCTTGTGCTGTTTTTCAAAGGGAATGCTTCCAGCTTTTGCCCATTCAATATGATATTGGCTGTGGGTTTGTCATAAATAGCTCTTATTATTTTCAGATATGTTCCATCAATACCTAGTTTATTTAGAGTTTTTAACATGAAGGGATGTTGAATTTTATCAAAGGGCTTTTCTGCATCTACTGAGATAAGAATGTGGTTTTTGTCATTGGTTCCGTTTATGTGTTGAATTATGTGTACTGATTTGCATATGTTGAACCAGCTGTGCATCCCAGGGATGAAGTGAACTTGATCATGGTGGATTAGTTTTTTGATGTGCTGCTGGATTCAGTTTGCCAGTATTTTACTGAAGATTTTCACCTCAATGTTCATCAGAGATATTGGTCTGAAGTTTTCTTTTTTGTTGTTGTGTCTCTGCCGGCCAGTATCAGGATGATGCTGGCTTCATAAAATGAGTTAGGGAGGAGTCCCTTCTTTTTAGTTGTTTGGAATAGTTTCAGAAAGAAGGGAACCAGCTCCTCTTTGTATTTCTGGTAGAATTCAGCCGTGAATCTATCTGGTCCTGGGCTTTTATTGGTTGGTATGCTATTAAATACTGCCTCAATTTCAGAGCTTGTTATTGGTCTATTCAAGGATTTGACTTCTTCCTGGTTTAGTCTTGGTAGGCTGTATGCATTCAGGAATTTATCCACTTCTTCTAGATTTTTAGTTTATTTTGCGAAGGGTGTTTATAGTATTCTTTGGTCGTAGTTTATATTTCTGTGGGGTCAGTGGCGATATCCTCTTTATCATTTTTTACTGTGTCTATTTGATTCTTTTCTCTTTTCTTATTAGTGTAGCTAGTGGTCTATCTATTTTGTTAATTTTTTCAAAAAACCAGCTCCTGGACTCATTGATTTTTTGGAGGGTTTTTCATGTCTCTGTCTCCTTCAATTCTTCTCTAATCTTAGTTATTTTTTGTCTTCAGCTAGCTTTTGGATTAGTTTGCTCTTGCATCTCTAGCTCTTTTAATTGTGATGTTAGGGTGTCATTTGAGCTCTTTCTAGCTTTCTGATCTGGGCATTTAGTGCTACAAATTTCCGTCTTACCACTGCTTTAGCTGTGTCCCAGAGATTCAGGTACATTGTCTCTTTGTTCTCATTGGTTTCAAAGAACTTCTTGATTTCTTCCTTAATTTCATTATTTACCCAGGAGTCATTCAGGAGCAGGTTGTTCAATTTCCATGAAGTTATGTGGTTTTGAGTGAGTTTCTTAATCCTGAGTTCTAGTCTTATTGCACTGTGGTCTGAGAGACTGTTATGATTTCAGTTCTTTTGCATTTACTGAGGAGCATTTTACTTCCAATTATGTGGTCGATTTTAGAATAAGTGCCATGTGACACTGAGAAAAATGTATATTCTCTTGATTTGGGGTAGAGACTTCTGTAGATGTCTACTAGGTCCACTTGATGCAGAGCTGAGTTCAAGTCTTGAATATCCTTGTTAATTTTATGTCTCATTGAAGGGTCTCGTACTGACAGTGGGATGTTAAAGTCTCCCACTATTATTGTGTGGGAGTCTAAATCTCTTTGAAGGTCTCTAAGAACTTGTTTTGTGAATCTGGGTGATCCTGTATGGGGTGTATATATATTTAGAACAGTTATCTCTTCTTGTTTAATTGTTCCCCTTACCATTATGTAATGCCCTTCTCTTTCTTGATCTTTGTTGGTTTAAAGTCTGTTTTGTCAGAGATGAGGATTGCAACCCCTGCTTTTTTTTTTCTTTCCATTTGCTTGGTAAATTTTGCTCCATCCCCTTATTTTGAGCCTCTGTGTGTCTTTGCATGTAAGATGGGTCTCTTGAATACACAACACCTGCAGTCTTGATTCCTTATCCAATTTGCCAGTCTGTGTCTTTTAATTAGAGTATTTAGCCCATTTACATTTAAGGTTAGTATTTTTATGTGTGAAATTGATTTGTCATTATGATGTTATTTGGTTATTTTGCACACTAGATGATGCAGTTTCTTCATAGTGTCATCGATCTTAATATTTTGGTGTGTTTTTTCAGTGGCTGCTACCTGTTTTTCCTCCCCATATTTCATGCTTCTTTTAGGAGCTCTTGCAGGGCAGGTCTGGTAGCAACGAAATCCCCCAGCATTTGCTTGCCTAGAAAGGATTTTATTTCTCCTTTGCTTATGAAACTTAGTTTGGCTGGGTGTGAAATTCTGGGTTGAAAATTCTTTTCTTTAAGAATGTTGGATATTGGCCCCCACTCTCTTCTGGCTTGTAGAGTTTCTAGTGAGAGATCTGCTGTTAGTCTGATGGGCTTTCCTTTATAGGTGACCTGGCCTTTCTCTCTGGCTGCCCTTAACAGTTTTTCTTTCATTTCAACCTTGGAGAATTTGATGATTATATGTCTTGGGGTTGATCTTCTCATGGAGTATCTTAATGGTGTTGTCTGTATTTCCTGAATTTGCATGTTGACGTGCCTTGCTAGGTTGGGGAAGTTCTCCTGGACAATATCCTGAAGTGTGTTTTCCAGGTCATTTCCATTCTCCCTGTCTCCTTCTGGTACTCCAATCAATCATAGGTCTGGTCTTTTTATGAAGTCCCATATTTCTTGCAAGCTCTGTTCATTCCTTTTCATTCTTTTTTCTCTATTTTTGTATACTTGTCTTATTTCAGTAAGGTAGATGTCAAACTCTGATATTCTTCCTTCCACTTGTCAATTCGACTGTTGATGCTTCTTTCATTGGGTTAAAACATGCTCTTTTAGCTCAGCATAGTTTTTTATTATCCATCTTCTGAAAGCTATTTCTATACATTTGTCCATCTGATCCTCCATCCAGTTCTGCACCCTTGATGGAGAGACGTTGCAATTATTTGGAGGAGAAGAAGTACTTTGACCTTTGGGTTTTCAGCATTTTTTCATTGATTCTTTTTCATCTTCGAGAGTTTGTCTTGTTTCAGTCTTTGAGGCTGCTGATCCTTGGATGTGGTTTTTATGGGGGCCTTTTGTGTTGTTGATGCTGTTGTTGTCACTTTCTGCTTGTTTGTTTTTCTTTCAATAGTCAGGTCCCTTTTCTTTAGGGCTGCTGCAGTTTGCTGAGGGTTCACTTCAGGCCCTATTTATCTGATTTGCTACCGAGCGAGGAGATGTCACTCAAAGAGGCTAGAGAACAGCAAAGATTGGTGCCTGCTCCTTCTGGGACCTCTGACCTCAAGGGGCAACAACCTGATGCCAGTAGGATCACTCCTGTAAAGGGTGTCTGACAACCCCTGTTGGGGGGTCTCACCCAGTTGGGTGACATGGGGAGCAGGACCCGTTTAATGAAGCACTTTGTCCCTTGGTGGAGAAGGTGTGCTTCGCTGGGGGGAATCCCTCTCATCTGGGCTGCCCGGATTCTTCAGAACTGCCAGGAGAAGAGGCCAAGTCCGCTGGTCCAGAGAGACTGCTGCGACACCTCCCCCAATTCCAATTCTGTCCCTGAGCCTCTGGCTGGAGTTATTGGAGATCCTGCAGGGAAGCCCCGCCCAATGAGGAAGGCTGGGTCAGGTTTAGGCCTGAAGAGGCACTCTGGCCACAGAAACTGCCACAGCCAGTGTGTTAGGCTGTGGGGACAAGTCTTGGGACCAAGCTGCCCTGCCTCTCTGGCTCCAGAAGGGGAAAAACACAGCCTGGAGCTATAGAAATGTGTGTCGCCCTTCCCCCGCCCAGGGATCTTAGCGTGCTAGGCAGTTGCGAGTCCCAGTGCTGGCTGCTGTCCCTCCCCCAGGGAGCTCCAATGGCTTAGTCAGCAGGCACCCCCAGTCGGTGCTGGTCGCCCCTCCCCTCCCGAGTTCGGTAGGCTTGAGCAGATTCCAGCTAAGAGGCTGTAAGAATCTGCACATGCCAGAGTTGGGACTCTAGGCCTCGGTGGCATGGGTTCGCGAGTGGGATCTTCCGATCCGTGGGTTGCACAGTTCTGTGGAAAAAGCACAGTTTCCCTGGCTGGGTAGCACACTCACTCGCCACCTCCCTTGGCTAGGGGGAGGAGGTTCCCCTTCCCCGTGTGGCTCTCAAGTGGGCCGCGCACCACACTGTTCTTTCTCTCCGTGAGTCACTCCAGCTTTCTAGTCAACTTTGATGAGAGAACCTGGATACTTTGGTTGCCGGTGAAGGATTCACACGCTAATTTTTTTTTTCGACAGGAGTCTCCGAAAGCTGCTGCTTGTAGTCAGCCATCTTCAGGGGTAGTTTTATCAAGACAGACTAGAATGGTGACAACACTGCACTCATTCCTTCTTTCATTTATGCATTTAAAAAGTACTTATTTCATGCCCGTAATCTCAGCACTTTGGGAGGCTGAGGTGGGTGGATCACCTGAGGTCAGGAGTTCGAGACCAGCCTGACCAACATGGTGAAACCCTGTCTGTACTAAAAATACAAAAATTAGCTGCGCATGGTGCCGGGTGCCTGTAATCCCAGCTACTCAGGAGGCTGAGGCAGAATTGCTTGAACCTGGGAGGCAGAGGTTGCAGTGAGCCGAGATCGTGCCATTGCTCTCCAGCCCGCGTGACAGAGCGAGACTATGTCTCAAAAAAAAAAAACTGCTTATTAATCATGGCACCTCACTAGGCACTAGAAAATAGAGCACTCAAAAAAACCTACTTCCTGCCATCCTGCAGTTCTCAAAGAACTAAAACAAGACCAATGTGTCTGGATTGCCAAGAGTGAAGAGAAGTACCAGAGGCCATATTATTACACTGCCTCATAGGCCATGTTACAACCCTGGCTACTTTTTTTCTGAGGATAAAGGAAATCCATTAAATCATTTTAAATAGGACAAAGAATGTGATATAATTTGTATTTTTCAAAGGTCCCTCTGACTCACTGTGAAAAAAAATGGATTGTAGGAGGCTAAAAAATGCAAGATTTCAGTCATTACTAGACTTTTTCCACAGAATATGAGCTAAAAATATTCTATGTCATAACTGGCATGCTCTTAGCAAGTTCACTGGGTGATTTCATGGGCACAAAGATAATCCTCTTGCCTGGAAAACCTCCTATTCTGTGGTGTCTGTAATCATATTACACAAAAAGGCCTTTCATTCTATAATTCAAGGAAAAGTTTCCAATTCAAACATTCCTGGAAGCGCTGGTTTGATAAAAGAGAGAAAAGAGAATTGAGGAGGCACTAATACTCCACAGGTGAAAAAGAAGGTGAATAAATTTATTAAAACACACTTCTACTACCTCCTGGTTTTACCTAAAACCTACCCTTGTGCCTTTACTCATATTTATTTATCTATCTTAGAAGAAAGTTGCACCAAGAGTGGTCTAAGAACCAAAATCAAGCACCTTAACATGCTGAAACCCCCATCACTTCAAAGGGTCAGACTATGTTTTCTCTGATTCCATTTCTATTTGATTCCTTTGTGAGTTAAGACACTTTCACTGTCTCTGAAATTACATTGTTGTAAACACAGTAAAATGTATTTCTATATGAAGGGAAAATTAATAACCAACTTTCATATAAGTTAATTTCCTCTTTTTCCTGTGGCTTTTCAGTGTTTCTATTGCATTCATAAAATTAATGTAGAGAGCTCTCGAAAGGATAATTAAATAAATTACTTTAGTTTTTACCCAGTGAGTATGTAGCCTACAAAATAATTTCTCTTTAGTAGCTTGTGAGTTACACTGGTCTATTCACTATGTGTTTGGAGTACTACTGATAATCTCTCTTACAAATCTTAAACTACAAAAACATCTTCTCAATATAGGATGATCTATTTGATACAGGCTCAATTAAACCCAGAATTTGTTTTAAATGAGCTACAGGTACTTCAGGCAATTCATCATTTGATTTTTGTTATAATTCAGCAAGTGGCCTATGCTCTTGGCAAAAGAACCAGACTGCTTCAGTACCATGGATAGTGTCTGGTTTCCACCCCCCCACCCCCCGACACCCTTAGTCCCTACCTTTGGGTTGTCTAGTATATGTATCTGCAACTTTCTTGGTCTTCACAATTTCTGGCAATAAATACACAAACTCAATGCTAAGTGTAAGAATAATGTTTATGTGTGAGTCAGCAGTTAAGAATCAAGAAAGTACCTGATTTGTCTTTTTAAATAAAAAATATAACTTTATCAGAAAAGAGACCAAAAGTTGAGTCAGGCATGTTAAAAATGAGAATCTATTCAAATTTTCTTCCTCCATCTACTGTCTTACTGTTCTAAAATTCATGCATATTTCTTAGGATTTCAACTCATCTCAACAGATACTTATTAAGTAACTATGACTAATGTAAAAGGGTCTCTTTTAACTCAGTCAAACTAAATCAGAATTTGAGATATTTTTATCTCATCATAAAAGCTACTAGGTTCTAGGTCTTAAGGTCTTTGTGAAGAATTCTAAGATAGTTCTCAGACTGTGATCATAAATCTTAGTTCAGGCAGTGTAAAAATATCACTTCAAAAATTATTTTTAAAAATCCTAAAGATTATTTTCTCAAAATGACTGTGATATTATAATGTTAACCAGAATAAGCCAATATAAAAATGATATTCCTTCATTCTAAAAGGAAAGAAATGCAGGTCTAAAATCCCTTATCAGAAATTCGTGGAGTCACATATGGTTCAGAATTCAGGATTTTTTTACATTTTAGAAATATATTAAATTGTACATTATGTACCACCCCTTGTAGAGTCTGAGACAACACAAATAATCAAACACTAGTATTAATTCACCAATACCTATTAATATTCACACAGGGTGGAAAAAGACTATAAATAGCTTCACATGTGATGTCGTTTGGCTCAGTGTCTCCACCCAAATCTCACCTTGAATTGGAGTTGCCATAATCCCCTTGTGTTGTGGAAGGGACCTGGTGGGAGGTAATTTAATCATAGGGGCAGTTACCCTCATGCTGTTCTCGTGATAGTGAGTTCTCACGAGATTTGATGGTCTTATAAGGGGCTTTTCCCCCTTTTGCTCAACACTCCTCCTTCCTGCTGCCATGTGAAGAAGGACATGTTTGCTTCCCCTTCCACCATGGTTGTTAAGTTTCCTGAGGCCTCCCCAGCCATGCTGAACTGTGAGTCAATTAAACCTCTTTCCTTTATAAATTACCCAGTCTCAAGTATGTCTTTATTAGCAGTGTGAAAATGAACTAATACAACATGATTAGGAAAAAATTTTCTGCCAAATGAAATCAAATCAGACAGTTCAGGTTTTGCCATCCAAAGGGTTTCAAGGATACAACCTTCACCACTTTTAGATTTCACAATTTTGAAAATTAAATTGTGGACCTAGATTTATTGAGCAGTAGGCATTAACATGCATTAAAATTTAATATTTATAACAAACATCTGAGGGATGTTTTACTAGTTCCATTTTATAGATAAGAATATGTGGACTCAGAGAAATTAAATAACATGGCTAAGGTCACACATCAGTAAGAGGAGTAACTGAAAATCAAAGGAAATCTTTCAGCCTTCACCACCAGTGTTCTTCCTACTGCACCAGCACCCTCAAAGAAGCTCCACCATGACAAGTAGTTGGACAGTCATTACTTCTGTCTACATTCCATTTAGACTCATAGATTAGAGAAGATAAATGCAGTATTATTCTTATGAGCCACAATCAAACTGTAACTGGAGATTTCTTAAATTTCTCTAAATATGTTTGTGACAAGAAACTGTATTTTGTTTTATTCCACCTCAGGCATGAGAAATAGGTTCCAGTCCCTAATATCATGACGTGTTGATGCCTTTGCTAAAAATCAGCTTTCCTTCTGATTTCAGGTTCTCATGAGTATTATCCTCCAATCATCAACTGATGAAGATCACAAAACTTCACTCTCTGCAACTGACAGGAAATGAATTTGCAATATTTTCTGAGATATATCCAATTTTACCACCCTCTTCCTCCAAAAATTGTTTAAAACATGATCCCAGGCACTAAAATTTCTCCTACTGTTGTGATTGATGGAGGATTTTAAGTAATCTGAGAAATGGAAAAGTCACTAGTTATTGGCTAGTGTAACTTATAATGTACAAAGCAAGGGTCTAAGGCCCTGATTCACATTTTCTATCACTTTATAGGGCTTTCACTGCATTTAATTATGACTGAAAACAAATAGAAGTAAACAAATATTTACAAAGTAAACTAATTGTGATGATGTATTTATCCACCACTGCCTAAGGTATTATTCTCAAAAACAATCCCAATTAGCAGAAGTAGACTTTGGAGAACTACAGGTAAAGAAGGAGGTGACCTGAGACACCCCCAGCCAAACAATGCAAACAATTTATCAATATGCATAGACATGACTTCACAGATCACTAGACAATCTTTAAAAGCAGTCAAGTTATCATGTATGGACATCAATTCCATTAGCATCACTGGCTTTTTCAGTTACATTTTTAATCTGGAGAATGTTACTATCCCCAAATTGGCAGCCTATTTGGCAAAGAGAAATTCCATACTGTTAATCTATGTTAAAGACAGATGAAACTGTGTACAAAACCAAACAAGTGCCCTGAACTGAGAT
This sequence comes from Homo sapiens, assembly GCF_000001405.40. Classification (NCBI taxonomy): domain Eukaryota; kingdom Metazoa; phylum Chordata; class Mammalia; order Primates; family Hominidae; genus Homo; species Homo sapiens. Next base: position 43,217,289 of record NC_000011.10, read on the forward strand.
GTGCCAGTATGTTAAATACCAATGTATTTGACCCTGTGGGTGAGTCAGCCAAAGGAGACCAATATAGGGAAATGGTTTCGTACAATAGTGGCTGAGAACATAGTTTCTGGGAAAGGCTGAGCCTTAACTCTGCCACCTATCATCAGCATGACCTTGGACAACTTATCTACTATGTCAAAATTTTCCATATTGGACATGTATTACTTTCATGGTAAGAAAATAATTAAATTCGTTAACTGAAAAAAGCTGCCCTTACCATCTAAAACTAAGTTATGCTTCATACACATGTATAGGGCATCCAGAGGTCAGGAAAAATGATCAAACCAATATATGGGAGAAAATTGTGTCAGAGAAAGAACATGAGCTAGCATTGTCCCTTATAAATCTGTCATTACTATGAGTTTCAGTTTCCTCATACTTCCTCATCAGAATATCTACCTAGCAGAATTGCTAAGAGATTTGTACTCTTTAAAAATCCAGCCTTGTGCCAAGTGCATTGTACATGTTCAAAAAATAATAGCTATCATTTTTATGATACATATGATGCCTCTACGTTTTCTTTAAACCCTAAACTAAATAAGTTCACAAAGATTGTTAAGGGAAATGTTTTCTTTTTATGCTAGCTATGAGTTTATTTTCTGAACATATTAAACCCCCAACCCTCTCCTCCTGTAGGGAGAACAGTCTGTTGACTTTGGATCCAATTGAATTGAAACAGCCTGTATCCAGGTGATATCCAGGATGTCTACTCGGGAGGAATCCAGACACCGAGGAAAGCCCAATCTGGTGCTGGGGAATAACTTGGCAGGCACAGAAATATACAGGGAGAGAAAAAGCTGCAGACAAAAGTGTCCAACTAATGGGAAAAGCCACTGAAAGAATAGGAACCAGAATCAGATGATGATGATGATGATGATGATGACGACGACGACGACAACAACGATGACAAAGAAGATGGTGATGAGGAAACTGAATCACAGAGTAGTTAAGGGAATTGGTTATGTTCATACAGCAGGTAAGGGATATAATTTAAATTTGAATCTTAGAAATCTGGCTCCAAAGCTTTTGCTCTTAACCCAAAAACAATGAGCTGTACACAATTCCCAGTCCACACAAAAGTGGAAGGGCAGCCTACTTCACCTCTGTGAGAGCAGATCCAGAAACCTGCCTTATGTCTACCACTCAGAGCTTGGCCTTCACACTCAACTACTATTTCTCACTCCAAACCAGGTTTCCTGACTGCTCAAAGCAACCAGCCCTGTTTGTGATGATATGGGTAAATAAATCCCTGTGGACTCTCTCTCTCTCTTTTCTCTCACTCTCTTGCTCTCTCTCTCTCTCTCTGCTTAATAATGTTCAAATGTCTCCTGTCATCCTATCATGCTCCTGGGAGCCTTTCACTTTTTACAATAGATCCATTCATTGGCTGTCATCTGCCAGAGAGCAGAGTCTTCATCTTTGTAAGTAATGACTCAAAACTTCTATCCTGGATTGACCTTTCCCACTGGTAGTGTTGGCAGTGACTTCCATGGCATGATACATAGGACTCCAAGAAGGTCTTTGCAACAAAATTTTCTTCCTAGTTATCATCTGAAATGCCATTATTAACATTTTACTTCTTTAAGTTTAACATTTTCTTCTCCCTGCTACTCCAACAAAGATAATAGTTATGTTCCCCAAGATATCTGCACAGCTCTCTTCTTTACTTTCTTCTGATCTTTGCTCAAATGTCAGCAATTCCTTCCATGATGGCCCTACTGAAATTTCAACCCCACCACCATCCCTCCTCTTTCCAGCTTTATTTTTTTCCATAGCATTACCACCATCTGACACATATGTCCCTTATTTCTATATTTATTTATTTTACCTCCATTCCAACTTGAATGTAAATTCCATGAAAGCAGACATTTTATATATAGAATTTTGTCCACAGCTGTAATCTTGGAACTAGAACAGTGCCTAAGATGTAGTAAGTGCTCAATAGTGTTTGCTGAATGAGTAAATTAATCAGCAATCAATGAATAAATGAATTAATTGTATGGTAGTCCCCCCTTATCCGTGGGACATATGTTTGAAAACCCCCAGTAGATGCCTGAAACCATAGGTAGTACCAAATCCTATAAAAACTGGGTTTTTTTTTCTATCCATACATACCCATGATGCAGCTTAATTTATAAATGAGGCACGGAAAGAGATTAACAACAACAATAATAAAATGTAACAATTACAGCAATATGTCAGCATCAGTACCCTTGCACTTTGGGGCCATTATGGAATCAAATAAGGGTGACAAACACGAGCACTGCAATACCATCACAGTCGATCTGATAACCGAGCTGGCTACTCATTGAGTAAAGGGTGGGGAGTGTAGGCAGTGTGAATATGCTGGACAAGGGGATGATTCCCATCCTAGGTGGAACAGCAGGACTGGGTGAGACCCTGGGTGCCCAGAATGTTACACAATTTAAAATTCATTGATTGTTTACTTCTGGAATTTTTCATTTAATATTGTCAGACCACGGTTGATCATGGGTAACTGAAACCTCAAAAAGCAAAACTGTGGACAAGGAGGGACTACTGTATATTCTGTGTAAATTGGTTCTCAGGATTGTTTTCTTTAACAGAGATGATCAAGCAGGATAAGAGCCTGGAAATCTGGGAGAAGTCATGTGAAAAATAATGTGGAAAGTAGAAAAGAGAACTAAAGAGTCCTACTCACATTGTGTTCATCCATTTTCATGCTGCTAATAAAGACATGACCAAGACTGGGTAATTTACAAAGGAAAGAGGTTTAATTGACTCAGAGTTCCACATGGCTGGGGAGGCCTCACAATCATGGTGGAAGGTGAATGAGGAGCAAAGTCACGTCTTACATGGCAGCAGGCAAGAGAATGTGTGCAGGGGAACTCCCCTTTATAAAACCATCAGATCTCATGAGACTTATTCACTATCACAAGGACAGCACAAGAAAGACCTGCCCCCATGATTCAATTATCTCCCACTGTGTGTCTCCCATGACATGTGGGAATTGTGGGAGTTACAATTCAAGATTAGATTTGGTTGGGGACACAGCCAAACCATATCACACATCTTTGGGGAACATTTTTCCAATATTCCATAGTATCACCTTAAAAATTACTTTTTAAAAGTCAGGGAAAATATATGATTTCATGATGCTCATTATAATTTAATTGTCCCCCATTGAATGTAGGTTCTGGTGAATATATTTTTACATTTCTTCCTTCAATGATGCACGTATTAATTATTACATTTCCCCACTACTTTCTGTACATTTGTATGTGTGACCATGAATGTGTCCCCTTGCTCATTTCAGCTTGCATTTTTATTTCTTTTATTTCTTTCTTCTACTTTTCTGTATCTTCCCCACAACCTCTGAAGCCAAAGCAATTCATCCAGACCCAAAATTCAGGAGGCTCCACAAGGACCATAAACAGCAGGACCTGTAAATAAAAGTTTGTCTATTCTCTCTTATGGACTATTGAGAAGAGAGTTTGTCAGAAGAAGAAAAATTCTTTAAGACATTATTTTCAGCAAAGCTGTCACTGTTTTGAAATTATTAGGCCCAAAGTTAAATGTAAAAGCACTGAATACTTTCCATGGTTTTATATAAATGAATATTATCTAGGTCAGCTTTTAAGTTTTAATAGTATAATTAATACATCTCCTTTGTGTGTGTGTGTTTTTTAAGTTTTCCATCCTATTTAATGTGACTTTATTACACCTTGAAACCATGTGTTCCCTAGAGTGTTCCCGGCTCCAGACTGGGCCCTCTTCTCCTTTCTGTTTATAATAGGGGGATTCCCAGTGCACTAGAAAACATGTATATGCTGATAATTTTCTAACATTTCTCTCTAGTCTTTATCTCTCCCCTGAGGGCCAGACTCGTAGATCCACTTGCTCCCTGGATACCTCCATTCAAATACATAATCCACAACTCAAACATGACAGGTCTAAAATGGAACTTTTGATTTCTACCCAGAATTAAACAGTTTAGAAGGTGCATTAAACACAACATTTCTATGAGCCTTTCATAGGCCGGTGCATGTTGTTAATTTCCAACAGTTTCCCAGACTTGAGAAGTGCTGTTCTGGAACACCCTTTGGAAATACTGTTCTGGAACCAAAGAGCTTTGAAATAAAACCTATGGTTTTCTGCTAGAACCAAGCTAATGGAGTGAAGCATGCTGCTCTGGAGCAATGGCACTCCTAGAAGCATCAGGGTGCAGAGAAAGGCTGGACTGCCTACATACAGCTGATCATCTGATTCGTTGGAGCAGCTATGATGTAACTGACTTCAACTCACAATAATAACAATAATAATAATAAAGAGATGTGTTAGGAAGAGTCTGACCTGATGCCTTCATTTGAGAAAATCTCCAAGGACTTGCAAAATCATCCAAACCCAATTCTGGGTCAAGAGAGAAGAGGAGCCAGGCGCAGTGGCTCACGCCTGTAATCCCAGCACCTTGGGAGACTGAGGTGGGCAGATCATGAGGTCAGGAGATCCAGACGATCCTGGCCAACATGGCGAAACCATATGTCTACCAAAAAAAACAAAAATACAAAAAATAACTGGGTGTGGTGGCATGTAACTGTAATCCCAGCTACTCAGGAGGCTGAGGCAGGAGAATCACCTGAACCAGGGAGTCGGAGGTTGCAGTGAGCCAAGATCATGCCACTGCACTCCAGCCTGGCAACAGAACGAGACTCCATCTCAAAAAAAAAAAAAGAGAGAGAGAGAAGAGGTTGTCAGTCTGGCCACAGCCTATGTCTGAGAGTTTTTAAAAGACACTGACATTGGCCAAACTTTTAATGACGTACATTCTTCCAATTTAGCATTCAGTTTTAATATATGTAATTTTCAAACTGCATCCTTTCAAGATTGGCAGAAAAGCTTTTTTCCTGAATCTCTCCACCCACCTCATGCCCCCCACTATGTCTGTGCCTTTCCCCTAGGTCTGTGCAATGTCTACCATTCCAATCCCATGTGAGTTTTTAAAAGATGACTTCCATTTTGTATCTATGTCATGAAATCATAAAGATGAGGAGATGAGGGGATAAATTGCCCTGCTTCTTCCAGGAAAAAGTAAGTGCATTCCTACAAAATGATGGTGGCAGTGACTCAGCAGTCAGAGGCCATTATCATACTAAGAATTCTATTGTAGTAGAAAAAGAACTGGTTCTGGAGTCAGGCTGACTTTAGTTCCCACTCTGGTTTAGCCACACAGTTATTCTGTGCTCTTCTAAGTTAATTAACTGCTAAGAGCTTTAGTTACTTCATAAATGAAACAAGCACCACCAAACCCAACTTGAAGGGTCACGGTGAGAATTATTTATTTTTGTATTTATGCATTTAATGTACCTAGGCAGTGCCTGTCTCATAGGAGGCCCTTATTATTAGAGAATTAACTCTTCAGCCCCACAGTACAATTTTAAAGCATTACCATTTTAATATTTACTACATTTTAAGTCCTGCAGGAAGCTGCTTCTAAAAAAGAGAAGATTTATAATCTGAATAGATTAGAGTTTCATAAAGCACAATGAAGCATGCAACAGGCTCTATAAAAAACCATAAATAAGGTACCATGCATGCATTATGCCGTCAACTGTCGATTATTCTGTAAGGAAGGAAAGCAGATGGGGTCAGTCCAAAAGAGTAAGTAATCAAAAAAAAAAAAGGCAACTCTTAGATTTGTCTCGACATTTGCATTGAACTCAGATGTATGTGATGTGATGTTCAGGGAAAGTTTTTAATGTGTTTTCCATAAGAAATCCTGACTTCGGACAATCGGCCTGGTCACAGCACTTTCCTACATCTGCTCCCACACAGGCACCAGGCAGCTCCTCAAGCAGGCTGATCCAAAAAAAAAGCAGTGTGAGCCGAGGTTTCACTCACTCAAACCTCCCCAGCCATGGAGACAGCTCCATTCCTTGGATAATATCTGCATGTGCAATAAGTACACATGGAATGAATATGGAAATACCAACAGAGCAAGTGATTAGGAATCACCACAGATAAAGCAAAACATATGTAATTAGATTATAGAAATTTGGGTGTGCTGTCCTTTGGCAATAGTTTATCATATTAGTTTGGGCATGACAGAAAACCAGCAGCAGAGATGATGTTAGTGTGGTGTAGGTACTAAAGTGAACATCCGTAGGAACACAGCCCCATTGAGCACTTGTGTTGAGCTTGGCATTGGTAATTAGAGACAAAGACGGCACTTCAGTCCCATGGAGACTGTCAAACTGTAGGCCTATATTTTGAAACTCCTTAAAAATGCAATCTCAGCTCTATAGAAAATAAGCCTCCATTGGCTTAAAAAGCTATCCCAAGTGAGCAAAAGTCTCCTCCAGGCCAAAAGAAAAAAAAAAAAAACCTACGTATATAGACATCACTGTTTGAAAAAAAAAAATGGTCTCATTCATGCCCCTCCTGGTATCCAAATCACTAGTAATGTGACTATGCAGATTCTCCCACAAAGAGGTGGAGTTTATTTCTTCACCCCTCCAATCAGGATTGGCCTTGGGGCTTGCTTGCTTAACAGAATGTGGCAATAGGGAATGTGTGTGAGTTTCTGAGCATGGGCCTTAAGAAACCTTGCAGCTTCCACATCCACACTCCCTCAGAATCTTGCCCAGTGGCCATAGGGACAAGTCTGGGCTAACCAGCTGTTGGATGACCTCCCATATGGAACAAAGATAACCTATCTCCACTGAAGCCAACCAAACCAACCAGCTGCAAGACTGCCTGGCAGTTGACAGAAGATGAATAAATGAATCCAGTGCAAACTAGAAAAGCCAATTAGCTGAACCCAGCTCACATTTCTAACCAACAGAATTTTAAGGTAAATAAATGGTTACTTCTTAAACCACTATGTTTTGGGGTGATGTGTTATACAGCAAATCTAACTAATACACCATTCCAAGAAGAGATGTTTGAAAAACAAGCTTCAACATCCAACATGGATGATCCTGGGTGTGGGAAGAGGATTTCTGGGTGAAGGATGATTACTGAGATTAGAGCAAAGAAACTCTGAAGGTGGGGTGCGGCTCATCACTTCATGAGCCTCTACATAGCATTTTGCTTCAGTTGTAGTAATCAGCAGAAGGGGCTAAATTTCTATGGTTTCCTTACATTTGTTAAATAGCTACAATGAACAACTTATTGTGATTTTACCAAGAGATAAAGGCCAAATTCTGTGATCTCCAGCAAAATGGTTTCTTCCAGTTCAACAATGTTTCACATGTGTTAGAACTTGCCCAAAGACAAACCTGACTGAAGGCCTCTGAGTCTCTCATATTGAGACTACTTTCCCTGTTTTTTAGATTTAATGGCAACAATTTCTGGGAAATATCTGAGGGCCTAGAATTGCCTTTGGGAACTGGTCTAAAAAGACTCAACTGCATTCATCTTTACTTAAATCTTCTTCTGTGGATTCCCCCAAGAGAATGAAATTTAGTTTGACAAGAGTGTGCTTCACAAGGCCATTTGTTAAAGCAATTTATTTCAGTCATTTAAGTTACAATTTAAAAAGAACCATCATAAGCCTTCACAACCTTTTATAGGTGACAGACCACACAAATTATAGCACATTGTCCCTGTTTCTTTAAAAAGCAAATTACTCTGGACCCATAGAGAATGCTAGGTTTAATGTTCAGTAACAGGACTTGGGCATAAACTAGACCAGCTGACATCTGCAAAGCAGGCACCGGTTAGGCTGGGAGGAAAGAGAAGAAATTCACTTACACTTAGAAGTCTTCCTTGTGGTGGGGAGAAAGGAAAGTTTGGGGTAAAGTTTTAAATGTAGCAAACGCTCAAGAGAAGATGCTTAGGGTGGACAAAAAGAACATAAGAACATGTAGGATGAGGTATAATTATTGGAACAAAAGTCAGTTCAGACAGAAGCTCTGGGTTGACATTTACTCCTCTATAAGATTAATGAGAGGAAAAAATGGGTAGCTAGACGAAGAGGTAAAACTCTTACTCTTTTAGTCCTCAATAAAGGGTGCTAAATCCCCTTACCCATGGCAGTGTTTAGGGCTTTGCCCCCCTCTCTCTGATGCTTACTTTTCAAAGGCAATAAACTGACAAAAGCTGCCATTTCCAAGTACCTGTAACTGCCCAGCCCTCTCTAATCCTGGCCCTTTCAGGACAGGAAGAGCTGGGGCTAATGGCTCTTGTATAAAAGCAGTTTGATGGAAGGAAAGAAACAACAAGGGAGCTCTGCAGTCAATATCAGGCTCTCTGAGACAGGAGGACAATGAGCATTTGACCTTTCGGGTGTGTGGCTGCCTCACCATTCATGTCTCATCTGAGCACCGAGTCTCACCTGCTCTCTCAGAGTCAATGTATCACAAGAGCTCTCTGTTCAGGCAGACAGAATAAAAATAGTCATCTCCTCTTGACAGGATTCTTCACTACCTTGTGCTGTTCTTTCAGTATTCTCCCTGCCTGTGCTCCTCTTGTGCTCAAGATTTTAATTCTTAGGGCCTGAATGGAGAAATTGCAATTTTATGGAAATACACACACACACGGCAATAAAACACATGCCATGGCCAGTCAGTTCTGTTGGTTAACTCTACAGTTACATTCAGGAAAAAATGAGGCCAAGAGATAAAGAGTGATTCTCCAGACAGGCAGCCAAACACCATCATCCCAACATCTACCTCGGGAGTGTTAAGGTAGAAAGCTCAGTACTGATCCAACCCAACAGTGATAAAATGAATCAACCACCATAGCCAAGGATTGCAGGTCAAGAGTGCCATTATCTTAAACAAAGAACAACTCATTACAAAGCATCATATCTCTTTTCCCCATTCAGAAATCATACCCTTTTCCACCCATGGGGAAATTGTAAGACTTTACCCAATTGGAATGCTGGTTTCCTTCTTCTCATTACTTTCTAAAAATCACCTCTAGAAGACTTGAGAACATGTCACTACAAAGAGCAAACCTTCAAAATAGTCAAGAGGTACTGACCTCATTTACAAGTTTTTTTGAAGCCAACATAAAAGACCTATGAAAACAGATGTCCTTGGAGACATTCCCTCAGCAGTAATATTAAAGAAACTGCCTCAGCTCCCTTCCTTCCAAAGTAAGCCACATGGGCACGGCAACTGAACTCAATGCCCAGGTGCACGGATGTGGATGTGTTTTTGAGATGAAATGCTGCCAATACGATAGATCTTTTTTCAAAAGTCCACAGTTGTATGTCCATTGACTACTTGTCAAACTTTCCTCATGGTGTTTTCACATTGCACAAGTCAGCAGCAATTTTCTTTGGTACTACTCCATGGTTGTTGCATACTGCCAGACCTGCCAGCTACCATCTCATTATCTAACAGCTCCCATTATGTAGCACTTACTGTATACCTGGTACTGCACAAAAGACTTCACATACAGTAGCTCATTTAATTCACAAGTATATATATTTGTATATAGCATATATAATTATCCACTTTTGACAGGTCATAAAATAGCTTAGAGAAGATGAGTGGCTTGCCTAAGGTTATAAAAAAAAATAACAGAGATCAGGACTCAAAACTTTGTCTAACTGGCTCCAGAGCCCAAGTTCTTAATGACTATCCTTAATTGTCCTTTAGTTAATTCTTTCACCTGATAATGGAATCTACCATGTCCTGGAAGGCTTCCTGAATTAATTGCCTGCCTCTATCTGGACTGACTATTGTCATCCCAGGCAATCAAGCTAGAATCACTTACCAAAATGTGTAACCTCTTCCTGCTCAAGGTCCCATGAGCTATTCTGACCTCTAAGTCTGGGAACAGCATTCAAATGTATTCTGTCGTCCTAATACCCAGCACTCTCCTATGAGACTGCTACCAACAGGTACTTCAATTAAAGTGTGGGTAATTCAGTGGTCAGGGGTGCCTGTCTGGAGTTAGTCACCTCTGGATTAGAATAGTAGCTCCATTATTTACTACCAGTGTGGCTTTGGGCAAGTTCCTTCACCTCACATATTTCAGTTTCCTCATACGTAAAAGAAGAAAAATCCCATTGTCTCACCTCCTATATGACAGTTTGGATAATTACACAGTATAGATGAAGTGTTAGTTGGCATAACACCTGACACTCTATTAAAGGCTTAGCAGATGGAACTCAGGTATGTTGATATTGGGGATATGGGTCACCATTTTTACAAAGATCAAATCATATGTGCAGGAAAAAAAAAAACATTGGTTTGTTTTATTGAATATTAAGTAGTCTCACCTCAGGTGATCCCATGCCATTGGTGATTGGAGGATAGTGGAGTGGAGGAGACTTTTTCCTCTCTGCTCTCTCCCCTCTAATCTCTACCAGAAAAGCTTCTCCTCCTCTTCCTGCTGATAAGAATTACCTGCATGTCATACCTTCTTTCATCCCTATTTGTGAACATTGCTCTTCCATGCAGCACATGCTCTCTTCTCTCCTGTAACTCTAGCTCGTGGCTTAGCCTAAATGACAGGCAGGGTGTAGGATGAGAAGTTGATCTATTAATAAGGTCATCAAGTTAAAAGAATGCTTCATAAATAACCTCCTTCATTTAAGAAATTTTATGTTTAAAAAGCAATGACATCCATTTCATATCTACCAGATTTTCAAAATTAGAAAGTCTGGGTAACACCAGCCTTATGGAGGATGTGGGGAAATAGAACATCCTTTACATAGCTGAAAAAAAACTACAAATTGGTTATAATCACCTTGAAGAACAATCCTCATCATGTGACTCTTTTTTAAAATAAATTTTATTGAGGCTGGGCACGGTGGCTCACCCCTGTAATCCCAGCACTTTGGAAGGCCCAGGCAGGCAGATTGCTGGAGCCCAGGAGTTCAAGGCCAGCCTGGGTAACATGGCAAAACCCTGTTCTTACCAAAAAACAAGCAAACAAACAAACATTAGCCAGGTGTGGTGGCACGCACCTATAGTCCCAACTACTTGGAAGGCTAAGGTGGAAGGATCACCTGAGCTTAGGAGGTCGAGGATGCAGTGAGCCAAGATTGCACCACTGCACTCTAGCCTGGATGACAGAGTAAGACCCTGTCTCCCATAAATAAATGTTATTGTGTATATTTAAGGCATGCAACATGATATTATAGGATACATATGTGTAGTAAATGGTTATGATGATGAAACAAATTGACATTTCTATGATTTCACAGTTACCCATTTTTTCCCTGTAGCAAGAGGAGCTACAATCTACTCATTTAGCAAAAGTCCTGATATAATACGCTATTAATAACTATATTCCTCATATTGTACATTTGATCTTCAAACTTATTTATCATACATATCTGCTACTTTGTATACTTTGACCTACTCCATCCTGTTCCCTCCCCCACTCTCTGACCCTGGTAACCACTGTTTCATGCTATATATTTGACCCTTTTTAAAAATTCCATGTATAAGTGAGATCATGCAATATTTTTTTCTGATTTAAGTTATTTCACTTAACATAGTGTCACCCAGGTCCATCCATGTTGTGGCAAATGTCAGGATTCATTCAAACAGGTAAGGAAGCAGAGGTGTATATATACAGCATGTGATTCTTCTTTTTTTTAACTGGTGGCAATTTTCTTTTTCTTTCCAACTTTTATTTTAGGTTCAGAGGGTGTATATGCAGTTTTGTTATATGTGTAAATTGCATGTCATGGGGGTTTAGTGTACAGATTATTTCATCACCCACATAATGAGCATAATAACTGATAGGAAGTTTTTCAATCCTTATCCTCCTCTCAGCCTTCACCCTCAAGCAGGCAAGTTTCCATTGCCCCCTTCTTTGTGTCCATGTGTACTCACTGTTTAGCTCCAATTTATAAGTGAGAACATGTGGTATTTGGTTTTCTGTTTCTGCGTTAATTCACTTAGGATAATGGCCTCCAGTTCCATCCATGTTGCTGCAAAGAACATGATTTTATTCTTTTTACGGCTGTGTAGTATTCCATGGTATATATGTACCACATTTTCTTTATCCAGTCTGCCATTGATTGACATCTAGGTTGATTCCACCTCTTTGAATGGTACTGCAATGTGCATATGCCTGCATGTGTCTTCATGGTAGAACAGTTTCTTTTCCTTTGGGTATATACCCAGTAATGAGATTGCCAGGTCGAATGTCAGTTCTATTTTAGGTTATTTGAGAAATCTCCAAATTGCATTCCACAGTGGCTGAACTAATTTGCATTCCCACCAGCAGTGTATAAGTGTTCCCTTTTCTCCACAGCCTTGCCAGCATATGTTATTTTTTTACTTTCGGACCTGGACAGAGCAGGGCCATCTTGCCTGTGGGATGGGGTCAGTTTAATCTGAGCACCCTCCAGTCTGCTGGCCTCTCCCAGGGTCCCCGCCTGGCCATGCCCACTTATACCATGTGATTCTGATTCACCTCTTCCCCTCCTCTGTTTGAGAATCAAAGCTCTTCAATACTTAGAATGTACCTGGAGATGTTCTATTTTAGAATTCTTATTCATTAATATTACACTTAATCTTTTCCATTTAATTCATTAGAAGTTTGATGTTTAATTTTTTAATATAAGAATGATTCAACTTTTTAGAAATAACTTCTAATACATATGAGGATTCAAAATAGATGAACTAATTTCTTAACATGATGCCTATATTTTCTCATATAGTTCATCATACTTTCACCTATAAGAAACTCCATACATTTGAAAAAGTTCACAAATAACTCTCCTCTTTAGTTCTTTGTTGAATGTTAGTGTTATAGGCAGAGTGATAACTTCAGTATAGTCAGGACTTGCTAAATTTTGTAAAACAGAGTTGATGAAGTGATATTCCATTAAAAGAAACTACTTTACCATCCTTTTCCAGACTCAAGGAAACCAGGCAATAGAGTTATCATTTAATATGAAACGACAAAATGAGCAATACCAAATACCTTTTTTCACCCAGGAAGTATATCATAATGTTTAAGAGAGTGAGCTCTGGAGTCAGACTGCCTGTGTTCAAATGCTGACTACACTGCTTACTAGCTGTGTGAGCCTGGGTAAGTTGCTTAATTTCTCTGTGCTTCAGTTTCTCAAAATGGAGATATTAATGGTACCTGCCTCACAGGATCCTTTTGAGGATTAATCAAGATAACCTGGAAAGCACTGACTGACTCTCATTTGTTGAGTCAGTCAGTGGCTGACTCTCAATAAATGGCAGCTATTTTTATTATCATAACTTCTTCCTGCCTTTTTTCCAGGGAAGGGGCTGCTTATAAAACAGTCTAGCTTCACATAAAAACCTATAGAAGTGAAAGAGCTCAACACTTGCTTAAGAAGTTTCGGGCGCGGTGGCTCACGCCTGTAATCCCAGCACTTTGGGAGGCCGAGGCGGGTGGATCACGAGCTCAGGAGATCGAGACCATCCTGGCTAACACAGTGAAACCCCGTCTCTGCTAAAAATACAAAAAATTAGCCGGGTGTGGTGGTGGCTGAAGCAGGAGAATGGCTTGAACCTGGGAGGCGGAGCTTGCAGTGAGCAGAGATCGCGCCACTGCACTCCAGCCTGGGCCACAGAGCGAGATTCCATCTCAAAAAAAAAAAAAAGAAAGAAAAGAAAAGTTTCAGGAAACATAGGGCTGCAAATAAAGTGGGCACCGACAGTCATTTGAATCATTAATCTATACATGTCATATAGTTTAATATACTGACAATTAAAGTCAAGTAAAGGCAAAATTCTGGAATATTGTTCCAGTTTGCACAACCCTAGGGAAGTGTTCCAGGACTCTAAATGTAGTCAGAGTAGAATGAACACTGAACTAAGCACTCAAGAAACAATATTCTTTTCTCCAGATCTACCTTTAACTTTTGTATGACCTTGATTAAACTGCCTTACCTTTTGGAATCTTAGCTTAGGACAGAAGAATAATAATAATTCATGCACCACATACTGTACAAGGTTGTTGTGCAAATAAGAGTATTGTGTGCAAAAGCTAAGTATATTGTAAAATACTAAGCCAATTTGAGTTATTCATTATTATTATGCTTAGAATCTTTCTTTGCCTGAGTCACCCCCTGAAAAAGAACCTGATGCAAATGTTTAAAAGTGTGCATAATTCATCTGGAGACATTATCCCTGAAAGTAGGAATTAGTAAAGGACAGGGGAAGGGAAATAGGAAAGAAAGGAAGGTCAACACAAGGATGTGCTACTGAGATGGTCACTACTAGGGGCTCCTGGTTCCTTGATTCCCCAGAACCTTCCTGGACGCCCACTATAGTGCATCTCTGAGCCACCCACTAGGGAAATAAAGAAGGAGCATTTTATTTATCAGTTTGTCTCTCCCATTGGCCATGGGTGATACCATGGGGCATTGGCTCTTTTGCATTTGAGGGTTGTGGCTATTCCCATAGGTGGCCAACATCATGAGGTCAGATAGGTCCATGGCAAGAAGTAAGAGAAGAGCACTTGGATTGCCCCTACTTGAAGCTAGTATAAGCCTCAAGTTGCCAAAGTGGCTGGAATAAAAGGCCTGAGATCATTTGGAGTGGTTATTACATAAGAGATGTCCAGCAGAGCCCTACTGAGAGATCATAACCTCTATTATCCCTTTCTTGGGATAACAAAGGCAAGCATGGAATTATTACAATTTGAAGGACAGATTTCCAAATTATTTTTATTTCTTGTCTTGCAATCAAACAGATGGTAACCTGAATCTTATTTTTCCAGCACATCTGGAATGCAGAAAAACCTAGACCTTTTTTTTTTTTTTAACCTCTGTTTGGTAAACCTCACTCCTTCCTGTTCCCACTGCCTTACCCTAAAGCTACAAGATGTAGCTTTAATGTAAAATCCACAATTCAGAGATTTTTCAAGAGAGCTCCAGTGGCTCTGCGTGTGTGTGTAACGACGTTTAAAAGAATACATAACTGGAAGGCTTGATGGCTGCCTGGGCACAATCTCTTGTCTTCCCAACAGTGTTGGGAAGGTATTTCCACCATTTTGAACTGCCACACTGATGCAGTCAGCCCTGATCTGTAATCAGATAAGCAATGTACAAATTAGCCATGGGATGGCTTTCTTAGCCACATTTGAGAAAAAAGTTCAACGGACACTGTTTCAAAAAGGAAAAGGAAATACCAAATGCCTTTGGTGTCAGATACACATGGATTTCATTCCTTGCTGTGGCACATGTGGTTGAGTGATCTTAATCCCTCTAAACCTACACTTTCTCATCTGTAAAAAGAGAGTGTTGAAACCTATGTCACAGAGTCATCGTGAAGATTCAGAATTAGAGATTATATGCATTCCCAACTAAGAGGATGCCTAGAAAGTATGAGGCATTCACTAAATAGCTGCTATTATCATTATCACCATCATCATCATCAATAACACTATTAGTGTTATTAACCCATAAATTTGTGATGCTTCTTACAGAAAATGCAAGCTAATGTTTCCAGCTCAAAATATGAGAGAAGTGGCAAGCCAGAGAGAAAAATCAGATCCACTAGAGACCCTCCACCTCGGTACCACAGCCTTATGTCTGTTAAAGTAGATTTTTTTCACCAACACCTGAACTCCTTTTCTGTAATTGAGGAATCTACCACTATATGAGAGAGGGCAGATCTGTCCTCCAGCTTTAGATCTTTCTATCTTTCAAATCTTTCTATCTAGGATTTTGAAGCTGGTGTAAGTAGCACCAGAATTACCTTCTTCCAGCGCCCAGTGGGGATAGTGGAAGGGACAGCATCCAGTGTCCAGCAGTGGCCAAGGGACAAGCCAAAGGATAGTGCAAGGGACAGCATTTGTGTCCAAAGGAAGTGGCCAGGTGTCCAGGGTTGCACCAACATGTCCTTGACGGACTTTTCATGTGACATGACCTTGGCTATGATTCCAGCTATGCAGTTTCCTTTGCTTCCCATCTATGTTTTAAAACTTGTTGACCCAGGCTTCTCATCAGTTTTGAGAGCCATTTGATACCTTCCCAATATTTTTCTCTATAAGTTAGCCAGAGTTTATTTTCTCTTGCTTGCAACTAAAAACCTCAGCTGGTCACTGGCTAACTGAAGCAGAAAGAGGATTTACTGTGAGGGTATGAGGTGGCTCACAGAATCAAGGCAACAGCTGAGAACCAGACTCAGAAGGTCCAGGAGCCAGGGACTCCAGAGGACAGGAGCTGATGAAAAGTTCTGGTAGGGCAGAGCTGCAAGGGTAAATGAGCTAACACCTGGATTGTCCATCTTTTCTTAAAGGCTCAAATTCAGCTGGGCACGGTGGCTCACGCCTGTAATCCCAGCTCTTTGAGAGGCCAAGGCGGGCGGATCATGAGGTCAAGAGATGGAGACCATCCTGGCCAACATAGCGAAACCCCATCTCTATTAAAAAAAAATACAAAAAAAATTAGCCAGGCATGGTGGCAAGCACCTGTGGTCCCAGCTACTTGGGAGGCTGAGGCAGGAGAATCGCTTGAACCCAGTAGGCAGAAGTTACAGTGAGCTGAGATCACGCCACTGCACTCCAGCCTCACAACAAAGTGAGACTCCGTCTCAAAAAAAAAAAAAAACGGCTCAAATTCACCAAAGAGGGTTCAATGAGCCAACTTGGATCACAGGCCTACCACTTAGTTAAGAGTCACAGGCACTTTGATGGAAAATCCTGTCAAACCATCATAAATGACAAAAAACTAATGCCCCAAAAGAAAGCAAGCATTATCAAGGAAGTAAAAATAGATGCAGAGTGACAAATAAATAAGTATTTTTTTTAATCCAGCAAATGTTCACAATACTGATTCAGGTATGTTTGCCATAGGTTCAGGAGAGGATAGTGGGTCCATTCCCCCTCTAAACAGTGCACCCCATGATTCTTCCCTACATTCTCTTTACACCACGTTCTTCATTCCTGTCTCCACCCTCCAAACCCTCTTGTCCTTCAAATCCAGTCACATTCTACGTCACCCATGAAGTCATCCCATGGCGTCTCCACTTCATCCATCCCTGCCCTTCCTCTGAACTTGGAAAGTATATTATCTATAAAATAGTATAGGTTTTCTTCTGTAAAATTCTTGTCTTGTCTTTTCATATCAAGTGTAAGCTCCTTCAAGGAAAGGTAACTTCATATATCCCCCACAGCACATAGAAATGTTTCCTGAATATCAGTCATTTACAAACTATCTTATGAATTTCTGCCATAGTTCAGTCTCATCTCTACAATTTGTCTTTAAACTTACCGTATTTTAATTGTGTATTTTAGTTGCATTCTAAGAAATTACCATTGAAAATTATGAGTTTAATATAGTTATACATCTTTCCAATACAGTCTATACCCTGTTAATAAATAATGTTCAACCTTGCGATATGTTGAGAGAGAGAAAGATTAAAAACCATGTATCTTGAATGATTGACCGAGTACTTTGCAAAGCACACAAACTTGCAGATTGGAAAACAGGTGAATAAACGAGTGAGTCAATCAATCAATCACCCCTGAGATTGACTCACTGACTCTAATAAGAACCCAGCTGAGAGACACTGGGTCTCAGGTTGACTTCTGTAATTCCTTCCTGAGCTAATTAGTGCTCATTAAATCAATCAATCAATCAATACAATGCCTATATCTGGATCAAGCTAAAAGGAAAGAATGGAACCGGCTTCTGAAATTCCTGACTTCATCACACAGACAAAGTGTTCTGAAAGTAAGGCACATTTGTAACCCCCAGACAACAGTTTAAGAGCACATTCTTTGGCTGTATCTATAGTTGCATAAACATCCTTCCCCTCATAGTCCATTAGCTTCCAGGAAATGAGCAAAGGATCTGGCAACTGTCTTTCACTTGATCTTTGCTTCCCTCATATAAAGGAAAGTGCTTTTAGGCTGAGCTCTAATGGAATTGGAACGCATCTGTGCTTTGCTTATTTTAGTTAACGTTCCTTAACCCTCCCAAATCCAACTACTGCCTGAGCTCTGGGCTGAGCATTTATATGAGAGGAGGGGAGTGGCAATAAAGAACAAAGAGGGCATTTGGATTTATTTCTTCCTGCACAACGCATTCCGTGTCTTGTATACCCCAAGTCTCAGGGCTAAATTTAAATGGTCCATTTTTTTTTCTTTTGCTCACAATGTATCTTTAGTCAGAGCCAGACTCAAAAGCTATATGTTTTGGAAGAGTGGAAATATCATAACTGTTGGAGTCAGAGAAACCCCGAATTTTAACGTACATTTTGTCATTTACTTTTTGTGGGAACTTCGGTAAATGAACTTGTATGTGCTTCAATTTTTGTTCCATGGAAGAAGCATAGCAAGATACAGTCACCCAGCCTCTTCCAATATGAAAACCTCATACGAAATATGGAGATTTTCCTTCTTTATTTTAGTGTCATTAATAGTGACAGAGCCCATTCAAGAGAGAAAGACAACCCACTCCTTCCTCCAACTCTTCCCCATCCTCTGTAGGAAGAAATAAATATTTTCCACTAGGAGAGATGAGAAAAGTCCTAGGCTTTTTGTTGTTGTTTTTGTTGTCATTGTTATTGTTGCATAAAGAGGGTTTCCTCCCAGGTGCTAATGATTTAAGATGTTCACATTTGTGCATAAAATTGGAAGAGAGAGACTGTGTGTGTGATTTTCCAGTTGGAGGATGGTGAGGACTTGGAGGGAGATAAGGGAAGAAACACACTGGATCTGGCATGGTTTTCTGTAGTTTGACCTGATACTGGAGAGTTTTTCAATAAGCATTTCCTCCGTTCCCGCTGCACACCCCAATGCATATGCTGCAAAGGTGCAAGGGGTGTGGTCTGTGAGCCCGGGGAACAACGTTGAACAAAAGTCTTTGCCAGGCAACTGCCTCGCTTCTACTCAACAGAGAACTTCTCAATATAGGCACGTAAGTCCAACCATTAAAACCAGTCTCTAAGTAGAAGAAACTTTGCTCCATCTGTGGCAGCCCCTTGCCTGGTGACCACCCAATAAGAATGATGAATGACTGGTTCCACAAAAATTTAATCTGTTGGCGTCCAGACATCCTATGCATGTAGGTGGCTCCCCACCAAGTCCTAATACAGGCATACCTCATTTTATTGTGCTCCATTTTATTGTGCTTTGCAGATAACGCATTTTTTACAAATTGAATGTATGTGGCAACCCTGTGTCAAGCAAGTCTATTGGCAATTTTCCAACAGTATGTGCTCACTTCATATCTCTGGGTCACATTTTGGCAATTTTCACAATATTTCAAACTGTTTCATTATTATTATATGGTTTTCTCTGTTATGATGCTCTGTAATCACTGATCTTCAATGTTACTACTGTAATTGTTTTGGGGCATCACAAACTACACCCAGGTAAGATGGCAAACATAATCAAAAACTGTGAGTGTTCTGACTGTTCCATCCACCGACTGTCCCCCTGTTTCTCTCACTCTCCTCGGCCTCCCAATTCCTGAGACACAATAATATTAAAATTAGGCCAGTTAATAACCCTATGATGCCATCTACGTGATCGAGGGAAAGGAAGAGTTGCATGTCTCTCACTTTAAATCAAAAGCTAGAAATGGTTGAGCTTAGTGACGAAAGCATGTTGAACCCAAGATTGGACAAAAGGTAGGCCTCTTGAGCCAAACAGTTAGCCAAGTCATGAATGGGAAGGAAATTAAAAGTCCTACTCCAGTGACCACACAAAAGATAAGAAAGCAAAATAGTCTTATTGCTGATATGGAGAAAGTTTTAATGGTCTGGATAGAGCAAACCACCTTCAACATTCCCTTAAGACAGAGACTAATCCAGGCCAGGCCCTAACTCTCTTCGATTCTATAAAGGCTGAGAGAGGTGAAGAAGCTGCAGAAGAAAATTTTGAAGCTAGTAGAGGTTGGTTCATGAGGTTTAAGGAAAGAAGCCATCTCTATAAAACAAAAGTGCAAGGTCCGAAGCAGCGAGTGGTGATGTAGAAGCTGCAGTAACTTATGCAGAAGATCTAGCAAATGTCATTGATGAAAGTGGCTCAATTAAATGATATATTTTTAATATAGATAAAACAGCCTTCTATCAGAAGAAGATGCCATTTGGGACTTTGATAGCTAGTGAGAAGTCAATGCCTGGCTTCAAAACTTCAAAGACAGGCTGGCTCCCTTGTTAGGGGCTAATGCAGCTGGTGATATTAAGTCGATGTCAATGCTTATTTATCATTCCAGCAATCCTACAGACCTTAAGAATTACACTAAGTCTGCTCTGCCTGTTCTCTATAAATGCAACAACAAAGCCTGGATGACAGCACATCTGTTTACAGCATGGTTTACAAATATTTTAATCCCACTGTTGAGACCTACTGCTCAGAAAAAAAAAAAGATTCCTTTCAAAATATTACTGCTAATTGACAATGCACTAGTCACAAGAGCTCTGATGAAGATGTACAAGAATATTAATGTTGTTTTCATCCCTGCTAAAACAACATGCATTCTGTAGCCCATGGGTAAAGGAGTCATTTTGACTTCCAAGTCTTATTATTTAAGAAATACATTTCATAAGGCTATATCTCCCATAGATAGTGAGTCCTCTGATGGATCTGGGCAAAGTAATTGAAAATCTTCTGGAAAGAGTTCACTACTCTAGATGCCTTAAAAACATTCACAACTTATAGTAGGAGGTCAAAATATCAACATTAACAAGAGTTTGGAAGAAGTTAATTTCAACCTTCATAGATGACTTTGAGAGGTTCAAGATTTCAGTGGAGGAAGTAACTGCAGATATAGAGGAAATACCAAGAGAACTAAAATTAGAAGTGGAGCCTGAAGATATGATTGAATTGCTGCAATCTCAGGATCCAACTTTAAAGGATGAGGAGTTGCTTCTTGTGGAAGAGCAAAGAAAGTGGTTTCTTGAGATGGAATCTACTCCTGGTGAAGATGCTGTGAACATTGTTGAAAGGACAACAAAGGATTTAGAATATTATATAAACTTAGTTAATAAAGCATCAGCAGGGTTTGAGAGGATTGACTCCAATTTTGAAATTCTACCATGGGGAAAATGCTATCAAACAGCATTGCATGCTACAGAGAAATCCTTTGTGAAAGGAGGCATCAATTGATACAGCAAACTTCATTGTTGTCTTATATTAAGAAATTCCCACAACCACCCCAAACTTCTGCAACAACCACCCTGATCAGTCAGCAGCCATCAACCTCAAGGCATAATCCTCCACCAGCAAAAAGATTAGGACTTGCTGAAGGCTTAGATGATCATTAGCATTGTTTAGCAACAAAGCACTTTTTAACATTTTCTTGGTACATAATAGTTGTGCATATGTATCAGTCACGTGATATTTTGATATATGCGTACAATGGTGTAATGATCAAATCGGAGTATTTAGGATATTCATCATCTCAAATATTTAATGTTTTTTGTGTGTTGGGAACATTTCAGATCTTCCCTTATAGCTGTTTTAAAATATACAGTAAATTATTGCTAACTATAGTCACCCTACTGTGCTAGAATGTATTCTATCTATCTAACTGTATGTTTGTGCCCATTTTCCAAACTTTCTTCATTCCCCCATCCCCTTCCTAGCCTCTGGTAATATTGTTCTACTCTCTGCCTTCATGAGATCACTACTTTAAGCTTCCACAAATGAATAAGAACTTCCAATATTTGTCTTTCTCTTCCTGGCCTATTCCATTTAACATAATGACTTCCAGTTTCATCCATGTTGCTGCAAATGATAGGATCGCATTCTTTTTACGGATGAATAATATCTTATTGTGTATATATACATCTCATTTTCTTTATCCATTCATCCTTTGAGGGACACTTAGATTGATTCCATATCTTGGCTATTATGAATAGTGCCGCAATAACGTGGCATTAACCTCATGTAGCATAATGTTTACTAACCATTCCCATAACTCAGGCAAGTTTTCCTTCTAGAATAGTTGGCTGTAAAGTAATACCTCCAAGATATTGTGGATACAGTTCCAGACCACTGCAATAAAGTGAATATTGCAGTGAAGCAAGTAACACACATTTTTTGTTTTCCCAGTGCATGTAAAAGTTACATTTACACTATACTGCAGTCTAGTATAGACTACATGGGGGTGGAGGGTATGTCTTTGAAAGATTGATTTATTTTCCTTTGCATAAATATCCTGTAATGGGATTGCTGGATTGCATGGTAGATCTCTTTTTTTTTTTTAAGATTTTGAGAAATCTCCACACTTTTTTGCATAATGGTTCTACTAATTTACATCTCCACCAACAGTGTATGAGAGTTCCTATTTCTCCACCTCCTCATCGATATTTGTTATTTTTGTCTTTTTAATAATAGCCATTCTGAGGTAAGATAATATCTCATTGTGGCTTTGATTTTCATTCCCCTGATAATTAGTGTTTTGAGTATTTTTTCATATACCTGTTGGCCATTTGTATGTCTTCTTTTGAGAAATATCTATTCAGACCCTTTGCCCACTTTTTAATAAGAGCAAAGTATTTCCTAATTAAGGTGTATGCATTGGGTTTTTTTAGACATAATACTATTAAAAACTTAATAGACTACAGTACAGTACAGTAACTTATATGCACTGGGAAAACAAAAAAATTGTGTGACTTGCTTCATTGCAGTATTCACTTTATTGCTGTGGTCTGGAACTGAATCCACAATATCTCTGAGGTATCACTTACAGCCAACTACTCTAAAAGGAAAACTTGCCTGAGTTATGGGAATGGTTTGTAAACATTATGCTACATGAGGTTAATGCCAAGTGTCTCACGGGGTCTTTTAAGATTTAAATAAGCCAATGAATAAAGAGTACTGCATCTGTTTGCTCGTTCATCTTCTTCCTTTTACTTGCACATCGATCCTACCCTGAGTTTTGCCATGGCCAAGGAAACTATTTAATTCAACAGACCTATACCCCAATATTAAGTGATGCCATATGTAAGTAAATCAATACATGTTTCTCTTTTAATTGAAGAAAAGCCAACCATAGTTATCCCAGGAGTAAAACTTCAGTGTAATTTGTTTACAAAGTTGAAAGTAAAATATGCCCAAAGCATCTTTTTTTCATTTTTGATCCTTTTATTAGGAAATATTAGCAACACTTGAAACTGTGTTGATGTTAGTACTGAGAGCATATTTAAGAAGGAAAAAGAGAACTAAGTTTAAATGTTCATTGAAATCTTCCTAACCTACCCTTGACTTTCTTCACTTTCATGAGGTTGAGGGAAGGGTAGGAGTTTCAGAGATGGCTCAAACGAGAAAAACTGCACCACAGACTCTGGAAATTTCTGAATTTAATATTTGAGGGCAATATAGAAGGGCCAGACTATGAAGTAACTCTTAAGACCATTCAGCAAGAATCTGAATCATGGGTCACAAAGCTAGTGTCCTGGAGCAAGTCATTTAGTGGGTGAGTTTAATTGATCATCTAGTCTCTCAAGGATATGATTTCTACTCTGTATTCAATGACTTTCATGGAGTTATAAGAGAAAATTGTTGCTTGGTGACAAGAAAGCCAACTTCTAGTTCTGATATTGAAAGCAGAGAGGTATAAGAAAGCAATGACTTATTCAGAAAACACAACTTGTGGATACATTAAAGAATAGGGAGTGCATAGGGATAGCTGGTATCAGCTGCAAACCAGAACTTCAGGTATGCTAGAAATGTGATTGTAAACTTAACTTCTATTTCAGTCCCCCATTCCAACTAGTGATATAAAATTAATCTCATAATATTTTCAGTATATTGGGTTAAGTAAAAATGTATTATTAAAATTAATTTCACCCATCTCTTTTTATATTTTTTATGTGGCTGCTAGAAAATTTAAAATTACATATGTGGCTTATATTATATCTCTGTTGGACAGTTCTGGTCTATGTTATTTAGAATACTTTATTGCTGGAGTACGCAAATGAATTATTCAGTGGACTATAAAAACTGGTCAGCTGTAAGATGTTTTAGTTGATGCCAAACTTTTTTTTTTTTTTTTGGATACAGGGTCTAGTTCAGTCACCCAGGCTGGAATGCAGTGGTTTGATCATAACTCACTAAACCTAGGCTCAAGCAATCCTCCTGCCTCAGCCTCCCCAGTAACTGGGATCACAGGCATACGTCACCACACTCAGCTATTTTTTTTAATATTTTGTATAGATGAGGTCTCACTATGTTGTCCAGGCTGGTCTGGAACTTCTGGGCCCAAGCAATCCTCCTGCCTTAGCCTTCCAAAGTGCTGGGATTACAGATGTGAGCCACAATGCCTGGCATATGTCAAAGTTTAAAAAAAAAAAAATAGGCTGGGTGCAGTGGCTCACACCTGTAATCCTAGCACTTTGGGAGGCCAAGGCGGGCCGATTACTTGAGGCCTGGAGTTTGAGACCAGCCTGGCCAACATGGCAAATCCCTGTCTCTACTAAAAATACAAAAAAATTAACCAGGCATGGTGGCACACGCCTGCAATCCCAGCTACTCAGGAGGCTGAGACACAAGAATCATTTGAACCCAAGAGGCGGAGGTTGCAGTGAGGTGAGATTGCACTACTGCACTCCAGCCTAGGAAACAGAGCAAGACTTTGTCTCAAAAAAATAAAAAAATAATAATAAAAAAAAATTAAAAACTTAATCTCAACGAGTTTGGCTATGTGCCCTCAAACCCCATCCACCTGTGATACACACATCCTCTTTTCTAGAGATCATGTGTAAGTTCCAGAAGATTTTCATGGCACCAAAGCTTTGGAGAAAGAAGACAACTAGCCTTTGCTTGTCATACAGTAATGCAAGTATGCATCGTGACCATCCATCATTCCATGTGATCCTCAGCCCTTAAGCCGTTGGGTTATTGCCAGGTTATAACCATTTGATGGCCCCTTCAGGTATGTCTCTTTCTGTTACACCTATGCCATGGCCAATGTCATAGGAAATATTCCCATGGGATATGAGTACATTGTGAGGCTAGCTAAAGCCCAGCTACCTTCTAGACAAATTACACAAATATTTGCTCCCATGATATGCTGAAGTCTTGCCACCTTTTATGGTTCTACTGAGAAAAGTTGTTACAATAAGTTGCATGTTTGGTCCAATTCTTTGTATCTTCCTCTACCCACAGCTTTTGCCATGTGACTTTGCAGTTCCTCCCACTAAAGGGATAGATTCTATTTCTCTGTTTCTTGACTTTGAATTTTGCCTCATGACTGGCCTTGGCTAATCAAATGAGATTAAAGGAACAGTGTGCCAGCTCCATGCATAGGCCTTGAGAGGCTTTGCTTGTTTCCATTCACTCTCTTGCACCTCTGCTATAGCAAAGAGAAGAATATGCTGAGGCTATCTCACTGGTCTAAGGATGAGAAACATGTGGAGCAGAGCCAAGCTTCTCTAGTGAGTCCAAGCTAAATCATCTGATCACCAGCCAACACAGAGACATGTGAACAAGCCCAGCTGAACTAAGCAGAGTTCAAACCAAGCTCAAACCAATCAATCTCAGACATCCCCATCCAATCCACAGATGCAGGAGTTAAGTAAATGCTCATTGTTGGGCATGTTTCGTATGTAACAGTAATTAACCAGTATAACACCAGAGTTCCAACTTCCTGACAAAAGCTCAAACTTATCTATTGGATTTTTTTTTTCCCAGAGATAAGCAAATGGTAGACAAGATATAGAGCCCAAAGAAATGTCATTTTCTACATTTTCCTCTTTCCTCTTCATTTCTCCTCCTCTCTCCAGTTCCAGAGGTCTTGTCCAGGTTGTAGTTAGAAGCTTTGCCCCCACTCATTATTTAGTCTCTTTGAGACACAGATTATTTGTTTTAACCGCATTCTATTGTGTCAGTCCTTCTATAAGACAGTAAGCTTGAAATTCCTTATCTGAGTGAATGGAGGCTAAAAGTATAAGGAATGGGAGGTGAAGGAGGAAATGTCCCTTAATATTACAAAATAGTATCCAATCATATTTGCTAGGGCAGAATTTGCTAATATGGGAGTTTTATAATGGCTTAGAACCCTCAAAGTGTCAATGCATATAGGGCTCCCGAAAGGAAGTTCCCTCTTTCATACCAGGTACATTTGGAGGGTGTGTCATTAAAAAAAGTTTCCCCCCTTCGCCCTGAGGCAGAGTAGGAAATAGCAGAGATTTGTCTCAGGGGTACTGGAGGGATCCTCAGTCCACAAATGTCTTCCCTGCTTGCATGTATTTGAAATTCAAAATTCCTCATTTCGATTTTGTCCTTTTGCATACCTATTTTGTTCTTCAAGATTCCCAGATGATGATAATATCCCAAGTTTTTAGCAGGGAATAATCCCCCCTTGAGTAATGGAAACAGCATCATCTGAGATCAAAACACTCCATCCTGGGTCTGCCACTGGCCAGCTGGTCAATTTGTTAAAGTCAGTCCATCTTTAGGTGTCAGATTCCCTATCTATAAAATAAAAGGTCTGGACTGCTGCTCTTTATGACCCCAAAATCCCAGAGTCCTAAAACACTGTGCCCTATAATACAACTGAGAGATTGTTCTAGAGAAAAGAAGATAAGACAGATTGAAAAGAGGATGGAGAAGGAGTGAGTGTGGGGACAAGAGAAGGCAGGATTCAAGAAGGGTTTGGTTAAAAGGGAGGCTAGAGGGCCTCCACATTCAAGCTTTGCCTATTTTCTTATTTTATCCCCAGCTGCTTCACCTCTCCCCACTCCATCCCCTTGTCTCCAGCTGCAAAGACAGGTGTGCAACCCAGAGACCCAGATGGATAAGTTTACACAAGCCACCTATTATGATGGCAGCTCCAACTTCCCTCCCCACACCTTTTTACCCCACCCAGACCACTCTCCATCCTTTGTGGCCTGTATATCATCTTTATAGGCTCGGGTACTAAAAACCAGGAAATTATTAAAACCAGGTCTGGTAATTCCACTGAACTTGACAGCTCATTAAGAAGATTCATTCTAAATACATTCCGATCAGCTCTGGCTCCTTCCCCGGGCCTGAAAGATAGCAGCTAGTCACACAAAGAAGAGAAAAACCTGGCTTTGTTATATCAGCCCCCTCAGCCTACCTCTAAGGCTGCCAGGGACTCCTATTGAGTTTCTTTGGTATACAACCCTCAGAGGAGGAGCTGGAATTGTAAATCCCAGTAGCCAGTCCTCTCACCTTGCAACATCTCTTCTTTAAAAGATACTTTTGAAGAGTTGTGTGTAACTTACATATGGCTTGCTTATTTCTTGCATGTAATTGACTAATTTTCTGTCAGTTCTTAGTCACTTCTCAAATTGATGTTTTAGCACTATTTTTCCTTTGAGGGTTGTGTGTCTTGATTTTATTTCTTAGAGTCTATGTATTATAAATGACCATAAGCTTCTTCACATCAAATGTAAAGAGCAGAAGTCAAGAAGATAAAGAAAGCCAATCGATGTTTAAGGCCACCTATCTAGTGGTGTTCTAACTGGTATATAGTAAGGCACTTGATTTTTTTTTTTTAATGAGTGAATGAATGAACAAACCCTCACTACAAGTAAGATCCTAACTAGAAGTTTGTACTGATCAGTTGCTGCTGCATTACAAACAATCACAAACACCATAGTGTCATACAATATTCAATGTTTATTATTAACGTATGTCTGGCTATGCCTCATGTGTCTCATTCTGGGGATGAGGCTGGAGGAGCAGCAGCTACCTAAACATGTTCTTCTTGGGATCGAGTTCAGAAGCTCCCTGCGGGGTGAGTAGAAAGAGCAATACCTCTTCAAGGCTGAGGCTCAGAAGTGGTACCTTGTCACTTCAACCCACATTCCATTGGCCAAAGCAAACTGTACAGCCAAGTCGAATATCAATGTGTGGGAAATTCTTCTCCTCCCATGGAAGACGTGGGGGGAAGGGAATGAATATGTGCCCCAAAATAAGCTAATCTATCAAATACTCCAAATATAAAATGGAAGCGACTGCAGCTGCCCTGGTTGATGGTTGAGACAAGCCAGCCCAGAATCATCCCCCAAATCTCGTTTGTCTCTCCTGCCTCCTATGGTGGTTCCTGGGCTACTTCATCAGAAACTAGTGCTCCAAAGGACACAACTTTACAATAAAAGCAAGTACTTACATTTTCCCTGGATATGATACTGCAAGTACCAGGTTCACAAGTGGGGATTGAATTCTAGGCTGAGATAACATAATAAACAAAAGATGTTTTTAAAACATTTTCTCCCTAGCTCTAAGTACCATTCTTGGCACATTGTAAGTAGGTGACAATTAATGTTTCCAAAAAGGTGAATAAAAATCATAGTGAAAACATAAACTTAACAGTCACTTGGCTAAAGAGTCTATAAAACTTTCAGCTAGTTTTACAGTTTAAATTTATCACAAACACCATTGGTACTTATAAAGTATACGGATAAAGTTCAAGAGAGCTTGTGTGCTTCTTGGAGCCCTGCCACCGCCATGTGAACAAGCTCAGGCCAGGCTGCTGGAAAATGAAAGACCACGTGGCTGAGTGTCTAACCAAGGCCACTCTAGACCAGCAACTATAGCTGGTTTACTTCCAAACGTCTAAGAAAGCAATGCCAAGATCTACAGAGCTGCCTACCTGGCCCACAGCTAACCATGGATGCATCAGTGTATCCAGTTGAGACCAAAGGAACTATTCAGCTGACTCATAGACCCATGAGCAGTAATAAATGCATACTATTTTAAGACACTGGGTTTGGGGTGATTGGTTGCCTTAGCAATAGACAGTGGATGCAGCTATAGCTGTTTTCTTACTATCTTTATGTAGGTGCTGGGATTGGTTATAAAGAAAGACAAAGGAAGTGATAAGAATATAAAACGAAGTTAAACTGGAAGTTTTAATTGAGGTAGTGAGAAAAGATAGCCCTCAGCTACCAAAAGAGGCTGTGATATATACTAACAAGTAAATAGTTCAAAGTAGAGGTCCTAGAAACTCCTTAGATATCACCAGATAGAGGGCATAAAAGAGTGCTGAATAGAGATGGAGAAATATTTTTGTGAGAATTATTTTCTTAGAGCATGTTCTCCAAGGGCTATAGTGGATTGCCTGCTTCTGTCCTCCAATACAGTGTGAGGAACGTGAATTGGACCGTTTGGAGGCGTGACACATTGAAAACATGGCGGATTAGTGTCCACCTCAGTCTTACCCAGGAAATCCAGAGTGCAAGAGTTGAGTTGGTGAGTGCTATGGTATTGTAGCCTGGAGACTTGCTGTATTTTGTGATTGGCATATACTCTTAATTTTTCTTTTAAGAAAAAACATGTGGGAGTGTTTCCCCCCATGGACTTGATGTGGGTTCTGCATGTAGGATAGCCAGTGTAGGGGTCATCTTAGATCTATTCAAAAAGGGCTCCCTAGAGGGCAACTGCACCCCAATAGACAGCATCTGGAAGCAGATACTAGATTCATGGGATAGCAGAGGGAGTAAGCAACTACTGAAATAGAATATATTTGCCTTGATCAGTGGTTCTCAGCCATGGGGAATTTCACCCCTCAGGAGACATATAGCTATGATTGGAGACATTTTTGGTTGTTACAACTGGAGAGGTTCTGCTAGCATCTAGTGGGTGTAGGGCAAGGATGCTGCTAAACATTTTCCAGTGCATTGGACAACTCTCCACAACAAAGAATTATCCAGCCCCGACTATCGATAGCACCAAGGTGGAGAACACTGGCTTAGGTAAAGGTGGTGTTTGGGATCACCAAAGAATGCACAAATAGGTCCCATGAGAGAGTCAGCTTTAAACCTGCCAAGCTCAGAGAGCACAGAGCCATCCTAGGTGCATGCCAATCATAGAGGGATATTCCTAACCTCTTTACCTCTTCTAGCTGCCCTGCTCCTACCCTTTATTTTCCAACCCTTTCACACCACGGTGGTAGAACAAAAAAACGTAACTACAGTATCAAGAAGGGAAGGAGGCATGGTGGTGCATGCCTATAATCCCAGATACTTGGGTAGCTGAGGCAGTATGATCCCTTGAGTCCAGGAGTTTGAGACCAGCCTGGGCAACATAGCAAGACCCCTTTTCAAAAAGAAGGAGAAAACACCAGGATTTAGCTGCCTGGATGGCCTTGAGGCAATCTTTTGTGGTGTTTCGCGGCATTGGGGAAAGGAATAAAAACAAAAAAAGAAGGGAGGGAAGATGGAAGTGTAGTGTGTAGAAGGGGATAAAGAAGACAACACCCTTATCCATGAAAAGTGACTAGTTTGCAACAGGCCCCAGCTGGAGAAGGAGAGATTTATTGTGAAATTGGTTTTGGAATTTGAAATATTCTACAGGACTGATCATTAGAATTATTGAGTTGAGACTGTGTTTATGGCTTAACATAACCCTAGGTCTCCCTAGAGTGAACAGAAATGTTTTTGGAATTTACTTGAAATTTTATCTAGAGCCTTCTAAAGGGATATTGAGATGAAATAAGGTTGCTGATGGTACCCCCTGGGTCCTGTTTGTTTTATATACTCATTACCTTAACAGTTGCTGAATAGCCACTGTGAAAGCTGGGAGCCGTCACATATATCATCTCACTTAATCATCAGAATTGAGGAGCACATGTATTTTTCTCTTAGTATTTGAAGAGGCACCATTATTCTTACTTTACAGGGAGAAAACCAAGGCTTAGAAATGTGAACTAACTTGACCAGATGGCACTTCAGGGAAGGGCTGGGTAGTGGTGCTGCTGGTGGGGAAGTACGGGAGGTTGTTTCAGTGATATTCATTTTGTTAAAGCACATTCATTTTCAGAATCCTGGAATCCTACAGATAGGCATTTCATAATATATTACACTCTTGTGTCAGTGTGATCAGCTAAGAGAGAGAGACAGTAAGAGTTTTTAATGTGCTGCACATCAACTGACTCCAAGAAATTATTTAGAGCCAATATTTTCAAGGTATGGGCAAGTAGAGAGAGGAATCCAGGGCCAAGTCCTGCTCCTTAATGACCCAAATTAATCTTTCTGCAGCCAGTTGAGTTAGTCAGACAGATGTGTGTCCTCTTTCCCTGTGGGCTGACTGAAGACTTTTTCATGGCACTTTATATAAACCTATGTTACAGTCCTTGTCACATTGTTTTATAATAATTATTTTTCAATTTTCTTTTGGCCAGGTAGGCAAGCTCCTCAGATCTGAGGGTTTTTTCACTTTATTCATTTTTTATCTTGTTGCACCTAATACATAGTAGATATTAAATAAGCACAGAATAATTTATTGAGCTAAAATCCTTGTCTTTGGTCAGACCCAGTGGCTCATGCCTGTAATCCCTGCACTTTGGGAGGCAGAGGCAGATCACCTGAGGTCAGGAGTTTGAGACCAGCCTGGCCAATATGGCGAAACCCCTTCTCTACTAAAAATACAAAAATTAGCCAGACATGGCGGCTCACACCTGTAATCCCAGCTACTCAGGAAGCTGAGGCAGGAGAATCACCTGAACCTGGGAGGTAGAGGTTGCAGTGAGCCGAGATCACACCACTGCACTCCAGCCTGGGCGACAGAGTGACTCTGTCTCAAAAAAATAAAAATAAAAATAAATAAAATCCCTGTCTTCAAGGAGCTTACACTGTACATGTGGAAGCATGTAAAAAGGAAGTTGTAAAATAGTATAAATGGCATAATTTCTGTTTAGAGATACATATATGTTAGTATAGAGAGCAAAAATAATATCTGAAAGATTCTGCACCAAATGATTAACAGTGGTTACCTTTGTGAGGTCAAATTATAGACTCTTTCTCTTTCTTTAGAACATATTTCTAGAAGGGTTTATAATACGTAGAATTATTTTAGTTATTTGATAGTCAGAAAATATAAGATACACATAAGAGAAATGAAATACTGTATATAAAACAAAGTTGTATGTGACTAGTTTCAAAGTATCAGCATGCAGCAAGCATGCTGGAATTCAGGTGGCACTCCAGATGATGAAACTACAGATGATGGAACTCCAGAAGATAAAACTCCAGATGACGGAACTCCAGACAATGAACTGGGGTGATCAGGGAAGCCTCCAGGAGGAGGGCTTTGAAACTTACACCTTATTCAGGGCTTTGAAATAGATTTCCAAAAAGCATCCAAGTCCTGATCCTTCCATTTGATCTCAGGATCTTGTTATTGCTTTTAGAAAAGCCAGCGCCATCTGTTTTTGGAAGCTGGCACCCACACCCAGCTGTTAATTTGGAATCCTAAACCACTTTAAAAATTAATGGCTTTATAAAAGGTCTGCAACTGCCTCTTAAGAGTTTAATATCATATTTATAAACTCAGTCTGTATTGAGTTCCAGCATATTGCAAATAATTTACAGTGTTTTCCTGCACAGAGCATAACTAATGTGGATCCACAGCTGTGCAGATAACTTTTCCTATCAACAGATGATAAACTGTAAGTGGCCCCATTTGGATGTGGGGAAATAGTCCAGATTTTTAAACCTGCATTTGTGCCACTGGGAGGGAATTGCTATAGCAATGGCTTCCCTTACCTGGAAATCATCTTGATAGTAATAAATACAGCCAGCTTTTTTTCTGCTAGTTATTATACCTAGGAAGAGTGAGCTAGTCATGAAATATTAATATACCACCTGCTGGTCAGCTTGCAGGAACTCTTTCTTGAGCAGCTGATAAATAGTTTGGGAAGTGGGTCAGCCAGCTAAGGGATCCTGAAGTCAAAAGGCAAGGTCTGGAATGGCAGAAGGGATGAAGTAAATTTTGGACCTGGGTCAGTTGCTACATAAGGATAAAATACACACATTTGTGCCTTAACATCTCTTTAGTAATTTCTTGGTGCATTTCAGGATCCTAGAAACCAGGTCTGCTCTTTGCAGGTATGAAGTTCTTGCCTCTAAGGTCCTGGTTCCTGTGCAATATTCAGTCTACCTGCATATCAATAGTCTTAGTTATAGTGACTCCATGGATAGCTTTTGGTGTAAAGTACCAACGGTATACACATTGCCACTTCTACCGTATTCTGTTGGCTAAAGCAAAGTAAAAGCCAAGCCAGAATTCAAGGAGCAGTAAAACAGACTCTATTTCTTGGTGGGAAGAGCCCCCACATCACATTGCCTAGAGTACAGACACAGAAAGATGTGAAGAATTGGGCCCATTTTGTAATCAATCTACCACATTGGGTGTGATGGAGAATTCTAGCTGTCCATCAAAATCCACTCTCCCTTCTTCCATAGCAAAAGAAATGCAGCCAGCCATGTAGATTACATTGCACAGCCTCTTTTGCAACTCATTGTGACCTAGGTGACTAAGTTCTCATCACTTTTCACTAATGGAATGTGAGTAGAAGTGACATGTGCCACTTAAGATATCTGAGAATGTCTTCTGGGAGGCTATATTCCATCCTTTTGTCAGCTAGAATCTTGATGTAGCAACAAATCCAGCATCATTTTATTTATGCAGCTGATGACAATGTCCCTGGAGATAGAGGAGTAACAACTTACAAGAAACTTGGGTTCCCAAATGACCAAGAGAAGCAGAGCTTTTTCCTGACCTGAATTGCTCACATCAGAAGTAATATGCAAAAGAGAAATATACTTTTGTTCTTTAAACTGCTCAGTTACAGCCTACCATCACCTAACAAATACACTGGGGCAACTGAAGGCGCAGTCACCATTCATTAGAAAACGAGGTCAACGAATACTTCACTCTGGTATTTTGTGGAAAGAATCCAAAGTCAGTCCTAATCCCTCCCTCCTCAGTCCCTCCATGGCCCTCAGCCTCAGAGGGAAAAATAAAGCAATGATCTGACTCCTTGTTAAGAGGATTTTGGTTAGGAAGGTGGGGAGGAGAAATACCACTCTCTGTAAACACTTTGTAAATATACTTATTCATACTGGTATTTTTCTCATCTGATGAACCCACATCACAAATCTTTAACCTTTGCCTGAAGTACTTCTGATCATAATTGTGAGGGCTTTCTATCACAGGAGCATTGAAATTCTGACTTTACAGCTCCTTGAAGGAGGATGGGCCACCACCTA
Source organism: Homo sapiens (assembly GCF_000001405.40). Lineage (NCBI taxonomy): Eukaryota > Metazoa > Chordata > Mammalia > Primates > Hominidae > Homo > Homo sapiens. The sequence continues at coordinate 43,251,185 of NC_000011.10, forward strand.
TATTTCCCTCCCAGCTGGTATCTCTGAAAATATTGAGGAATGGTGGAAACTGACTTGAAGAGTGATCAGAGCTTTCAAATTAAGAGGCACATCATTATTGAACCTTAGGGGAGCCTGCAACTAAAGAGAAGGACCACGTGGCTCCTCTATGTTACAATCTTCAAAGAATTTCTTATCTCTTTCAAAATTAAATCTAAAACCTTTGACAGGAGCTATTAATACAAGGCCCCGAACGATCTGGCCATTTGTGGCTGCACAGCTTCATCTCATCCACATGTCCCCTAGTTGCTTCGTGCCTCTGCTCCCACTGGCATGGGCATCCCTGTTTCTCTGTTGCATTTAGTGTCCTTCTGCACTCCTCTCTGCCTGGACAGTTTTCTCCAAATTCTCTGCCTAAGTCCTATCTATGCTTCTGATCAAAGCTACAATGTCAGTTCCTCTGGGAAGTTTTTCCTGACCCCTCAGACCAGGATAGAGCCCTCTTTCTGCCTTCTGATGGGACCTTTCCTAGCACTGCAACAATTATACTTAAATAAGTATTTCTTTCAAGTTGAATTGTAGACTCACAATCCCCTGAGGACAGGAACCATGTCTCCTTTCCTTACCACTACATGCCGGCACCTGACATAGTATAGCAGGCAGCCCTCGAAAAATACTGAATGAGCTTATGCCTGTAATCCCAGCACTTTGGGAGCCAAGGCGGGCAGATCACGAGGTCAGGAGATCGAGACCATCCTGGCCAACCTGGTGAAACCTCGTCTCTACTACAAAAAAATTACAGAAAATTAGCCGGGCGTAGTGGCAGGCGCCTGTAATCCCAGCTACTCAGGAGGCTGAGGCAGGGGAATTGCTTAAACCCAGGAGGCGGAGATTGCAGTGAGCCCAGATTGTGCATTGCACTCCAGCCCGGGTGACAGAGTGAGATTCCGTCTCAAAAAAAAAAAAAAAAAAAAACAAACGAATAAACATATAGATAAACTAATGAAGGGGAAGTGTCAGAGACAGAAAGAAAAAGAGAGACAAACAGACACACGAAAAGGAGAAACAGAGAACATCAGTTTGCTACCTGATAGAATGGTTCACGTGCCAGTGAAATGCTGGAGGCACACCCTCCACCCCGGATCCCAGGATAGCGGCACAGCATCTCTCCTCCATGTCCCACTAGTTGTTTCAGATGTTAGCCAACTTGTTTTATTCTCCTTGGAGAGATGCATCCGTGAGGAATTGGAATGCACCTTACTGCACATTCCCTTGTAATAGCAAACATGGTGAATTGAATCAGTGGCCTGGGCTTAGGGACAAATTGCATTTGGAAATTGTATTTATGTATCAAAAAACTAATTACCACCAAGTTCCACTTCAGTAGTACTTGATGATTTCATTATTGGATCTAATTGTACTTCTATTCAGGATGAGAGTTTACTGTCTTTTAATTGATCATGGAAATTGAAGATACAAAAATGTGAATGGATACAAGACCTCTTTCTTTCGCTGATTTCTGGCCCATGGAAAACAAAATAGCCTCTCACCACTTTCAGGTGAAACATATAAATATTTATTCACCTTGAGCAATCTTTTGGGATCTGCTAGCCTCAAAAAATTTGGCATAATACTTTGTACCTTCTTTCAGAAATTTACCTCAATGACACAGGCTTCCAAATCGAAGGTGCACACTTTCACAAAACTACAAATGGTTGTTCCTACAAACATCCACCATTCTTCCTCTGATATAAGAAGTGAGGCAATGGAAGACACACTTCTTCATGACCATTTGATGAGGGGATTGCTGCCACTGTCCGCAGTCTCAGTGCAGCTCTGTCTGCAGCTAAGATAGGAAAAGCTCATGGACTCATCCGACAGGAGAGTTGTGGTGGGACATCTCACCCACTCACCAAAACTGAGAGTAGCAGGGTCTCCCATCACATTAAGCCCTGACACATTTTAATGAAGTAAAGCACTGGATTATCCCTGGTAACGTTTCTGACTTGTCACTTTATAGAGGCAGCAAAAGAGGGCAAATAGTATAGCAAGCGAAGCGAAAGAAACCTGAACTTCCAAAATCTAACAAGAAGATCCCCAACCCCACCTACACCCAGAAAGAAGGAACCCTTTTGTCTACCTTAATAATAGGTTTTGATTTATTTATCTTTGCTTTCTTTTTTTTTTTTTTTTTTTTTCCAGAAAACAGTCACACAGGGCTCCGGGGGTATTTTTAAAGTGGTGACCTTCCTGCCCCCTCCACCAAAGGGAAAAAGGTTTGCTGGCTGGCTGGCTTGTGCACTTCCCTCTTATGACCAAACCCCTAGTTCCCTTGTCTCTCACATCTTTATGTCTTTCGAGTGCCTCTGTGACTCATGTCTCCTTAGCTTGAGGTCTATGCAGTCGGTCAGTTGGAGAATGAGAGTTTGTAACCTGCAGTGTGCAGAATCCAAGGGCCAACAGGCAACTAGGGCACGCTTCTCTTTAGCCGATGATGTTTTGTCAGGGCTCTTGTTCCAGTCTGGTTGTGAATAGGCTTCATTTCCTGGTTCCATCACATCTTCCTCTCTTCAGAGCAACTCAAATACTCTCTAACTCTGTCTGTGTCTCTTTGCCTCAGTCTTCATTGTGTTTCTGTTCTCTATCTCTCTCTCTCTCTCTCTCTCTCTCTTCCTCCCTCCACTTCCCCTCATTTTGTCTCTTTCTCTTTTTCTTTCTCAGTCTGTGTATCTCTCACTGTCTTTGCCTCTCTCTATGTCTCTATTTCTCTATCTATATATCTATATATCTATCTGTCTCCCTCTCTCTCCACGTCATTTTGTCATTGGAAAAGCAAAGCCCAGACCCCACCACCTGTTCAGGCTGAATCTCCTCGCCACGGCCTCCCTGACATATCCACAACTTAATGCTTTCTGGCCCCTTCCCTCCCTTTTCCTCAGAGATCTCCCACACTGGCCCATCTTGTTCCAGGGCAGATACCAACTCTACTCCATGCTTTTTTCCTTCTCATGCTCCACAGCTTTCCAGTTTTTCACAGTAGTGCTCCTGACAGCCTTGACAAGTTCCTCCTGAAGGCTTTTCTCCTTTCCTCGTGCCCTCTTCCCTCCTCTTTCTCTACAATCGCTCCAATATTTCTTTCTTTAACCTGCCTCACTAAGTAACCCATCTGGGCACCCAATGCTCATTGTTTCCCAAGAATCCTGATCAAACCGTAAAGCAGTATTAACTTATTCCAGTGCAAATCATATGTATGCATTTCTAAACTTCATTTTTGACAGGATTGCTCAATTGCTTCTAACTCACTCACACAAGGAAATTCCCAAAGCCACACCATTTTGAACATGAGAGATTTTGCTCCTTAGGCTGATAAGCAACTTTAGCAAAGTCTCAGATACAAAATCAACGTGCAAAAATCACAAGCATTCCTATACACCAGTAACAGACAAACAGAGAGCCAAATCATGAGTGAACTCCCCTTCACAATTGTTACAAAGAGAATAAAATACCTAGGAATCCAACTTACAAGAGATGTGAAGGACCTCTTCAAGGAGAACTACAAACCACTGCTCAATGAAATAAAAGAGGATACAAACAAATGGAAGAACATTCCATGCTCATGGATAGGCAGAATCAATATTGTGAAAATGGCCGTACTGCCCAAGGTAATTTATAGATTCAATGCCATTCCCATCAAGCTACCAACGACTTTCTTCACAGAATTGGAAAAAACTACTTTAAAGTTCATATAGAACCAAAAAAGAGCCCGCATCGCCAAGTCAATCCTAAGCAAAAAGAACAAAGCTGGAGGCATCACGCTACCTGACTACAAGGCTACAGTAACCAAAACAGCATGGTACTGTTACCAAAACAGAGATATAGACCAATGGAACAGAACAGAGGCCTCAGAAATAACACCACACATCTACAACCATCTGATCTTTGACAAAACTGACAAAAACAAGAAATGGGGAAAGGATTCCCTATTTAATAAATGGTGCTGGGAAAACTGGCTAGGCATATGTAGAAAGCTGAAACTGGATCTCTTCCTTACACCTTATACAAAAATTAATTCAAGATGGATTAAACACTTACATGTTAGACCTAAAACCATAAAAACCCTAGAAGAAAACCTAGGCAATACCATTCAGGGCATAAGCATGGGCAAGGACTTCATAACTAAAACACCAAAAACAATGGCAACAAAAGCCAAAATTGACAAATGGGATCTAATTAAACTAAAGAGCTTCTGCACAGCAAAAGAAACTACCATCAGAGTGAACAGGCAACCTACAGAATGGGAGAAAATTTTTGCAATCTACTCATCTGACAAAGGGCTAATATCCAGAATCTACAAAGAACTTAAACAAATGTACAGGAAAAAAAACCAAACAACCCCATCAAAAAGAGGGCAAAGGATATGAACAGACACTTCTCAGAAGAAGACATCTATGCAGCCAACAGACACATGAAAAAATACTCATCATCACTGGTCATCAGAGAAATGCAAATTAAAACTTCAATGAGATACCATCTCACGCCAGTTACAATGGCAATCATTAAAAAGTCAGCAAACACCAGATGTTGGAGAGGATGTGGAGAAATGGGAATGCCATTACTCTGTTGGTGGGAATGTAAACTAGTTCAACCATTTTGGAAGACAGTGTGGTGATTCCTCAAGGATCTAGAGCTAGAAATACCATTTGACCCAGCCATCCCATTACTGGATATATACCCAAAGGATTATAAATCATGCTACTATAAAGACACATAGACACGTATGTTTATTGTGGCACTACTCACAATAGCAAAGACTTGGAACAAACCCAAATGTCCATCAATGATAGACTGGATTAAGAAAATGTGGCACATATACACCATGGAATACTATGCAGCCATAAAAAGGATGAGTTCATTTCCTTTGTAGGGACATGGATGAAGTTGAAAACCATCATTCTGAGCAAACTATCGCGAGGACAGAAAACCAAACACTGCATGTTCTCACTCATAGGTGGGAATTGAACAATGAGAACACTTGGACACAGGGTGGGGAACATCATACACCGGGGCCTGTCATGGGGAGAGGGATAGCACGGGGAGAAATACCTAAAGTAAATGATGGGTTAATGGGTGCAGGCATGGCACACGTATACCTATGTATCAAGCCTGCACATTGTGCACGTGTACCCTAGAACTTAAAGTATAATAATAAAAAAAAGTTAAAAGAAAATGAGAAGTTTTGTCACATGATGCCTGCAGTGTCTACTTGAAAACACACACCCCCACTTGCAGTTATATAAAGAGGATTTCCTTTTTCATTCTACAAAGTTTTACTAAAGGCCTGCTACATGTACACACTGCTATCAATAGAACAATGAAAATCTATGGGCCCTGACCTCAACAGCCATCATTCAGTATGCCCATCCCTCACTTAGTGGCTCTAATTCACTCCTGAAAATCCTGCTACTGCATGAAAAGTCACTAAGAAACAATATTTTCATTGATTTTAATGGAAAAAAATAGGACGTATTTCACCGTGACCAATAATACTCGAACACAGTGATACTTGAACAATTTGCAATGACAGAATAATATCTCAATTGAATTGTGAAACCAAGTTTTACGAGTATTAAAACTAAATCCAGTCAGTTCATGAACTATGGTACAATCAAGGCTTATTTTACACCGTACAGGATGAAGAGCAGGCAGAGGCGGGTGGAGGGGGGTGAGAGGGAGCCCATTCTGGGAAATGTGCATTCTCCTTTCTACACCATTTGCTTCACTGAGCTGTACTTAAAATTATTACACAGAAGCATATATGTAGGGTAAAAAAAAGTCCAAATGCAAGGGGATTTCCAAACATGGGGAAATAATGCTCCTACCTAACACATTGAAGAATTTTAGTTGATACTGCTCCCCCTTCCTCTCACTGGGCCTATGAATGCAAAGCAAAACATTTTAGGACACTCATTGGTATTTACCCAAAGAAGTTGAAGACTTTCATCCACACACAAATCTACACACAAATGTTTACAGCAGCTTTATTTATAATTGCCCAAACTTGGAAGCAACCAAGATGTCCTTCAAAAGGTGAGTGGATAAACAAACTCTGGTACATCCTGACAGTGAAATATTACTCAGTGCTAAAAAGAAATGAACTATCAAGCCATAAAAAGACATGGAAGAAACATAAATTTATACTACTAAGTGAAAAAAGGCAATATGAAAAGGTTTTTTTTTTTTTTTTTTGCCCTGGAAAGGGCAAAATTATGGAGACTGTCAGTGGTTGGCAACCAAAGCAAAAATAGACAATTGGGATTGCATTGAGATAAAATTCTTCTGCACAGCAAAAGAAACAATCAACAAAGTGAAGAGACAACCCACAGAATTGGATAAGATACTAGCAAACTATCCATCTGACAAGGGATCAATAACCAGAATATATAAGGAGTACAACCAACTCAATAGCAAAAAAAAAAAAAAAAAATCCATTTAAAAATGGGCAAAAGATCTGAACAGACACTTCTCAAAGAAGACATAAATGACCAATAGGTATATGAAAAATGTTCAACATCAATTATCATCAGAGAAATGTAAATCAAAACCACAATGAGATACCATCTCACTCCAGTCAAAATGGCTTATATAAAAAGACAAAAACGGAGCTGGGCACAGTGGCTCATGCGTCTAATCCCAGCCCTTTGGGAGGCTGAGGTAGGTGGATCTCTTGAGGTCAGGAGTTTGAGACCAGCCTAGCCAACATGGTGAAGCCCCATTTCTACCAAAAATACAAAAATTAGCCCAGCATGGTGGTGGGCACCTGTAATCCCAGCTACTGGGGAGGCTGAGGCACAAGAATAGAATCACTTGAACCTGGGAGGTGCAGATTGCAGTGAGCCAAGATTGTGCCACTGCACTTAAGCCTGAGTGACAGAGTAAGACTCTGTCTCAAAAAAAAATGACAAAAGTAACAAATGCTGATAAGGATGTGGAGAAAGGGAAACCCTCAAACACTGTTGACAGGAATGTAAATTAGTATAGCTACTATGAACAGCAGAATAAAAGTTCCTCAAAAAACTAAAAATAGAATTACCATATGACCCAAAATGCCACTACTGGGCATATATTCAAAAGAAAGGCAATCAATATATCAAAGAGATATCTGTACTCCTATGTTTACTGCAACACTATTCACAATAGCCACAATATGGAATCATCCTAAGTGCCCATCAACAGATAAACGGATAAAGAAAATGTGGTGTGTATATACTATGGAGTATTACTCAGCCATAAAAAAGAATGAAATCCTGTCATTTGCAGCAACATGGATGGAAATGAAGTCTATTATTTCAAACAAAATAAGCCAGGAACAGAAAGACAAATATTGCATGTTCTCAATAATATGTGGGAGCTAAAAAAGTGGATCTCATAAAGATAGAGAGTAGACTGGTGGTTACCAGAGGCCAAGAAGGGGATGGGGGAGAAGAAAGTGAAGAGGGGGAGAAGAATATAAGGTATTTATTGCCACTGATCTGTGCACTTAAAGATGGTAACAATAGTAAATTATACATGTATATTTTACATCAATTAAAAAAATTAAGATTTGTGGTTGCCTTGAGAGTACATGGACATAGAGAGGGGAACAACACACACCAGGGCCGGTTGCGGGTTGGGGGTGAGGGGAGGGAACTTAGAGGACAGGTCAATAGGTGCAGCAAACCACCATGGCACAGGTATACCTATGTAACACACCTGCAAGTTCTGCACATGTATCCCGGTTTTTTTTTAAGAAAAAATAAAGTTTAAAAAAAATAAAAGAATCAGTGGTTGCTAGGGTTTAGAGGAGAGAGAGATGAATAGGTGATGCACAAAGACATTTTAGAGTGGTGAAACTATTCTGTATGAAACTATTATGGTAAATAAATGCATGTCTTCATAAACTGGCCCAATCCTGTAGAATGTACAACACCAAGAGTGAACCATAATGTAAATTATGGACTTTGGGTGAATATGATGTGTCAATGTAGGTCCATCAATTGTAACAAACGTACCACTCTAGTTGGGGATGTTGATAATGGGAGAGGCTATGCATGTTGGGGACAGGAAGTATATGGGAAATCTCTGTACCATCCTCTCAATTTTACTTTGTACCTAAAACTGCTCTTTTTTAAAAAGTCATTAAATATGAAAAAATGGAAGGTCATTCAGAATGATGTGCAAGTCAAAAAGTCCCATATAGTCTCTGACTAGAAACTGTTGGGTCCAGTAAATGCCTACAGATGGAATACCAGAATCTCACTCTTCTTTGTAACATTTATATTTAGTGTGTTTTGAGTTCATTTTATTTGAGTGTGTTTTTTGTTTTAAAAAGTCATCATATCAGCCTGGAAAAGTGACTCGCACCTGTAATCTCAGTACTTTGGGAGCCTGAGATAGGAGGATCACTTGAGTCCAGGAGTTTGAGACCAGCCTGGGCAACATAGTGAGACCCCATCTCTACAAAACTAATGAATAAGCAAACAAAAGTAGCCTGCCATGGTGCCATGCACCTGTAGTCCCAGGTACTCAGGAGGCAGAGGTGCAAAGATGGCTTGAGCCCAGGAGTTTGAGGCTGCAACGAGCCAAAATCACACCACTGCACTCTAGCCTGGGTAACAGAGTGAGACCCTGACTCAAAAAAAAAAAAAAGTCATTATAACAAAAACAGGAATCTGTTTAAAAAGTGAAATAACTTTTCTGGAGCTGTTGTGGCAAATTGTCTTTAGCTGAACAGTTGTCATGCAAGATGAGTCTGTTGACCAGCAGCTGAAGAGGGAATCTACAATAGTTAGGGGCAGAGTGGGGAATACAAGGGAAAATAGGTAATGAGAAATGCAGAGCTCCAAGCTACCAATTATCTGAAAAGGGGGCCCCTCCCAGCTGAAAAAGCAGGGCCCCTTGTGTCCCTGCTTCACAAGGCAGTGAGAATATCATTGGCTCCAGAAAGCTGAGTATCAAACCACAAAAGAGTAAATAACATCTTCTGCCCATGAGAGGCCTCTCTGTCAGCCACACTTGGCTGTTAGATTTAACCGACCTGTGACCATATCCTGTAGCCCTAATCCCACCCCGTTGTCTATCAAATGCAAACTGTCAGTCATCAGGAAGACTAGATAAGAAAGTGTGAACAACAGTGGAATTCTATGTCCACTGGAATTAATAGCATTGCATAAGACACAACAAGCTGCATTACTGTTTTAAAGCCAAATCCCAGAAATGAGGACCTCTGCTAGCCGGCATGGTGCCTTTAGGTAATTTTGAGAAAGGTGCCCAGTCTGGGAAAGTCCCTCAGATGTAGCACCAAGACCAGATACAGAGCTTAATAAATGAAGCAAACTTTCCATTTCAGCCCTCGTTCACCTCTTATTAGTCTGAGTGTTTTTATGCAGTGCACAAAATACACATCTATATGCAGCAGTCCCAACAGAAAACTACATAATGGAAGAATGGAAAACCCAGCCTGCAGACTACTTATTTCAAGGAATATTCAATAGTCACTTTATATTTAAATTCCAACACACAGAGGATTCTGGAGTCAAGAGATCAGGATCATATACATGGTGAAACCATAACATAATATATAATCCTGAGCAAATCACTTCTCTTCTTTGTCTGACCTCAATTTTCTCACCTGCAAATAGAGGAAACTGAACTTGCTGACCTCTGAAGATACTTCCAGCTCTGGTCTTCAGGTATCTAAGATGAACTGGCACAAAAAGTGTGGAGGGTAGCATTGTTTGCAATGACGACAGTTTTTTAAAAGGATAAAGAAAAAAATCCTGACCACCACCCAGATGTTCATCAATAATGGACGGAAGTAAATGATAGTACATTTATGCACTGTAATAATTTGTAATATTTTTAAAATAAACCATTTAAATCTATAGTTAATGATATAGAGCAATGCCTGATATGTAGTGTTAATTTTTTTTCTTTTTTTTTTTGAGGCGGAGTCTCACTCTTTCGCCCAGGCCAGACTGCAGTGGCACTATCTCGGCTCACTGCAAGCTCCGCCTCCTGGGTTCACGCCATTCTCCTGCCTCAGCCTCCCGAGTAGCTGGGACTACAGGCACCCGCCACCACGCTCGGCTAATTTTTTGTAATTTTAGTAGAGATGGGGTTTCACTGTGTTAGCCAGGATGGTCTCGATCTCCTGACCTCGTGATCCACCCGCCTAGGCCTCCCAAAGTGCTGGGATTACAGGCGTGAGCCACTGCGCCCGGCCTGTAGTGTTAACGTTTTTAAAAAACAAGCTGTAGAAATATATAAAGAATATGATTTAGACACACACACACACGCACACACACAGGCTTATTTTTTATTTAAAATGATCGTATAGGGTTAACACAATAAACGATTCACAGTTGTTAGTTTTAAAAGGTATGATGGAGGGGTGAGGGGTAAGAAGGGAGTCTTTCACTTTTATTTTACATCCTCTGTGACTATTTTAGGTTTATCTAAATTTATCTTAAAAGTCGTAAAACATTTCTTACTAAAGAGCCTTACATTCTGCACACTGCTCTGAACAGATGCCAGGGACATGTGGCCTATTGTTACTCTTCCTCCCTGTCTCACCCCTCAAATGTTACAGTGACCACAAAGTAAGGTGTTCACAAAAATTACATAGGGGAACATTTTTTTAAACCAGTAACAATGAACACAAAAAAAAATCCGCTCATTCTACTGCTGTTTCAAAATTTCAACATTAGTTTTTGCAAGCCCTTCCCTACATCCCCAACCCTGTTTGTAAGGAACTAAAACCTTACATCTGGTGAACAGCAAAGGTTTCACTACACCTCAGATGCAAAACACCTGTGAAGCAGAGGCATGATGGCTTTTTAAACAGAAGCAAATGTAAAAAAAAAAAAAGATGCAGGACTCCTTCAGTCCTTCACTAGCATTAGTAAAAACTTTCCGGAAAACTGCTTCATACTGTTCTGCAGCAAATACTGTGCATTCTATATCTGGTCCTATGTTCCTATAATGATAATGATCTGATCTTCACCTCCTTCTAAAGGCTCATCAACTTTAGTTGAAGCTCCAACTCATGATGGATTTGTTTGATTCACTGACCACCTTTGCCAATAATAGATCCAACCAAATATTTGGGAATAGTTCCTTGTGTAGTAATAATAGGTCCACCATATGAGCCACTGTCCGCTGCATAGGAATAATTATATCTGGAGCCACTCTGTGGTTCATAAGCCATCAGCCATTCTGATGCACTCCATGTATCTATTGCAGAGTCCCAAGTTTCATCAGCACTGAAGCCAGCCATGCCATGTAACCATCTCCAGGTCTTCCTCTTCTGTCATAGGCCCTTATGTCTCCTACCCTCTGTAGTGGTAGTGGAGAAAGAGGAAGATTCTCAGCTTTGCTACCACCCCAGGCACCTTGTCCAAAAGAAGGAGGAGGTGGTCCTCAACAAGGACTCATGTCATCATAATCTCTTCCAGATGGCCACATGGAACACCCACCCTGACTGGTAGACATTCTGTCAAAACCACCTCTTCCCTGCCTGGGAAACCCCACCAGGCATCCATGGTGGTCATCAGACAACATTGTAAAACCACCATAATATAATGGTGTTACATCATGTAATGTAATAGGTTACATCATGAAAATTGGGATTATAAGTCTGTGCACATCCTCTGTAGGAGACTCAGATATAAGATCAAGGATAATTTTATGCACTCTACAACTCCATAGTCTTTCTCCAGTAAGAACAACTCCGTCAGTGGAATGAGGACAGCATTCCCGGAAAAGCTTGATTGTTGTTTGAGTGTTCCCTTGAAGCTCTTTGATTTTAGCATCTTTGACCTCAATAATTCCTCCTGCCAGACTCTGATGAGTCAACAGCCTCAATTCGCAATCAAAGTTGCTTCCTTTATAATGGTGGTACTCTTCCAAGGTAGGGATGATTTTCTTCAGAGTTTCTCCAACTGTTTCAATATCAGCACTGATACTCAGCATGCACTTGGGGCCATTGCCCTCTGGGGCTAGAACCCTGGCTCTGTAGTCTATACAGAAAGCCTTAATATTCTTATCTCCTTTTCCAATCACTGTCCAAGCATTCTTGCTCTGAAACACAACGCATAATTCAACCATCAGTGTTTCTAGATCTTTTAAATGCTTGTTCTTCTTCCATATATTCTGCAAGGCATTTACCAAATTCACCACTGGTTTCAGTGCTAGGGAAGGTTTTCTCTAGCTGTTCAGTTTCCATTTCTTGAATCAGTGTGAAATGGATACACCAATCTATAGGCATGTGGGGGAAATGTGGGACACAGGCAAGATGTCGAGGTCGGTGCAACAGAGAAACAGGATAATGACTCCTCTGTGACTTTTTGAATTTTATCATAAGCATTAATCACACTGGGGATAAAAGTAGACAATAAAATGTTTTAAGTTAGGTAGTCAACAATTAAGATCAAAATATAGAGGAGGGATTGCTAACTCTGAAAACTTCATGCCATTATTTAGATATTTTCTTATTCCAGGGTCTGCAGCATTGCCAGAAGCACATCCACTGGGGTCAAGTTTATGACTCAGTTTCCTAAAATGCTCTCACCTCCAGGTTCCAGCTCAGTGCCATCCTCCTCAGCTTCTCCCTGTGGAAGATGAGGCACCTCACAGTATCCTGATTTTACCTCTCTTTGAAATAGCTTGAGGATTTCTCCAAAATAATGGCTCTTTCTTCTAGATATTAATTAAGAAGGTCAGTTGCTGTTTAACTTAGAATCACAAGGTCCAAACTGAAAAGCCTAACTTCTCTAACTCCACAGAGAGCAATAAAATCCTCTCTGCAGAGACTTAATATAAGCAAAGAAAATTCGTCTGGAAAGGTGAGGCCCATCAGTCAGCAGGAAGCTACAAATCCCACGGCTGGTGCAACTCGATTATTGACCTCCACTGTAATCGTATCTGTTTTCTGTTGAGAATGAACTAAATTCCGTCAGGCTGGGCTCTCAGGGTCTCTGTTCACTCCCAGTTCATGATGCAGTGACCTGCGCTGAAGTCTCCCAGGGTAAATCTATTTTTTAATCATCTCCTCCATCCTGCTTTCCCTGTCTCTTAAATGGGAGATGCCTATCCTTACCACTGCTGCTTTTATAATTGAGAAGAAATCAATCAGGAATGACCAAAACACAATGTGTCTATAAAATACAACAAAATAATCACAGCTATTACAATGTTTAAAATCCACCAGGGCCTTCAAATCACTTGGGAAAGCATTTTATGTGTGAATATAAATCACACCATCTGCTGCTCTCCCCTAATGTTTAAATCAGATCACTGCCAAATCCAAGCATCAAAGAAAGAAGAAAAATGAGACCATTTTTTTTTTTTGCTTTCTCATACCTTTGAGCCTCTTCACCTCATTGCACCTCCCTTTGTCCTTCTAAGATGTAGGTTTTCCCCAAGGATGTTCATTGAGATCAACTTCACAAGTGATTGGCTTTCAAAAAAGTAAATGTATAATCTCCAACATAGACACCCACAAAAACTAATCCTTGAAGGCACCCTCCCAATGTTGAAAAGAATGGGATTTGGATTGAAAAGAATGGGATTTGCAGGGGGGAAAAAGAATTTTTGAAAAGTAATCAAACTAGGCTGGGCTCAGTGGCTCACGCCTGTAATCCCAAAACTTTGGGAGGTTGAGTCAGGTGGATCACATGAGATTGGGAGTTGAGACCAGCCTGGCCAACATGGTGAAACCCCGTCTTTACTAAACAAATACAAAAATTAGCCAAGCATAGTGGTGCACGCCTGTAGTCCAAGCTACTTAGGAGGCTGAGGCTGGAGGATCACTTGAACCTGGGAGGCAGAGGTTGCAATGAGCTGAGATTGTGCCACTGCACTCCAGCCTGGGTGACAGAGTAAGACCATGTCTCAAGAAAGAAAAAGCAAGCAAGCAAACAAGCATGCAAGAAAGAAAGAAAGAGGGAGGGAAAGAAGGAAGGAAGGAAAGAAGGAGAGAGAGAGACAAAAGAAAGAAAGAAAAAGAAAGAAAGAGAAAGAAAGAAAGAAAGAGAGAGAGAAAGAAAGAGAGAGAAAGAGAGAAAGAAAGAAAGAAAAGAAAGAAAGAAAGAAAGAAAGAGAAGGAAAGAAAGAAAGAGAGAAGGAAGGAAAGAAAGAAAGAGAGAAAGAAAGAAAGAAAGACAGTCTTGGTCCTCAGAGGGCTCACCAACTGTAAGAGATGCTTTCCTCTCAATTCCTTTCTTGCTCAGGGAAATACTAAGACACACCTAGATTGGGGATGTTAACCTCTCATCAGCTTCCAGGTCACAAACACAGCTGAATCACGTGCACAAGGGAGGTTCAGAAAGCAAGAAAAGATTTTCTGAGGAATACGGAGGCCAACCCTGAAATGCAAAACCACATTACACCAATTATTCCTGATCCAGGCTGAGGTGTCTGGATACAGTGGATAATTAGAGGCTGCCCCAGTCTTTGCACCGACATGACTGGTGCTATTTAATGTAATTACATTACAGTAAAATGATGAGTTTTCCCATAATTGGTAGTTACAACATAATTGTGACTACACAGAATATTAACACCCTAATTGCTGGAGCCTTCTATTCATGTCAATGAATGTTTCCATTCTCTCTGGGCAGTAAAGTGAGAGAATTAGAATTTTCTGGACTAGCCCCTCACATCCATCCTCTTTTTTTCATACATCAATCCCCTTAGATCTTTTAAAGAATCTCACTTTTACGGTAAGCCTCAAGGACACAATTTCTTTTTCTCCTCTTACTTTCCACCTTCCTTCCCTAATACAATCAGCTCTGCAAACCAGAAAGCATGGGACAGATTCATTTCATTGACAAGCACAGTATTCTAGAGAGTGCTAAGCTCAGAAAAAGGCAGGCCTGTGCAAATCCTGGCTTGCCTGCTTTATTTCTGTGTGACCTTGGCAAGTCACTTAACCTTGCCAAGTCTTAGTTTCCTCATCTGTAAAGTGAAGATTAATACCACCCGCTTCATGGTACTAATGTAGCATGTAAAATAAGCACTTAAGTCCAGATGCGGTGGCCCATGCCTGCAACCTCACCACTTAGAGAGGCCATGGCGGGTGGATCACTTGAGCCCAGGAGTTCGAGACCACCCTGGGCAGCATGGTGAAACCCCATCTCTACAAAATATATATTTTTAAATTATCCAGTCATGGTGGCACACACCTGCAGCCTCAGCTACTCAAGAGGCTGAGGCAGAAAGAACTCTTAGGCCTGGGAATTCAAGGTTGCAGTGAGCTATGATCATGCCACTGTGCTCCAGCCTGGGTGACAGCAAGACCCTCTCTCTATAAATAAATAAAATAAGGGTATAAGTAATGTTAGTTGAATTTGAGAGTATCTTACTAACAAAAATTATAGGATATTGTTCCCAGGGTTATTTCTGTTTTTAAGGGGAATACGGATACTTTGAATTAAATCAACCAACATCATTATTCAACAGGTAGGTAAAGTATTTAAGGAAGTAGAAGAAGTTCTTCCAAAACTCATTGTCATACATAATAATGTCTGGCCACTTAAGACACAGATTAGCATGATGATTTAATGCAATACCCAAAATCCAGATGGCCCAGGTCTAGATCCCAGTCTGCCACTTTCTACCTGTGTGGCATTGGGCAAGCAAATTTACCTATCTGTGTTATTATCTCCATCTATGAAACCAAAATGTTGTTAATTGTACTAAACTCGTAGGGTTGTTATAAGGATCAAGTAAGTTGAAATACGTAAAGCCAGCTCCTCCTACCACCCCCAGCCAACCAAACACTTTCTAAGGATTGAGACTATATATGTGTGATTAAGTCCTCTTCAATGGTAGGAGCTGTAAGACGTAAAACTTAGCACTGTTGATAGCAATTATTCCCCTCCATATGAAAAATAGAACAAAAGAAAAAAGAAAAAACAGCAGTCTTCAGTGAGAAAGAATGCAGGAGACACAGTGGAAAACAAAGAAAGAGCTGGTGATATTCCAGAGCTTGTTCTAGTTTGTCCTGCATCCCAGATTTCTATGATTTAGTTACCCAACCTCCCTTAGAGACTATGAGCTGATAAATTCTCCTTTCTGACAAGTTGTATTTTCATCTCTTGCAACCAAAAGAGTTCTGACTGATGCGTCCCTAAATTTTGGGGAGAAGCATACTGACATCCTTGAAAATTGAAGTAGGCTGGGCCTGGTGGCTCATGCCTGTAATCCCAGCACTTTGGGAGGCCAAGGCAGGTGGATCACCTGAGGTCAGGAGTTGGAGACCAGCCTGGCGAACATGGTGAAACCCCATCTCTACTAAAAATACAAAAATTAGCAGGGCATGGTGGCAGGTGCCTGTAATCCCAGCTACTCGGGAGGCTGAGGTGAGAGAATTGCTTCAACCTGGGAGTCAGAGGTTGCAGTGAGCCGAGATTGCACCATTGCACTCCAGCCTGGGAAACAAGACTGAAACTCCGCCCCCCCCCCCAAAAAAAAAAAAGAGAGAAAAAGAAAAATGTAAGTAGATGAGCATTGACACCATCACCAAAAACCTTCTCAACTGCTTTTACAACAGGAAAAAAGAGAAGGGCTATGTGTATAGTGAATATCGCAGGGAAGAGGAACAGTCCCAGTCTTTGGGCTAGACACCTTCCTCTACCACTGCCTTGTTAGACACTTGAGCAGGTCCTTTAGCTGCTTTAAATCAGAATTTCTCCCCCTCCTTTTTTTTTTAAATAAAAGGATTGAATTACAAGACTTCTAGGACCCTTTAAGCCTGAAAATCCTAGCTTTCAGTTTCATTTCTCAAAGTCAATTAATTGCATCTGAGCTGTCAAGATTCATTGGTATTTGTCTAGCAGGAGTTTGTTTTCAAAACTCCTTCCTATTCTCCTTTTTTTTCAGTCTGGAAGCTTCTGTTAGCATTTGAGCCAATCTCATCGTTTCTTCAATTAAATCCAACACTTCTTGGAAACTGGCTGGAAGGCTACAGCCTGGATGGCAGAGAAGGGATTAACAAGAGTTGCTCATTAGCACGATACGGCTAATGAAGAAACTGTGTGGCGATCGCTTCTCTGGAGAGGAGTTTAACCTTGGGAAGGATTTCACTGGTGGCGGCTGAGGACACTGATGCCTTTGAGAAGGGGTTGCAGAAATTAGCCTAGGGTTGCACTCACTAAGAGAGAGAGAGCCTTAAGTAAAGGCACTTGGAATTTGTTCAGGCCAATCTGTAGGGAGCAGATGTCGCCAGGAGCTTGGGGCTGGGATGTGAGCCAAGGTCGAAGAAGGAGTCAGGAAAACCCTAGTGACAGATCAGCGGAGCCAGCGGCCATGCCTGTTATAGAATGAAATGCTGGCTTCCAATGTTTGCAGCCAGCTTTGCTGTATCTGAGAAGAGTTGGAAGGAAGATGAAAAGATGAAAAACGCCTGCCAAGCAGATAGCAGTCTTGCCTGCCACGTCTGAAATGGCATGTTTAATCACAGTGGCACACTTTCTCTTGCCTACTAATGACAGAAGGAAGTTCCTAATGAAGTTATTGCTCTGCTGACTGAATTAATGATTTCCAGTTACAGGGCTTGTAAACACACCATGTTACACGTGCACGTGTTAATTGAGGCTTCACTTTAGAGACACTGACTCCACAGATAACTCATCACAGGTAGCAAAGTACCAAGAGAAAGCAGGGCTAACCAAGGGGAATGGGCTGTGGTTGCTTGGAACACTCAGGGCCTGATAAGTATTTGTGAATTAGGGAAAGGGGAAAGGGAGAGAAGTGGATGACACCTATCTAAAGATGAGAAAGAGGGCACCAGAGAGCAGATAAAGCAATCCGTATCCCTGACCTGTGCCTCTGCCATCCCCTATATCCAACTTCATACTCCATTCCTACAGCATTCATTCTTCCCACCTTCAAGCCCACTCACTGCAAATCCCTAATTTAGACGTTGCACTGAACATATTTGCCCAATGGTGAGCCTGATAATATGGCCAAATATGCTGGAGAAAGAAATTGTTTTTTTCTTTTCCAAACGTGTTTTTTAAAGCCATCAGAAGGACATGCGTCTTTTAAGGTGGCAAGCTCACCTGTGGCGTCACGGGGTCCACAGCAAGGAGGACACAGAGAAGCCAATCTCGGAGGCCACAGGCTGCGTCCCACTTCCTGTGGCTGCGCTGCTGCCATCTGCATCTGAGTCGGTCAGGGACTGAGAGCACAGCAGGCCGGGGAGCGAGCGGCTGCCAAATTACAGAGCAAGGAGCACTTAGGATGGTGGGAGGGGGAGGAAAGGAGGAAGCTAACTAATAGCTTGCAAGCGTGTCTTCTAAAAAGTGTGTTAACCAAACAAGCTGCCATCCCTTAATCCCTCCCACTCCTGCCTGAATGTACACTAATTGAAAATTAAGTTTTCAATTTGAAGCCATTTTCTAATTCTGTCTCATTCAGGAGCAGTTAGAGCGCCGGTGTTTTGCTGAATTCCCAGCGTGCTTTTCATGAGCTCCCTCAGAAAGCCAACAAAAGAGTCTTGTCAACATGTTTCTGACAGCAGCAGGAAAAAGGGTTTGTGTAGAAGGAGAGGGTCATCTTGGGAGCCAAAGAAAGCAAGGCCAGACCAGGCTACAGATCCTGCAGATCTTGACTGGACATAGAAGACATTTATTTCCTCCTTCCTTTTCCCATCTCTTCTTTCCCCAGTTAAACCGTAGTTACAGCCTGGTCAGAAGGGAATCCTCTCACTCGTCACTGACCTGTGCCCAGCACATTTGGAAAACCTCGCCAATAACACCAGAAGCTCCTTGTGGGCAGGCACTCTGTCGTATACAGACAGGCTTTGATTTCCAGGGGTAATTGACTACCGTGAATGAACTTACTTAAAAGGAGAGGAAAACGTCATAGAAAATAGAGAAAACGAGGTTTACTGGGGTTCTATATTAAAACCTGAAGTGGGCTGGGCATGGTGGCTCACGCCTCTAATCCCAGCATTTTGGGAGGCCAAGGTGGGAGGATTCCTTGAGGTCAAGAGTTCAAAACCAGCCTGAGCATCAGAACGAGACCTCATCTAGAAAAAAGAAAGAAAAGAAAGGAAGAATGGAAGGAAAGAAGGAAGGAAGGAAGGAAGGAAGGAAGGAAGGAAGGAAGGAAGGATTCAAGCATGGTGCACGCGCCTGTGCTCCCAGCTACTTGGGAGGCCTGAGCATGGGAGGTCGAGGCTGGAGTAAGCTGTGATCGTGCCACTGCACTCCAGTCTGGGTGACAGCAAGACCCTGTCTCAAAAAAAAAAAAAAAAAAATATATATATATATATATATATATATATATGTACATATATATATGTACATATATAAAATAAAATAATAAAACCTGAAGTGAAAAGTTATAAAAATTGATTTAAACTTATAAATAACAAGCTGTAGGTCATTACTATTCCAGAATAAAGAATAAATCATGCATTGATTCCTTTAGCATAATTTTTTCACAAAATTGTGTGATTGCACAATAGGGTATTCTTTATTTCATATTTAACGCTCTCAGTGAGAACAAATAAGAGAGTCATTTTTGAAAAATACTTAAAGGCTTCCTCATTTTGCCGAAGAGACTCCCTTAGGCATTTGATATTTTAATCATTTTCTCTCAAAGAAGTTCAGGCATCCTCATCCTTATCTGCTTCAATTTATAAGGGTTCTTCTGATTCCTGTTTTGCCAATGGTTCAGACCATCCTCCAATATCAATTCCCTCGACTTCATGAAATCCTACACCTTTTGCAATATTTTCAGTTTCACTTTGCAATTGATTGCCATTGAATTTGCACTGCATTTGTTAGACATTCATCTTTCATCAAACATCAAGAGCCTGACACCCACTCACAAAGACCCTGAGTCATGGAAGGATGTGTCCTGGAGAACTGTTGGAAAAGGTGAGTTTGTTAGTGGGTATTGTCATTTGCGAAGCTTTTCCTATGCAATTTCATAGAGCCCCTGTGATTTGTTGAGTAACCCAGATATCTGTCACAGGTTGCTACCAAGTCGTGATTTCAAAATAATCTAATTCTAATTAATGGGCTCCTGGAAAGGGGAAAGAAGGAGGCTTTGTTTGGGAACTTAATTAATGAAGTATTTCCAAACATCATGATAAATTATGACAAATGACATGACCACTACCCCCTTCTTAATATTTGTGATGAACAAGAATCTCATATGCTTTGATTTAAATGTAAGTCTGAAAATGCAAATCTTATTATGAATTGGAACTTGGGTGGCATAAACTTGAGTGAATGTTAGAGAAACAAATCTCAGGAACAGAATGAAATGGGCAAATAATATGCATGAATTTGCCCGGGGCTTGGGGAATGGAGGAGAAGAAGTGCAGTAGATTAAGGAAGCTTCAGATGGCAAATAGAAGTAAAACAATTTGAGGAAACTTTAAGCCCAAGTTGGAGAAAAAAAGGAAAGGACAGATTCAAGGAGTTACAATGTCATTTCTTATTTCTGGGAAGGGCCTAGAACACCAGCTATCAGAAGTGCTATTCGCTAGACAAAATCAATGGCTCATGGTTTCAGGGCTTATAGAGAATGTAATTTCAACAAAGAACTTGAGTAGTTACACTTGGTTCTCCCCCAAATGACTGTGATTCAAAGTCTGGCTCAACTGTGTGGCCACAGGAAGTAACCTAACTTCTCTGAGCTTCTGCTCCTCACTAATAAAACGGCATGTCACTCATTATTTCAAGGTATTTTTGAAGGTTAAAACTTATGTCTTTGTTATTATTACATATACTATGGACAATTTGGCACATACTAGTCATTTGCTAAGAGGCAGTTATGATGATGATGATGATTGATGATGATGATGATGATGATGACAGGGACAGGGCTAAGGTGTAGCAAGCCAACCTGAGTTCAGATAGGGTGGAACTGGGTTAGGCTGAGCCAACAACATTTACTAATCCCAGATGTTGTCACAAAGTAGACTTCGTCCTCCATACAAATGACTGAGGAGCAAGCACTAAGAAGTGGGCTGCTGCAGTGAAGTGCAGAGGAAACTTAGCAGTCCGAAGTTGAGGTAAAGCAAAGAGAAATGCTTCAGGCCTGCACACACTCTCAGGGGTGGCCAGTGATGATGAAGGGACAGCTTCCCCTGGGTGCGCATGGACAGTCTCAGCCCAGGAACCCGTCAATGTGTACGGGGAAAACTTTTCATTCTTGGCATTGTAAGATAAATGGCAGAAAATATATATATATAATTGCAGTACTGAATCATGGGGAAGGCAGGGAGTTTGGGAGGTAAATTCCTGGCTCCCTGATATGGTTTGGCTGTGTTCCTACTCAAATTTCATCTTGAATTGTAGTTCCCATAATCCCCATATGTCATGGGAGTGACTCAGTGGGAGGTAGTTTAATCATAGGGCAGTTACCTCCATGCTGTTCTCATGGTAGTGAGTGAGTTCTCTTGAGATCTGATGGTTTTATAAGGGACTTCGCCCCCTTTTGCTTATTCTTCTTCTCCTTGCTGCCACCATGTGAAGAAGGACATGTTTGCTTCCCCTTCTGCCATGATTGTAAGTTTCCTGAGGCCTCTCAGCCATGTTGAACTGTGAGTCAATTAAACCTCTTTCCTTTATAAATTACCCAGTCTCAGGTATGTCTTTATTAGCAGCTTGAGAAGGGACTAATACACTCCCTGAACATGTTAATGGTAACAGCAATCTAATACTTTCATTTTTGTTTTTTTTGTTTGTTTGTTTGTTTGTTTGTCTTTTTCCTTTTTCTGGAGAACGGGGTCTCGCTATATTGCCCAGGCAGATCTCGAACTCCTGGGCTCAAGCTATCCTCCAGCCTCTTGCCTCCCTGAGAGCTGGGATTACAGGTGTGAGCCACCGCGCCCAGCCGAAGCAATCTAATACTCTCATCCAGGGCACTTGGCTCAGGTCAGGCACCCTGGAATCAGAGCCTGAGGCAGGAATTCAGATGCACTTGACTTATTGAGGCTGTGCTCTCAGGAGAGCTCAGGCAAGGAGAAAGAGCTAAGCAAGGATGTGGTCCCAGATAAAGTCCAGCCTTGGCCAGTTTGAAGGGGAAATCAAACTCTCAGACATCTCCAACAGGGCGGCTCCCATGGGCCACCTTTTCCACAGAAGATCACTGGTGTGAGTTATCAGCCATGGCTAGGAATGGGTGCACCAGCTGGTAAGGGGATTTGGAAAGGGCATAAGCAATTTCTACTCCAACACTATTTTAGGTGCTTTATGTATATTAATTCATGATGCTCCTCTGAGGTTCTCCTTTGATTTATAGAGGAAGAAGCTGAAGCCCAGATACTCCAAGTAACTTGCTCTAAGTCATTCAGTGACAGAGCCAGGATTTGTACTGCAGCACTCTGGCTCTAGAACCCACACACCAGGCCACTGTACTGCCTTTTGAGATATTGTTATGGAGCAAAGCATGGTGGCTCATGCCTGTAATCCCAGCACTTTGGGAGGCACAAGGCAGAAGAATTGCTTGAGGCCAGGAGTTCAAGAGATATTGTTATGTGTTGAATGGTGTCTCCCACAAATAAATGTTGAAGTCTTAATCCCAAGTACCTCAGAATGTGACCAGTTGTATTTAGAAATAGGTTGTTATTAACTAAGTTAAGATGACGTCATACTAGAACAGGGTGGGCCCTTATATGAACATGGCTGGTGTCCTTCCCTATAAGAAGAAAAAGCACCCCTGGGCCTGGCATCAGGAGGGTGCTGAGGCTGTTGTCACCAAAGGGCATGTGCTGGGTTTCAGTTGGGTTGGGGACAAGGCTGCTTTTCTGAACAAATAAAGGAGCAGGATTTTTACAAATAGGGTCCAAGTGCTGTAGAGAATGGTGTGTGCAGGATGGTGGCTTCCCACAAGTCCATGTGGCCCCCATCTAGGTGCAGGGTGGGGGCCATGGGAGGAGGGAGAGCAGAACAAGACTGAGCCAGTGAGCAAAGGCCTGGAAGTAGAAAGTAAAGAGAGGAGGAAAGAGGGTGAAAAGAAATGCAGTGTCCAGGGAGGAGCCCTATTGGGGAACCTGCCCCGATAGTCACATAGCTTCTTTTCTATTTTCCTTAAGCATCGGTCAGCTTGAGAAATAAAGGGACAGAGTATAAAAGAGAGAAATTTTAAAGCTGGGCATCCGGGGGAGACATCACATGTCGGTAGGTTCCGTGATGCCCCACAAGCCACAAAACCAGCAAGTTTTTATTAGGGATTTTTAAAAGGGGAAGGAGTGTGTGAATAGGTATGGGTCACAGACATCAAGCACTTCACAAGGTAATAGAATATTACAAGGCAAGTGGAGGCAGGGCAAGATCACAGGACCACAGGACCAGGGCGAAATTAAAATTGCTAATGAAGTTTCGGGCACCATTGTCATTGATAACATCTTATCAGGAGACAGGGTTTTGAGATCAACCGGTCTGACCAAAATTTATTAGGTGGGAATTTCCTCTTCCTAATAAGCCTGGGAGCACTATGGGAGACTGGGGTCTATTTCACCCCTACAGTCTACAGACCAGAAAAGACGGCCACACCTAGGTGGGCCATTTATAGACCTATACCCCCAGGCGCATATTCTCTTTCCCAGGGATGTTCCTTGCTGAGATAAAGAATTCAGCGATATTTCTCCCATTTGCTTTTGAAAGAAGAGAAATATGGCTCTGTTCCACCCGGCTCACTGGCAGTCAGAGTTTAAGGTTATCTCTCTTATTCCCTGAACAATTGCTGTTATCCTGTTCTTTTTTCAAGGTGCCCAGATTTCATATTGCTCAAACACACATGCTGTACAATTTGTGCAGTTAATGCAATTATTGCAGGGTCCTGAGGCGACATACATCCTCCTCAGCTGACAGGATTAAGAGATTAAAGTAAAGACAGGCATAGGAAATCATAAGAGTATTGATTGGGGAAGTGATAAGTGTCCATGAAATCTTCACAATTTATGTTTAGAGATTGCAGTAAAGACAGGCATAAGAAATTATAAAAGTATTAATTTGGGGAACTAATAAATGTCCATGAAATCTTCACAATCCACATTCTTCTGCCATGGCTTCAGCCGGTCCCTCCATTTGGGGTCCCTGTCTTCCCGCAACAAAGCCCAAAGGCAGGCTGGAGGAAAAGATCAGAAATCACGGGGGAGGTGGAGTCAAGCTGAGAGGGAAGGTGGCTTGGGGGTGGGAGACAGAAAAGTGTAAGCCCAGGGAAGGGCAGGGGGGATGAGAGCAATAAGAACCATGAGGAAGCGTGGGGAGCAGACTAGAAAGCAAAGAAACCCACAGGAGAGAAAAGGGTTGAGGAAATGGGAGGGAGGTGAGCCCGTGGCGCTTCCACCTTCAGCCACAGGTACACTGGTGACTGCTTCCATATAGAGGTCACATGTCACAAAGGGCACACTGAGACTGTGGTGACCCAGATGAAGGAAGTGGGGCTATCACAGACTCCGGAACTGTCCTGTAGATATGACCCGGGTGTGTATTATAATGTACACATGGATTGTGTAACCTTTCTATGTAAGTAAAATGCATACAGACAGTCCTTGACTTATGATGCTTCAACTTAAGATTTCTCAACATTGAGGTGGGTCTTTTGGGAGGTAGCCCCATTGTAGGTAGAGGAGCTCCTTCTAAATCATGATAGGGTTACAATTTCTACTGAAAACACATCACTCCAGCACTGTCATAACATGGTAAAAGCATAAATGGAACCATTGAAAGTCGGGAACCATCTGCTCTGTTAGCAGCGTTAGGTGCATTTTTGACATATGACATTTTTGACTGATGATGGATTTATTAGGACATAAGTCCATTGTAAGTTGAGGAGCATATACATTAAGAATAAAACGGAGGAGTCACAGCCATTTCCCTCGCCAGGGTGAGAGTGCGAAGCCTAGTGATGGGTCCCCATGTGAGGCCCTTTGTTGTGCCATCAATGTGCCAAGAATGACCCACCTCTGGGCCTTGCGGGACATTCCCATGTCAGGACCACCTGCTGATCACAGCCTCCTCAGGCACCTAACCTGCATCAGGTCTGCGCTACCTGAGGGGAGAAATTGCCCCTATTTGTCCCACTGGCTTGCCATTTACCTAAAATGAACAACCACTGAAAGTGAGCATTGGGCCACTTAGGAAAATGAGGTTATAACCAGAGAGGCACAGACAGTGCTAACACAAAGTGGCTCCCAGAACAGGCCTTGGGAAGAGCTGGAAAGGCCATGGTCCTAGTTCTTGGAGTGACATTTGACTGTTGAAACTCTACTTCTTTTTGTTTGTTTTCAATTTTATTTTATTTCAGTAGTTTTGGGGGAACAGGTGGTTTTGGGTTACATGGATAAGTTCTTTGGTGGTGACTTCTGAGATTTTGATGCACCCATCACCAGAGCAGTGTACACTGTACCCACTGTGTAGTCAGTCTTTTATTCTTCACCCCTTTCCCTCCCTTCCCCTGAGTCCCCAAAGTCTATTATATCATTCTTACACCTTTGCATCCTCATAGCTTAACTCCCACTTATAAGTGAGAACATATGATATTTGGTTTCTGAACAATGGTCTCCAACTCCATCCAGGTTGCTGCAAATGCCAATATTTCATTCCTTATGATGGCTCCAAACTCTGTACTTCTGTTACCTGGATAAAAATGAAAAGTATATTGTAAACAAGGTCCACCCTATTCTAGTATGACCTCATCTTAACTTACCTAATTACAATCTATTTTTGTACCTTTTGGGTTGAGGTAAAAAAAAAAAAAAGAAGAAGAGAAAACACAGACACATAAGGGACAAACACCACATGAAGATGGAAGCAAAGACTGGAGTTAACACACCTGCAAGCCAAGGAACACCGAAGACTACCAGAAAACCACTGGAAGCTAGGAAGAGACAAGGAAGGATTTCTCCCCTACAGGTTTCAGAGGAAGAATGGCCCTGCTGATGCTTTGATTTTAGACTTCAGGCCACCAGAACTGGAGACAATAAATTTCTATTGTTTTCAGCCACCCAGCTTGTGGCACTTGGTGACAGCTGCCCTAGAAAACTAATATAGATAGTAGGAGAAGGGAATAAACATTGGGGAAGAAACAAGTCGCTATAAGTACTAATTTAAAGATCAAACTAATAATGTACTCAAAAGTACATTATAATCATAGGCAAGTGTTTCAAAAGGACATGTACATGAGGAATTCAGACATTTCTCAGGAAGACTTTAAGCTGTAGTGTTAAACTCAGGCTCAGAGTCATACTGGCTTGGGTGATAATTCTAGATAGGTCATTTTTTTTTTTTAGCAGCTATGTGGTCTTAAGGAAGTTCATTGACTTCTCTGCTCCTCAGTGTTCTCATTTGTGAAGCGGGGACAATGGTATTCCTCTGCTTAGAACTGTCAAGAAGATGATGTTAAATAACACATTTGACATTTGGCATAGGGCCTAGTACACAGCAAGCACTGGATAAATGCTGGCCTTTCTTTCTATTGCTACTTTGAAATACAGTCACTGTGGACTCCAAAAACCTGTGCTTACATCTCAGCTCTCCTCTTGGATACTTGCGTACTTCTAAGTCTAGTTTTCTCATCTTTAAATGGGATTGAGCTAAGGGGGTATTGGAAAGGTAAATCATCAAAACTATATGTGTAGGCTGGGTGCAGTGGCTCACACCTGTAATCCCAGCACTTTGGGAGGTCGAGGCGGGTGGATCACATGAGGCTAGGAATTCGAGACCAGCCTGGCCAACATGATGAAACCCCATCTCTACTAAAAATACAAAAATTAGCCAGATACGGTGACATGTTCCTGTAGTCCCAGCTACTCAGGAGGCTGAGGCAGGATGATTGCTTGAGCCCGAGAGGCAGAGGTTGCAATGAGCAGAGATTGCAGCACCACACTCCAGCCTGTACGACAGGACAAGACCCTGTCTCAAAAACAAAAAAAAAGACTATATGTGTGTGTATAGATAGATATTATTTATATATCTCCTTTAGGCATACAGTAATAGTGTCCTTTGTAAATATGACACATGTTGACAATGTTAGCTTATTATTTATTCTCCACTGGACTAAAGAGAACTAATTATATAGGCTGGTGAGAAGAAATATTTCCCTCTGAGATCCTGGAGGCCAGGACTTCTCAAACTTTCCTGGCTACACAATTCACCCAGGGAGATCATTGAAATGCACCATCTGATTCAACAGCTCTGGGGTGGAGCCTGACATTTTACATTTCTAAGAAGTCCCAGATGATGTCCATGCTGTAGGCTCAGAATTTACAGGGGCATGTAGCTGCCTCCGAAAACACCATGAGATTTACCAGGGAGATGGGGTTCACCTCTTAGCCAGTAGGGCTGTGCTCCTTCTGGGATTTAGCAAGATGATGTATCCTTGCTCTGGGAACAAAATCAGAGGCCTTTTATTGTAAGTATAAATTTTGTGTCTGAGCTGGCCGCCCCGGGGATAAACATCGTCAGAAGAGCTCTTGGGAAGTCCCTCTGGGGTGAGGTTGATGCCCTGTTTGTGCCCTGAGGGGTGCTGAATGCTTCCCAAAAGAGTCCCCTTGGTCTGAATTGCTTCAATCACTCCCAATGGCCTCGTCCCACAACACAGCCAATAGCAGGGCTGAAGAGTAAAAGCTTCATAAAGAAAAATGACGGAGGCTTATTGCCACCTACCGGATTAGGAAAGAAAAGGCTATAGTAAAAGATTTCATGGAGTCCAGCTCTATGAGAAGCACCAGAGATGGGGGGAGATCATAGAATTGCGCAGGACCCTGCAGGTCGTACATTCAACCTTATGGAGTTCAGCCCTGGAGCATAAACCATCCAGGCCTGATGCCATTCCTTCCTTCAGTCGCTTTGCCACTTCCTGGGAGAAGAATAACAGTTATAATTCATTGAGAGCTTCATGTGTGTATCTAGGGGCATTATTTGTATTGCCTCATTTAAACCTGGCAACCATTCTCAAATGAAAAACTATTATTATCACCCCTTTTTCAGAGGAAGAAACTGAGGCTTAGGAATTAAAGGAATTTGTTTAAGCTCACCCAGGTAGTAGGAAGGAGCCTGAATGTAAACCTGGGTCTATTAATATTTGCCTCCAAAGCCTAAACCATAATCCTAAGGGGAGGCACAGACCCAATCAGCCCTCCGCCATCTGGTTGTGTGGGACTGGGTCAATCCCTCAAGTGGGGAGTGGAGCTCCCTCTTCTATTCCCTTGCACGTTCCCTCATCATCCCTAAAACATAGCCTCAACCTGAGTTTTCAGAGCGACTCCAAAGTCTATGCTACTTCATGCTGACCAGCAAGTGAAGGAATTGTCAATTCTGGCCAGGCGCAGTGGTTCACACCTGTAAACCCAGTACTTTGGGAAGCCGAGGTGGGCAAATCATCTGAGGTCAGGAGTTCAAGACCAGCCTGGACAACATGATGAAACCCCATCTCTACTAAAAATACCAAAAAACAAAATTATGCAGGCATGGGGATGTGTGCCTGTAATTCCAGCTACTCAGGAGGCTGAGGCAGGAGAATTGCTTGAACCCGGGAAGCAGAGGCTGCATTGAGCCAAGATTGCACCATTGCACTCCAGCATAGGTGACAAGAGTGAAACTCCGTCTCAACAAAAAAAAAAAAAAGGAAAAAAAAATTGTCACTTCCATCTCCGTCTTAAAATGTATATCGTACTGTCTGAGTTTTTTTGGGCTGCTGCCACAAATTACTGCAAACTGGGTAGCTTAAAACAACAGAGACTTTTCCCAGTTCTGCAGGCTGGAAGTCTGAAAGCAGGTCGGCAGGGCCAGGCTCTCTCTGCAGGCTCTAGGAAGGATCCTTCCTCGTCTTGTCCTAACTCCTGGTGTTTGCAGCCAGTTTTTGGCATTCCTTGGCTTATAGATACTTCCCTCCAATGTCTGCCACCATCTCCACATGGACATCTTCCCCGTCTGTCTGGGTGTCTCTTCTCTTCTTATAAGGGTACCAGTCATGTTGGATTAAAGGCCCGCCCTACTCCAGTATAATCCCAATTTAGCCGGTTACATCTGCAATAACTCTAGTTCCAAAAAAGTTCATATTCTGAGGTTCTAGGAAGGACATAAATTGGGAGAGGATATTATTCAACCCAGAACATCCACCCCAAGGGTTTAAAGAGTAACCTCAAAAGTCCAACTGCCTAGGTTCAAATCTTGGCCACAGATCTAATTAGCTGTATTATTTTGGACAAGTTACCTAACCTCGTTAAACCTCAGCTTCGCCACCCATGAAATGGGTATAATAATAATTATCTCCACCTTATAGGGTTATTATCAAGATTAGAAGAGTTGATACCTATAAAGTAACTCCCAGAACCTGGCAGTAGGGTTCTTCTCCGGAGCCCAGTTGCCCAGGTTTCAAATCTTCGCTTTGCTTCTCACTGGCTGTGTAGTCTTGGGTAAGTTACTCAGCCCCTCCAGGTCACAGAGCACTCCTTTGTAAATTGAAGGATGTTGATGATGATGACAATGGCACCTACCCATGGAAAATGGGGTGGTTGTGAAAATTTAAAGAGTTAGAGCA
The DNA here is from genome assembly GCF_000001405.40 of Homo sapiens. Lineage (NCBI taxonomy): Eukaryota > Metazoa > Chordata > Mammalia > Primates > Hominidae > Homo > Homo sapiens. The sequence continues at coordinate 43,280,714 of NC_000011.10, forward strand.
GTGCTTGGTAATAATAAGCAATTGATAAATGTTGCCTAAATCAGCTACCTCAGAGCTCGGTAGAAGGGTTAAATGATACAGTCCAGGCCAAGCGCAGTGGCTCACACCTGTAATCCTAGCACTTTGGGAGAACCAGGTGGGCAGATCACTTGAGTTTAGCAGTTCGAGACCAGCCTAGCCAACATGGTGAAACCACATCTCTACTAAAAATACAAAAAAAAATTAGCCAGGCGTAGTGGCACATGCCCGTAATCCTAGCTACTTAGGAGGCTGAGGTTGGAGGATCGCCTGAACCTGGGAGGCAGAGGTTGCAGTGAGCCAAGATCACACCACTGCACTCCAGCCTGGGCAACAGAGTGAGACTGCGTTTCAAGAAAAAAAAAAAGATACAACCCATTTAGACTCTGAGTCTCTGTATGTGCTTGATAAATGTTGATTATTATTATTATTAATTTACACTAGGCTCATAGGAAGGAGAGAAGAGAGTAAGAGAGAAAGGGAAATTGCTTGAGGCTAAGGCCAGAGAGACTCCACAGGCAGGAAAATGGAAAGAGCCAGTATTCTCAGTTCTCCAATTTTAACTTCAAAGTAGGAACTATAAAGGTAACTGAGTTTACACCAGGTGACCTAACTGAGCCTCCAGACTGTTAAATCCCAGAGCAATATCTCTATTCCCTTCCCTCCCACACAAGCCCAAGATCCCTGCCATCTTCCTGCCTCCTGCTCTATCCCTTGGGTTCTCTCCCCGTCAGAGTTCACTGTGCAGTGATACAGTCTCTCCAGCTCCTCCCCTTCTTCGGGACTTTGCCATCGAGCCCACAGTTCCCTTCTTGCTTTAAGGATTTGATTCCTAATCACTGCAGGAAAAATGAAATAACAACAAAATAGGGAGGTGGCAAATGTTCCTTAACTTAGTACTTTATACCCGGCATAGTCCGTGGTCTGTTTCAGATTCCCTCTCTTAGGTGATACCTACACGTTTGATAGTTTCCTCCTCTCGTTCTTTCCTGAATACAGTACTCACTAAACCTCTGGCTATCTCAGACCCCAAGCCTTCCTACATGCAAATGCCTACTTTTGTAGTTTAGGAAGACTCATGTGGATAATTTGCATTCATTTATTTAAAACATATGTATCCAGCACTAACTAAGGGCAGATGCTGTGCCAGGCTCTGGGGATACGATAGTGAACACTGAGCTGTCTAGCATTTTGCTGTCCAATAAAGTAGCCACTAGCTACAAATTTAATTTTAAATTTAAAAGATTTAAAAATTGAATAAAGGTTAAATTTAGTTCTTCAGTTTCACTAGCCACATTTCAGGTACTCAAATGCTACGTGTGACCTGACTACTATGTTGGACAATGCAGCTATAGAACATTTCCATAAATGCAGAAAGTCCTATGGGAGGGCACCAGTCTAGAGAGGGAAAGAGATACTGAGCAGATACACAAATAAAGTAACTGCTTCTCTCAGCATCTCCAGAAAGGATGTCATCAATCTTAAAGGATCTCTGACCCACTTTGGAAAAGTCATGCCCAACGCCCCTCCTGGGCTGCCTCACACCATGGAACTAACTCAGAGAGGGAGGGTAAGGGGACCCGCATTTCTCAAATGCCCCTTCTCAACCTGGACTGTGGACCCACAGCAACACTGCAAGATTGAGGACTGTGACTCTGTGTTTTTACAGCCAAGGGAGCAGAGCTGAAAGCAGTTACTTTGGAGAGAAGTTTAGCCAAAATTACACTGATCCAGTAAAGAATGGAGCTGAGATTCTAACCTGAATTTGACTCAAAGTCTGGGCTGACTCGCAGCAGGGTAAGCTTATGGAGAGCTCTCTTCCGTGAAGCAGAAGGTGCTCAAGGGGAGAATCTTAGGGTGGCTCCAGAATCAGCCTAGGGCCCCAATGAGTCTGAGTGGTCCAATAGTCTCGTTTTTTGTCACCTTCAGAAGGTAACTCAGAGAGAGACAGAAACAGAATGTAGTTAAGTTTGAGATTCACAGCCTGGATCCCACTACTTATAGCTGTAAGGTGGCATCCGGCACAGAGCAAGCACTCATCGTCATCTGTTACATAAGGACTGGAGAGACGATCGAATGTGGAGGTCAAAGCTCTAACGTCAGAGGACCAGGTTGAAACCAGGCTTGACTCAGAGACTATCAGCTTTGTTACCTCAGGCAAGTTACTTACCCTCATTTGTAAATTAAGGATAACTGCCTATTTTCAAGGGTTATGGTAAGGATTAGATGAGATAATTTATGTAAAGCGCTTAGCATAGTAATTTACTAGGCGCATAGTAACTTCTTAATAACTATTAGCTATTAATACTGTTATTACAGCGCAGAGGGAGGGAGCGAGGCAACCAAGCCCCCACTGACAAACTGGAGTTTCAGGAATAGGCGGTGAGCGCCATCTAGTGGCCCCCACGCGCAGCAAATAGCACAGCCAAAGGAACCTGACTTAATTTTTTACTTAATCTTCCCAAGTAAGATTTTCTAGCCCCCAACTCAAAGTTGTGTCTAGTCTATAGAGGCTGATACAGGAGTAGAAGAGGCCGGGGGCGGTGCGGGGGAGTGGGGGAGGCTAAACTGAGAGGCAGATTTTGAAATCCTTCTCGGCCATCCCTAGTGAAATGCACAAAGCTGATACACTGCAGCTGTCAGGAAGTGTCCTGATGCCCTCGTAGTGTTAGGGACAGTTAACAGAGTTCAGAGAAATTAAGCTGCATCTTAGCTGCCTTTTGTTTTCCCACCGTATCATGGTCTTTTTCATCTTTCCCAGGGCACAACTTTCTCAATCCTGCAAAGCAGCATGGTGCCTGGGAAACAGCATCACATAACAGACCTGAGTTCAAGCCCCAACTCGGCTCTCCGCCAGCTCTGATTTTCGGGTAAGTCATTTAACCTCCCTAAACCTCAAGTTCCTCATCTAGAACATGAGTCTGTACTGCCCAGTGGGAAGAGTACTACCTTTGATGTCAGACAGAGCTGAGTTCGGATCCTGAGTGACAACTTGGCTTTTCTGAACTGCCAATTTCTCTTCTATCTGTTAGAATAATTAATTGGGAAGCAATGACACTAAGGCAACTCTAGCACTCTGAGTGTTGTTTCTTTGTTTTTTGAGACAGAGTCTCGCTCTGTCGCCCAGGCTGGAGTGCAGTGGCGTGATCTCGGCTCACTGCAAGCTCCGCCTCCCGGGTTCCCGCCATTCTCCTGCCTCAGCCTCCCGAGTAGCTGGGACTAAAGGCGCCCGCAACCACACCCGGCTAATTTTTTGTATTTTTAGTAGAGACGAGGTTTCACCCTAGCACTCTGAGTTTTTATGTAAGCAAACCAAAGCCCAACTCAGCCTGAATGGGTCAGATCCTAGGAAAACAAAACTTAAGCTTTACCAATCAGAAACTGACAAGTAACTCCTAACTAGGGGCTTTGCCAATCAGAAACCAACAACTGACCTCTAACTAGGGATCTTAAAACTACTGTTCCCTTTCAATCCAATATTTTCTTTGCCTTGCTTCTGCATATGCAGAACAAAAGTTTTCCCCTTGGGTCCCTTCAGTGGAGTCCTGAGCCACTTGCAGTTTGGTGCTGCCTAATTCACGCATCAATGTTTGTTTAAATAAAGCTGTTAAAATTTTAACGTGCCTAAGTTTATCTTTACCACATAAAAGGCAGCAAATAATTCCAACTTTGACAAGTTGTTAGGAAAATTATATGAACTAAGGGTTGAAACCATCTGACATACACAAGGCACTGAAAATATTATAGCTCTCTTCATTGGCTATTTCACAATTTTGTTGTGAAATGTGAGGTGTGAATGAAATGATGTGTGTGAAAGTTCTTACCACAATTCGTGGCACTTAGTAGAAGCTGTATGTTGTTAATGCTGTGGGAGGTCACCCAGATCCCCCTAAAACCTTCAGCAGAGTGTTGTCAGCTAAGTCCCCCTCTGGGTATTGTTCCCAACTGAAGACAGTAGCCTTGTCCTTACCAGTTGTGGCCCACAACCAAAGACTCATCAGTTGGTGGGTTTAAAGGCCCAATTTGATTGCCTCATTTGGGTCAACTCCACAGGGTCTTTCCAGCCTCAGGGCTGCAAAGGGATGACTGAGGCCTTTGTTTCAACTAAATGACACCCAGCTTCTCCCTCTGCCCATTCCTGCTTCCTTTACCTCCCAACAGATGTTGGTCCAGAGAACACTCTCAAATCAACTTCCTTCATTCAGATCTTCTCAGGGTTTGCCTCTGAAGGAATTGCCCTGAAACAGTTAAATGTTAGTTCTTCATTGCCCCCTCCTAAGTCCCTGCCTCTTTCTTCCCCCCTGTAAACCAAGGATATGGAACAATAATGCTTGTCTCCTGCCAGCTTCATTGAGCAAGAATAAAGACAACTGGGGGAATAGAATAATACCTAACACCTCAACTTCACTTTCCTCCTTCTTAAGTTGAGATTAATTACTACTGTGCTACTTATTCCCAACATTTTTCACACAAATCAATGAGTTATAGAGGTGAGAACACTTCAGGAAATGATTAAAATGATAAAATCTAAGGAATTGGGAAACTATTGAATTGACTGACAGCGAGTTAATAATTGTAATAGCCACAATGTATTGAGTACTTAGTATGAGCCAGGCACGGTGATAAATCCATGAAAATTATATAATTCCATTGTCACAAAAATCCTAAAGATAAATACAATTACTATCACCACTTTATACATGAAAAACTTGGACTTAGAGTATTAAATTATTTGCCCAAGGTCATGTAGTCATTAAATGGATGAGAGACAGGATTTTCTTCTAGGCAGCTGGACTCGGGAATCGGCACTCTTATCCACCAGATATGTGGCCAGTTTGAAGTAACAAGAAGGTGGGACTCTATTTCCTTGGTGATTAACCCTTCATTATACAATAATTCTGATTTTTAAAGACTATTACTTAGAGTTCTAGGAATTCTAGTAGAAATTCCAGGAAATCTGAGACTTCTGGGCAACATGTGAATTGATAGGTCAGAAGCCATCATTTTACTGGGACAATTGAATTTTTCTAATGATATAACAAGATGATCAGGCTAAGAGACTTCCCTTCAACTGCCTCTTATGCAGTTTTAAGTCATCCTGTTCAGACTTCATGGAGCCGTAGGGTTCTGGGGCAGGAAAAAGTCCCCATCACTCATTTGGAACTTAATAACTGGCACCTTCTCCTCCTAGTGAAAGAAGCACTTAACCACTTCTTTTTGGTTCTCCTAGAATCTTTCAACAGGGAGGCTAAAAACACAGACTGCTGACTTTCCAATTTTCCTGGGGCCAGGCCTAAGAAACGAGGGCGTTTCACACCAGGGAGTCATCATGGATGAAGTCGTAGCTGTGGAATGTTCTGAGAAATGAGGATACCTTGAATAATTAGAAGAATATGGCAGGTTATTTCCATTATCTATTGCAGCAAAATAAACTTTCCCAAAACTTGGAGGCCTAAAGCAGGGTCAATAACTACAGCCTGTGGACCAAATTCAGCTCGCCACTATTTTTGAAAACAAAGCAGCCATGCCAACTTATTTATGTATCATCTATGGCTGTATTCATGCTATAATGGCAAAATAATGGCAGAGTTCAGTAGTTGCGATACAGCAGGAGGGCAGGAAAGTGATGGGTAGAGAAGGGCGAGGTCCCTGGTGAGGGATCCACCCTCGGCCTGTGCCCAGGGACCTAAGTGAGAACAGGCACTCCTGTTTTCTCACCTGAATGTTGCATTTTCCAAGACCACCCTGACCCACCACACCCCCATCCTGCGCCCATATAAACCTGAGACCTTAGCGGGCACACACAGCGGTTGAATGTTGAGAGGAGCAGCAGAGACCAGCAGAGCAGCAACGGTAGAGCCACACGGCAGAGGAAGAGAGAAGAGGATGTCTGGACGCTGAGGGGAGTTTGGCCAGGGAAGTCGGAGAATAGTCCGGCCACTGGGTGGCTGAACTCCAGGGGAAGATTATCTACCCTGCCTCCCCATCTTCTGGCTCCCCATCTAACTCACTGAGAGCCACCTCCACCACTCAAAAAAGCCTTGCACTCATGCTTCAAGCCCACATGTGATCCGATTCTTTCAGGACACTGGGCAAGAGCTCGGGATACAAAAGGCTGTCACACTGGCCCTCTGCCCTTGCAGTAAGGCAGAGAGGGTCCATTGAGCTGATTAATACACAAAGCTGTCTGCAGATGGCAAAGCTAAAAGAGCTTTATAACATGGGGTTGGGTTGCAGGCACCCACCCCCTAGACACTACCAGGGGGCCGAGAGCCCAAAGCACTAGCCCTGGCCTCTGCACCTGCCCATCTGCATGCTTCCCTTAGGGGTTTGAGCTGCAGGGCAACCAAACAGGTGAGTCACACCCCTGTCACACATCCTGAGAGGGGCATCAGGGAACTCTCCCATTTCAGTTGCAACAAAAATTGAAGCCCAAAATATTTACTGTCTGGCCATTCATGGAAAAAGTTTACTGACCTCCAGCCTACAACAACGATTTGTTATAGCTCACAATTCTTTGGTTTGGCTGGGCTGTCCTGCTGCTGGTTTCTCCTGGGCTCTCAGGCAACTGAATTCAACTGTAGGGTGAGCCAGGGGGTGGGCTTTGCGAAGGAAGCTGGGGCAGCTGAGCCTCTCTCTCCCAGTGGGCTTTCATCTGCGTTTCCCCGTGCAGCTTTACAAGAGGACAAACCCCAGTACACAAATGCTTATCAAGTTTCTAATTGCTTCATGCTTGTTGATGTTCCATCGACCAAAGCAAGTCACCTGAGCAAGCCCAGGGTTAATGTGGAGGGTCATTACACAGGGTGCATAGACTGGCAGGTGTGATTCCTTGGGAGCCATCAAGGTAACCATATAACACATTGGCATTTAGTATTTTTTGGTTGAATAAGTAAGTGTAATAGACGTGGAAAATAGGGTTCATTCTTTCACTCATTCAGCAGATATCTACTGAACCCCAACCACATGCCAGGCCTAATCTGATTGATTGCATTTACTCAACTATTTGTCTAAAAGTCCTTTGGTGATAATAGTTTTCACAAGAGCTTAGGTTGTTGTGTTGATTCTCTTGCAGTGAAGACTTAATGAGCTTTGGTTTTACATAGTATATTTTAATGCACTCTAAGAATATTCAATTCAACGCAGATGAAATGTCCCCCCAAATAAAGGAGCCCAAAATAATTATGCCTGGTTTTGAAATAAAATCACACTTGTGCAAATGAAGTGGAAGTTTCTGCACTTGCTAACTTGAGGTGTAGTCTGGAGAGTGTTGACTTTAGTCTTGCTTCAGACCTCAAGCTCTTGATAGGTGTCTAGTTTTCCTGATCACCACCACCTCCAGTGGGAAGGCTCCAAGATTACAGAGCCAGAGTTCTAGATTCTCATCCTGGTTCTGTTAGCACCTCGTTGTGTGTCAATGGAATGAAGTCAAGATCATTTTTCAACAGACATTAACACTGTTTGCCAATATCTTGTTTCCCTCTCCTTTGGGGCACAAGGAAGGCATGTACTTTCCTGCCACTTGAAGTTAGAAGTAGCTGTGTAGCTTTCTCTGGCCAGTGAAATATGAGAGGAAGTAACCTGTCACTTCCAGGTGGAAGTATTGAATTGCCAGTGCCCAACCCTCCACCTCACTCTTACCCCACGGCAGTGGTTTTGACAGCACACACAGAGTGCAACCCTGAGCCATCACATGCAGGAAGTCTGCTCTGAAATGTCATCCAATCCCACAAGAGACTTTGAATGGGCAAGACATAAATCTTGTTTTGAGCGACCCAGATTTAGGAGATGTTTGTTACTGCAACATAACACAACCTAACATAACAAGACTTTATTTCTTAGTAACAGCACAGCATCACTGATAGGCTCTTGGTGCAAAGAGCAAGGTTTTATGACATGTTCAAGCAACAAAAAAGAAACTAAGCTTCTAGGCATAAGATGCGAAAAGAAACTATTCTGCTCCAGAGAAGGAGATGGAGGAAAGAAAGGGAAGGGGAAAACAAGATGATGGATGTCTGCATGCTAATATATCCCTTTCTTGTGATCTCTTCAAGTCTCCCATAGAGCTTAAACATTTATGAATGTTTAGCAAGAATGGAATTGTTTTTATTATTTATTAATATGCTTTTGTTTATTGTTCATTTGTTTGTTTGCTTGTGGTTTTAAAAAATTTTATTTGTTTTGGTGGAAACTAGAGAAGGGGCTGTATGTCAAGACACAGGTTGACACAGGGACAACAAGAGACAGCTCATGCCACCACACACAGGAGCTGGAGGCAGAGGTCATCATAAAGTGAAAGTACAAGTCCTTGGGAATTCGTAGAACTCCCTGCCATCACCACTACTGAGAGAGGGAGGAGGCAGACAAATACCTAAACAGATAGGAGCAGAGCCCCAGTGAAACCCCACCTTCAAACCAAAAACAGCCTGAAGCCTGAAAGACTGGGCTGCTGGTTCTGGATGAGAAACGTGACCTGGAGTGAGAACTTCTATTCCTGTTTGCCCGCCCTTTCCCAATTGGTTGTTTCTGAATAATGCTTTTTAACCAATAGAATGTTGCCTTTTCCAATACTACCTATGGCCCACCCCTCACCCATCCTGTGCCCATAAAAGCCCAGGACCCAGCCACACTGGGGGAAGAAACCGCCAGACTTCAGGTAGGTAACCGTCCCCACATCCCCTCTCTGCTGAGGGCTGTTCCATCACTCAGTAAAATTCTTCTCTGCCCTCCTCACCCTTCAATTGCCGCCTCATTCTTCTTGGATCCAGGACAAGAACTTGAGAACTGCCAAATGCAGGTATGAGCTATAACACAGGCAGACTGGGGTGAGCCAGTGGGAAAGCCAGGTGCAGCCCAGGCAGGCCAAATGGTGAAGCCACTTCCTGCAGCAGGTAGCATGCCTGAGTGAGGCCCAGGCAGGGGCATCACCAGCTGGAGGTCCCCAGCTGGCAAAGTGACTGAGAAAAATCATGCCTCACTACCACCACAACAACAATAGCTGACACTTACAAAGGGTTTGCCATGTTCCAGGCAATTGTCTAAGCACTTTACATTATGAATTCATTTATTCCTTATAATACTACCTTTAAATTAGGTACTATTGATATCCTTATTTTACAAATAATTAGACTGAGGCATTAGGAAGTTAAATGACTTGGCCAAACAGCTCTTCATTCCAAAACACTCTCCCAGTGACTGGCTCTTTTTGTTCTTTAGGTCTTAACACAAAAGTTTGGTTTTCAGAAACATCTTCCTAGGCACTATAGTCACCATTGTCATTCTCTATCATGACATCTATCACAACCTATGGAAATTGTTTTATTTTTTAAATTTATGTATTTTTTCCCTTTCCTAAGCTCCATAACTACAGGAGTAATGCTTGCCTTGTTTATCATTTGATTCCTCTCTCCCCTCTCAGTGACTAGGATAGCCATGAATTAATGAGTATGATATGGAGAATGAACCAGAAGTAATAGTGATTGGGTCACATAAGGAGAGAAATCAGAATGCTTTCAACTACAAATAACAAGCCAACTGATAAAAATGGCATTTAAAAATAGGACAATTAGGCCTGGTGCAGTGACTCACGCCTGTAATCCCAGCACTCTGGGAGGCTGAGGCGGGTGGATCACCTGAGGTCAGGAGTTTGAGACCAGCCTGGCCAATATGGTGTAACCCCATTGCTACAAAAAATACAAAAATTAGCTGGGCATGGTGGCAGGTGCCTGCAATCCCAGCTACTTAGGAGGCTGAGGCAGGAGAATCACTTGAACCTGGGAGGCAGAGGTTGCAGTGAGCCAAGATCGCACCACTGCACTCCAGCAATGGTGACAAGAGAGAAACTCCATCTCAAAAAAAAAAAGAAAAAAAGGACAATTTGGTTTTCTTTTCACATAACGAAAGTCTAGTGTGGACAGTTCCAGTACTTTGTACTTTGTAGGAAACAAGGGAAAGCTTCCCCTTTGCCCACAAAAGTTTCACTGAAAATGAACTGACAAAAGGCAGAATAACAGGAGAAAAAGGCATACAAAATTTATTTAACATGCATAAGCACAAAGCCATACACAAAGTATGATACTCAAAGAGAGACCAGATGATTGAGGTTTAAATACTCTCTTCCTAGGAGAGAAGTGTATGGACCTGGGAGACAGATATTATCTTGTAAGTGATTCTCTTATGGAAGCTGAATGGGACAAGTTACAGGGAGGTGAGGGCCAGAACTGCACAGGAACAAAGGTTGCTTTATTATGCAGATAAAGTCCCCAGGTAGTCTCCAGAGCTACCCTCAGAACAGATGAAAAGTCTGTCTGGATGCAGTGACAACTCCTAATCTCTTCTCTCCTCCAGTGGTTGATCTTTTCCTGGTTATTTGATGACATTCCTATTGAGGAAGTAAGAACAATTGTGTTCGTTTGGAAAGATGCTTTCATAGATAAGAAAATTCTAGAAAGAGTCCCTTCCAGTGCTTCTTTGGGAAAGAGAATCAGAGACAGGGAGGGAGTAGAAGATACGAGAGAGACCTTGGTTCTGAGGCCTTTCAATTCTCAAAGCACTCAGTACATCAAAGTGCCACATTTGGGGGAATCATATTCTGTGCCCCAACAATTTGTCTTCCAACCATTAGTCTTGACTCTTGGTCTTCCCTCTACAGTCACAATATGGCTTCCACAGCTCCTAAAATTGTATCCCCATACAACCACATTCAAAGGTTGGGAGAAATAGGAAGTTACCTCTTGATCAGGATTAAAAATATTTCTCTTAATAGTCATGAATTATCTTCTGGTTTCATGGGTCAGGGTAAATCATATGCCCAAGGCTTGGCAAGAGAGGCTAGAAAAATGAAGAACTGGCATATGCAGTAAGAGGCAGGTTCTGCCACATAGGAAAGTGGCCATCATATGCAGCCAAAAGTGCTAGTCCCAGGAGGCTACTCAGAGAGAGACGGCAGTGTTTTGGCCGCCATCTTGGCATCTTCTCCAGAAACAGCAAACACACACACATAGAGAAGTTGCCCAGAAATATTAAGTCTGTGAATCAAAACTCAAAGAGAAAGAAAGTCTTTACTTCAGATTTTAAAAATAAAATAAAAAGTCTTCTTGGAACAACCCTTTGACAGGACAGGAAAGTAGTAAATCTTTCTAAAGAGCAATTTGGCACCATGATCCAAAAGCCTTGAAGAATGAGCTTATCTTTTCTCTTAAGTAATTCCACTTATAGTAATCTATCATAAAGAAATAATCAGAGATGTAATGCAAGAAGTATGTGCAAAGATGCCCATCAAGCATTGTTGATAATAGTGAAAAACAGAACAACCTAAATGCTTAATAACACTTGAATGATTAAATAAATTATAACAAAATGGCATTCAATGTAGCTATGTGAAAACTATATTTAGAGGATTCTGGTTCAAGATGGCTGACTACAGACATTGGACACTCACCCTCTCCAGAATGAAGAACCAAAATTATGAATAATCACACCTCTAATAGGACATCCAGGAGAGAACTCCAGAGTCCAACAGAGAAGTTACAGGAAACACCTGAGGCACAGAAGGAGAAAGAAGTGAGCAACCAGCTCAGCTGAGATCAACATAGACTGGCTACATGGATAAAACATAATCCAACCATATGCTGCCTGTAAGAAATACACATTACCTATAAAGACACATATAGACTGGAAGTAGAGGGATGAAAAAAGATATTCCATGCAAATGGAAACCAAAAATGAGCAGCAGTAGCTATACTTATATCAGATTTTAAAAGACTTTAAGCCAAAAACAGCATAGAAAGAAATAAAGAAGGTCATTATTTAATGATAAAGGGATGAATCTAGCAAGAGGCTATAACAATTATAAATATATATGCACCCAACACTGGAGTGCTCAGATTCATAAAGAAAATATCAGTAGATCTAAAGAAAGAAATAGCAATACAATAATAGTGAGGGACCTCAACACCTCATTCTCAGCATTACATAGATCATTCAGACAGGGAAAAAAATTGGACTTAAACTGGACTTTAGACCAAATGAACCTAACAGGCAGACATGTACAGAACATTTTATCCAACAACTGCAGAATATACATTCTTCTCATGAACATATAGAACTTTCTCCAGGAGTGACTATATACTATGCCACAAAAGAAGTCTCAACAAATTTTTAAAAATCAAAATGATATCAAGTATATTCTCAGACTACAATAGAGTAAAACTAGAAATGAATACCAACAGGAACTTTGGAAACTATACATATACCTAGAAATTAAACAATATGCTCCTGAATGATCATTGGGTCAATGAAGAAATTAAGATGAAAATAAAAAAATTTCTTGAAACAAATTAAAATGGGAATACAACATACCAAATCTGTGGGACATAGCAAAAGCCATGCTAAGCAAGAAATTTATAGCAATAAACACCTACATAAAAGGAAAAAAAAACAGAAATATTTCAAATAAACCATCGAATGATAATACACCACAAAGAACTAGAAAAGCAAGAACAAACCAAACCCAAAATTGATAGAAGGAAAGAAATAACAAGGATCAGAGCAGAACTAAATAGAGACTAAAAAACAGTACAAAGGAACAATAAAATTTAAAGCTGGTTCTTCTAAAAGATCATAAAATTGATAAACCACTAACTAGACTAACCAAGAAAAAAAACAAATAAAACAAATAAGACATGAAAAAGGAGACATTTCAACTGATACCACAGAAGTACAAAAAAAGTCAGAGTATTATGAACAACTGTACACTGACAAAGTGGAAAATCTAAGGGAAATGGATAAATTCCTAAAAACATACAACCTACCAAGATTTAATCAGGAATAAAGAGAAAACCTGAACAGACCAATAACCAGCAGCAAGATGGAATAAGTAATAAAAAGTCTCCCAACAAAGAAAATCCCAGGAGTGGATGGATTCACTGCATAATACTACCAAATGCACAAAAAAGAACTAATACCAATTCTTTTTTAACTATTCCAAAAAATTAAAGATGGAATGCTCCCTGACTCATTCTACAAAGCCAGCATTAACCTGATGTCAAAACCAGACAAGAACACACACACACAAAAAGAAAACTATCAGCCAATATCTCTGATGAATATAAATGCAAAAATCCTCAGCAAAATACTAGGAAATGAAATCCAACAACATGTCAAAAAGATCATATTCCATGATCAAGTGGGATTTATATAATGGTTGCAAGGATGGTTCAAAATACACAAATCAATAAACATAATACATTGCATCAACAAAATAAATGACAAAAAACGCATGATAATCTCAGTAAATGCAGAAAAGCGTTTGACAAAATTCAACACCTCTTCATGATAAAAACTCTAAGCAAACTAGGCATAGAAGGACCATACCTTAAAATAGTAAATGAAATATATGACAAACCCACAGCTAACATCATACTTAACGGGAATTTGTTGAAAGCCTTTTCCATAAGAACTGGAACAAGGCAAGGATGCCTACTTTGACCACTCATATTTCACATAGTACTGGAAATCCTAGCCAGAGAAATCAGGCAAGAAAAAGAAATAAAAGGCATCCAAATTGGAATAGAGGGATTCAAATTGTTCCCTTTTGGCCAGACGCAGTGGTCCACGCCTGTAATCCCAGCACTTTGGGGGACCGAGGCTGGTGGATCACAAGATCAGAAGATCAAGACCATCCTGGCTAACACGGAGAAACCCTGTCTCCACTAAAAATACAAAAAATTAGCCAGGCACTGTGGCAGGTGCCTATAGTCCCAGCTACTCGGGAGGCTGAGGCAGGAGAATGGCATGAACCCAGGAGGTGGAGCTTGCAGTGAGCCGAGATTGTGCCACTGCACTCCAGCCTGGACAACAGAGCAAGACTCTGTCTCAAAAAAAAAAAAGTTCCTTTTTGCAGATGCACGATCTTCTATCTAGAAAAACATAAAAGATTTCACCAGAAAACTTTTAGAACTGATAAATTCAATAAATTTGCAGTATACAAAATGAACATACAAAAATCATAAGCATTTTATACATCAGTAATGAAAAGACAAAAAAGTCAAGAAGGCAATCCCATTTAAAATAGCTAACAAAAAAAAGTACCTGGGAATATATTTAACCAAGGAGATGAAAGATCTCTACTAGGAAAACTACAAAACTCTGATGAAGGGAATTGAAAAGAATACAAACAAGTGGGAAAACATCCCATGCTCATGGAACGGGAGGATTAATATTGTTAAAATGACCATATTGACCAAAGCAACCTAGGGATTCAATGCAATCGCTATCAAAACGGCAACATCATTTTTCATAGAAATATTTTAAAAATTCTAAAATTTGTATGGAACCAAAAAGAGCCTGAATAGCCAAAGAAATCCTGAGCAAAAAGAATGAAGCTGGAGGCATCACACTACCTGACTTCAGAATGTATTACAAGGCTCCAGTAACCAAAACAGCACGATATTGATACACAAATAGACACATAGACTGACAGAAGAGAACAGAGAAGCCAAAAATGAATCCGCATATTTGCAGCGAGCTCATCTTCAACAAAGCTGCCAATAACATTCACTGGGGAAAGGACACCCTTTTCCATAAATGGTGCTGAAAAAGCTGGCTAACCATACGCAGGAGAATGAAACTTGATCCCTATCTTTCACCATACACAAAAGTGAACTCAAGATGGATTAAGGACTTAAATCTAAGACCCAAACCTATAAAACGAATGGAAGAAAATATTTTTAAAACTCCCCAAGACATGGTCTAGGTAGAGATTTTATGGCTAAGACCTTAAAAGGCAACAAAAATAGACAAATTGAACTATAATAAACTAAAAAGCTTCTGCACAGCAAAACAGACACATCATCAGAGTGAAGAGACAACCTTTTGGATGGGAGAAAGTATTTACAAATTACTCATCCAACAGGAGACTAATATCCAGAATATACAAGGAATTCAACCATCTCAACAGTTAAAAAACACATAATCCCATTAAGAAGTAGGCAAAGGACATGAATAGACATTTCTCAAAAGAAGACATAAAAATGGACAACAGGTCTATGAAAAATGTTCAACATCATTTGAGAAATGAAAATCAAAACCACAATGAGCTATCATCCCACCTCAGTTATAATGGTTACTATTAAAAACACAAAAAAAAACAGATGCTCGTAAGGATGTGGAGAAAAGGGATTTCTTATGCACTGTTGGTGGGGATGTAAATTATTACAACCCCTATGGAAAACAGTATGAGTTCTCAAAAAACTAAAATTATAACTACCATATGACCCAGCAATCCCACTACTGGGTATCAATCCTAAAGAAAAGAAATCAGTATGTCAAAGAAATACCTGCACTTGCATATTTATTGCAGCACTATTACAATAGCAAAGATCTGGGATCAACGTAAGTGCCCATCAACAAATGAATGAATTTTTTTAAATGTGGTACATGTACACAACGGAATACTATTCAGGCATTAAAAATAGAATGAAATCATATCATTTGCAGCAATATGGATGGAACTGGAGGTCATTATGTTAAGTGAAAGAAGGCAGGCACAGAAAGACAGATACCACATGTTCTCACTCATATGTGAGAGTTAAAAAACTTGATCTAATAGAGGTCTAATAGAGATAAAGAATAGAACGAAAAACGCCAGAGACTGGGAATTGTGTGGGGCTGGGGGGAGGGAGAGAAGAGTAGTTGGTTATGGGAGCAAACATACAGTTGGGTAGAAGAAATAAGTTATAATGTTTAATAACAGACTAGGGCGACTATACTTAGCAACCATATTATGTATATTTCAAAGTAACTAGAAGAGAGGTCTTGAAATGATACCAACATATAAAAATGATAAACCCTCAAAGTGATGGATACCCCAATTACTCTAATTTGATCATTACACATTCTTTGCATGTAACAAACATTCACATGTACACCATCAATATGTAAATTAATGTACACTATCAATATGTAAATTATGATATATCAATAAAAGGAAAAAACATTTTAAAAAATATTTAACAATACAGGAAAAGGTTTCTGATTTAAGTGAAAAACAAGTTACAACATGATATACCCCTAATAAAAATTTTAAATAATGTTTTCTATAAGTTAGAATTTATATTTTTATGTATAAATAGGAAAAACTACTCCAACCTGGGTAACAGAGTAAGACCCTGTCTCAAAGAAAGAAAAAAAGAAATAGGAAAAGCATTTTCATTTTTTTCAGCAAACATACTGGAGTGTTAACAGAGGTTGTTGTCTCTGAGCATAGGATAGTAGGAAATTTTTATTTCCTTCTTTGTACTTTTCTTTGTGGTTCAAATTTTCTTCAGTGAATAAGAACTACATTTTTAATTTTAAAATGTAACGATTATCCATACTTTTAAAACTATCTTTTTTTTTTTTTTTTGAGACAGAGTCTCACTCTACAGCCCAGGCTGGAGGGCAGTGGCCCGATCTCAGCTCACTGCAACCTCCACCTCCCAGGTTCAAGCGATACTCCTGCCTCAGCCTCCCAAGTAGCTGAGACAACAAGTGCCCACCACCACGCCTGGCTAATTTTTGTATTATTAGTAGAGACAGGGTTTTACCATGTTGGCCACACTGTCTCGAACTCCTGACCTCAGGTGATCTGCCTGCCTAGGCCTCCCAAAGTGCTGGGATTGCAGGAGTGAGCCACCGCACCCAGCCAAAATATGTTTTTCATTTCATATTTGGGAATTGATTCTAGGACCACTCTGCCTTGCTGGACAAAATTGATACCAACTTGTGTCTCTTTGCATGCAGTAGGTATTTGCTATCTGTATTGATTAATGAATGGGGAGCGTGGAAGGAATAAAGATGCACAGAATCTGCTCATTCTCCAGGAAGGGAAAACAAAGAGAGGAAAGAATTTTCTCCAGCTTCAGTTACTTGCTACAGTGCAGGATAGTGGGAAAAGATGTAAAGCTGTAGAATCTAAGAGCTAGACTGGGCAAGGCAGCTCACACCTATAATACAAGCACTTTGGGAGGCCAAGGGGAGAGGATCCCTTGAGCTCAAGAGTTTGAGGCTAGCCTGGGCAACAAAGAAAGACCCTACCTCTAGAGAAAATTTTTTAAAAAATTAGCCGGGAGTGGTGGTGCGTCCCTGTGGTCCCAGCTACACAGGAGGCTGAGGCAAGAGAATCGCTTGAACCCAGGAGGTCGAGGCTGCAGTGAGCCAAGATCGTGCCACTATACTCCAGCCTGGGTGACAGAGTGAGACTCTGTCTCTAAAAAACAAAAACAAAAAAGAAGGCCAGGCACGGTGGCTCATGCCTGCAATCTCAGCAATCTGTGAAGCCGAGGTGGGTGGATCACCTGAGGTCAGGAGTTCAAGACCAGCATGGCCAACATGGCGAAACCCCATCTCTACTAAAAATACAAAAATTAGCCAGGCATGGTGGCTGGTGCCTGTAATCCCAGCTACTTGGGAAGCTGAGGCTGGAGAATCACTTGAACCTGGGAGGCAGAGGTTGCAGTGAGCCGAGATCGAGCCTCTGCACGCCAGCCTGGGCAACAGAGCAAGACTTTTGTTTCAAAAAAAAGAAAAAGAAAAAGAATCTAAGAGCTTAGCTTTGAAGTCAAAAGGAGCTGAGTTCAAATCTTGCCTCTATCACCAATTAATAAACCTAAATAAACTTGGACAACTTATGTGACCTCGTGATCTCTCTGCTATAGCGCATAATTAAATGTATACTTCTCAAACGTGGAGAGAGAGGCAGATCCCACAATGAAAGCACTTAGCATGGAGCTGCACGGCATACAGAAAGCACTCGATATATGTTGGCTGTCATTTTTGTTACTGTTGTTAGCATTGTTATCAGTAGCAGCTGCTGCATCATCTCAGCTGCTCTCACTTCCTCCTTCAGGTTCTCTCCACTCCCGAGACCCTAAAGGTTAGTAATCAATCCATGCTAGGAAGGTGAGACCAGCCCCAGCCTCCACTGCACCTTTTTTACTGGTAATTCCCAAACAGCTAAATGTCCCGATGATCAGTAGTGGACTATATGAAACATTTTGCACTATATAAAATGTCTTTTGAAGAAGATGCCATAACTCAGACAAAGTGGACTTTCTTCAGCTCAAGGAGAAATTCTCAATTATTTCCTTCCCGCCTTCCAAACTCCCTAGCTATTTAAGAAATCCAGAGCAAATTTCCTGAGCTTTAAGCATTTTGCAAAACAAAGTGGCCCTACACATGTAAGGCTTTTTCAAAAGCATGAAATAAGTGATGCCAGCTGTTAATACGTTTAAGTAAATGTGAGCAAAAATTGTTAAAAATAAAACAAGCTGATCACCCTCAAAGTACTTTTGTCCTTTAAATCTTCACAGTACACTAATGTAGGAATTACTCTTCTCTGCAGATAGAAAAAGGAGGCTGAAAGAGTAAAATTAACTGAGTGGCCAAAAAAGCATTAATAATAATAATTTCTGCCACTGTTCTCACTTATTTGTGGGATCTAAAAATCAAAATAATTTAACTCACAAAGATAGAGAGTAGAAGGATGGTTACCAAAGGTTGGGAAGGGTAGCAGGGAGGGGAGAGAAGATGGGGATGGTTAATCCATACCGAAAAAACAGTAAGAAAGAATGAATAGGTCCTACTATTTGATGGTACAACAGGGAGACTATAGTCAATAATAATTCAATTATACATTTTAAAATAACTAAAAGAGTATAATTGGGATGTTTGTAACACAAAGGATAAATGCTTGAGGGGATGCATATACTCCATTCTTCATGATATGTCTATTATGCATCACATGCCTGTATCAGAACATCTCATGTACCCCATAAATACACACACCTACTATGTACCCACAAAACTTAAAAATTTAAAATAATATAATTTGGCAGGTCACAATCATTCATGCCTGTAATCCCAGCACTTCAAGAGGCCAAGGCAGGTGGATCACTTGAGGCCAAGAGTTCGAGACCAGCCTGCCCAACAGAGTGAAACCCTACCTCTACTAAAAATACAAAAATTAGCTGGGCATGGTGGTGCGTGTCTGTAGTCCCAGCTACTCGGGAGGCTGGGGCAGGAGAATTGCTTGAACCCAGGAGGTGGAGGTTTCAGTGAGCCAAGATCGTGCCACTGCACTCCTACCTGGGCAACAGAGCGAAACTCCATCTCAAATAATAATAATTATTATTTCTGCCACTAATAATCTCTCTTCTCTTGATTTTTTTTTTCCTTTTTTGAGGCAGGGGGCAGGGTCTTACTCCTGTCACCCAGGCTGGAGTGCAGTGGCGTGATCATGGCTCACTGCAGCCTCAACCTTCCCAGCTCAGGTGATTCTCTCACCTCAGCCTCCAGAGTAGCTGGGACTACAGGTGCTTACTGGGGTTTCACAACGTTACCCAGGCTGGTCTCAAACTCCTGGGCTCCAACAATTTGCCCTCCTTGGCCTTCCAATGTGTCGAGACTACAGGCATGAGCCACCACACCTGGTCGTCTTTCTTGGTCTTACTTAGCCTTACCCATTTCATCTGTAAAGTAGGGATACCCGGCTGGGAGCGGTGGCTCACACTTGTAATCCCAGCACTTTGGGAGGCCAAGGCGGGCAGATCACGAGGTCAGGAGATCGAGACCACGGTGAAACCCCGTCTTTACTAAAAAATACAAAAAATTAGCTGGGCTTGGTGGCAGGCGCCTGTAGTCCCAGCTACTCGGAGAGGCTGAGGCAGGAGAATGGCGTGAACCCGGGAGGCGGAGCTTGCAGTGAGCCAAGATCGCGACACTGCACTCCAGCCTGGGTGACAGAGCTAGACTCCATCTCAAAAAAAAAAAAAAAAAAAAAAAAGTGGGGATACCCAGGGGGCACATCAGAAAAACATTCAAAACATGGTACTTACTATCATTACTATTAGGCAGTCACTATGTGACAGGCTCTGCACAAGGAGCTCTCATTTTAACCTCACAACAGTCCCATGATGTGGCACTATTATTATTTCCATTTTAAAATGGGAACACTGAGGTTTGGAGTAGTTTATTAACTTGCTTAAAGTCCCAGGGATAGTATTTCTTTGGTCCCCTCTGTCACCCTTCTAATCCAGTGCTCTTAACTGCTAGTGGTCTCTCACTCTCACTCTCTCTCTCTTTGTCTCTGTCTGTCTCGCCCCTGTTCTTCTGTAGCTAGGACAGTAATGGCAACATCTGGCGCTCCTGCACTGCAATGGGCAGCAGGCCAGCAGGAGGTGAGCTGCTCTTCAGTAGGTGGTCTGTTTACAGCTTGTTTTCAGACAAACAATTCAACTTTTCCAGTGAGTTGTTTACCCTACTCTTAGTTAGTGCTTAGGAACCCAGGTTAGGTTCCCAGGTGTTGTGACAGAGGGGGCCCTCAATCAGCAGACACAGGAGAAGGCCATGTAAAGACAGATGCAGAGATTACAGTGATGCTACCACAAGCCCAGGAATGCTGACAGCCACCAGAAGCTGGAAGAGGAAAGAAACAGAATCTCCCCCAGAGCCTCTGGAAGCAACGTGGTCTTGCCAGCAACACCTGAATTTCAGACTTCTGGCCCCAAGAACTGTGAGAGCATTGCGAGAACATGAAATGGTTTAAAGAGACCACATGTATGATCATTTGTTGTCGCAGCCACAGAAAACTAATACACCCTGGTTTCCCATATTTGAGATGCAATCAGAGGGAACAAATTTATCTCCAAAGAGTAACTGACAGCGACCAAAGAACATTCATTCTTGAAATATAAATTAATAAGACCTAAAATGGTACAAGGGAAGGAAGCGAACACTGAGCACTTACAATGGGGCAGGCACTGTCCTAAGCACTAGCCTGTATTATTTCATTTAATCCCCACAACAACCCTAGAAGTAGATACTATTCATAATTATGTGAAGCTCCCGTGGCCAGACCCAAATTGGATTAGAGGTTGGAAGTGTCTTGATAAGGAACTGGGAGACTCCACACCTGACTTAGAAATAAACATATTTAAATAACAGGCAGTTTAGTAGATAGAGGTGCAGCCATCAGAGCCAGACTACCTGGATATGAACCCAAGAACTTCTCACCAGCTGTGTGGCCCTGGTGACAGGGTCGCATAAAGTTACATAACCTTACATTAAGTTATTGTGAACATCATTTGAGCTGAAACATCGAAAGCACTTAGCACAAAGCCTGACAGATAGCAGTTATTCCACAGGGTTCAGCTATTACTGTAACACACATGCTATTATGCACACAGTTAACACTTAATGTATATCTGCTATGATTATCATCATTAGTTGGTTTAAGACCTAGGTAGACCTTAATTTGGAAATCTTTCTTGGTTTCTTCCAGAGAGCCATGATCTCTTTTCTGTTAGAATTAAAAAGACCTCCTTGGAAGACGGAAATTTAAAATAAAAGCTCTCAGAATGTAGGCAAAAGATGGAGCCAAAATATAAGGCATACAAACTACTGACAGAGGCCAGGCACAGTGGCTCATACCTATAATCCCAGAACTTTGGGAGGCCAAGGTGGGCATATCACCTGAGGTCAGGAGTTCGAGACCGGCATGGCCAACATGGAGAAACCCCCATCTCTACTAAAAATACAAAAATTAGCTGGGCATGGTGACATGTGCCTGTAATCCCAGCTACTCAGGAGGCTGAGGTAGGAGAATCGCTTGATCATGGGAGGTGGAGGTTGCAGTGAGCCAAGATCATGCCACTGCACTCCAGCCTGGGGGACAGAGCAAAACTCCATCTCAAAAAAAAGGAATAAATCCATCAGAAATGTCACACCTCTATATAGCAGCCAATGTTTCCCCAAATAAAAGGTCAGGAGTTTGAGACCAGCCTGACCAACATGACAAAACCCCACCTCTACTAAAAATACAAAAACTAGCTGGGCATGGTGGCACACACCTGTAATCCCAGCTACTTGGGAGGCTGAGGAATGGGAATGGCTTGAACTTGGGAGGCAGATGTTGCATCAAGCCAGGATAGCACCACTTCACTCTAGCCTGGGCAACCGAGTGAGAGAGTGAGAACTGTCACCAAAAAAAAAAAAAAAAAAAAGTACTGGAAGTACTGGCAGGGGAGGAGGTGGTCCTTTAAGCTTTTCAACTAATATTTAATAGACAAACCCAATTTTAAAGTTACAAAATAAATAAATGTAAAGATAGTCACAGCCCTCAAAATGTCAAAATATACTGGGGCAAAAGTCAGTGATGTTAGGTAGGTAGGTGGGATAATGGGAGGTTAGGAAAAGGAGATAATGGTTTTCCTAAAAATAAATTAATAAAAAGAAAACAAAGTTAAAAAAAATCTTACTGCCAAGAAATCAGTAGAAGCTTTTGTCATACTACAATAAACTGTTGTTGGAAAACTTGTTTTTTAGTTTATTCTTTCATTTATTTAACACTTATTAAACATCTAATAAGTAGTTCCTGATCAAGTTTTATTATCCAGTGGAGCTGTATACAGACAACAGAAATACAAAGTAGGAAGATTTGAGTGTCACAGAGAAGCAACAAAAACGAAGAGATGCGCTAGGCACAGTGACTCACACCTGCAATCCCAACACCTGGGGAGGCCAGGCAGGAGGAAGGCTTGAGACCAGGAGTTCAAGACCAGCCTAGGCAAAATAGTGAGACTCTGTACAAAAAATTTAAAAATTAGCTGGGCAAGGTAACACACACCTATAGTCCCAGCTACTTGAGAGGCTAAGGCAGGAGGATTGCTTGAGCCCAGGGGGGTAAGGCTGCAGTGAGCTGTGATCATGCCACTGCACTCCAGCCTAGGTGACAGAGCGAGAAAAAAAAAAAAGGAAGAGATGTTCACTGTGGATTTCCAGGGCAAGCACTAAACCAGATAAGCACCTAGATCTCTTCTAGACTCTGTAAGGCTAATTCCAGACTGTCATCAGTCACATACCACAGCTTCCGTATATGAAGCCTTTCTATTGCCTGGTTTTATTCTATACTGATGTTATTGCTTTACTTGAGTAAACCAAATATATTTTACTCATGTATTTTGTTTATTGTTTTTCTGCCTCTGCCAGAATGTAAGCTTCCTGCTTGCTTGGCTTGGTTGCATTCTAAAACAGTGCTTGGCTCGTAGGAAATGTTCAATACGTACTTGAATGATGAACCAAAACACAATCTCTACTCAGGCACTCAGCTTTACAGAATGAAATCCAGATGGTCCTCAAACGTACCCATTGACACAGAATGTTATCTGTTTGTGCTGCTTTAACAAAATACCTGAGACTGGGTGATCTATAAGTAATAGCATTTTGTTTCTCACAGTTCTGGAGGCTGAGAAGTCCAAGATCAAGGGCTAGCAGGTTTGGTGCCTGGTGAGGGCTACTCTCTCTGCTTCAAGACATCACCTTATTGTTGTGTCCTCATGTGGCAGAAGGACAGAAAGGCAACAAGGGCTAAATGCTGTGTGAAGCCCCTTTTATAAAGGCCTTACTCCCATTTAAGAGAGAAGAGCCAGCCAGGCATGGCAGCTCATGCCTATAATCCCAATACTTTGGGAGGCCGAGGCAGGCAGATCACCTGCGGTCAGGAGACCAGACTGACCAACATGGACCCCATCTCTACTAAAAATACAAAATTAGCCAGGCATGGTGGTGCATGCCTGTAACCCCAGCTATTCGGGAGGCTGAGGCAGGAGAATCACTTGAACCCGGGAGGCGGAGGTTGTGGTGAGCCGAGATGGTGCCACTGCACTCCAGCCTGGGCAACAAGAGCGAAACTCCATCTCAAAAAAGGAAAAAAAAAAAAGAGGGAAGAGCCCTCACGACCTAATCACTTCCTAAAGGATCCACCTATTAATACTATTGTTTGGAGATTAAGTTCCAAGAGGGGACAGAAACATTCAAACCATAGCAGATGCTACAGAAATGCCCTTACAAGGAAATCAACACCTGCCTCGCCTCCTCATTTTCTAGGAACAGTCCCACACTCCTCTATCAGTAGCTATGGGCCCCTGGCAGCAATGTTTGCTTTGTATGATCTTGCTTTCCTGGTCTAAATTGATTGGGTGGAATAGACATGTGACCTAAGGTTAGCCAATCCAATTCTCTTTTCTGGGATTGAATTTTGCCTTTGTAAGAATAGAGAAAGTTTGACAACATGACCTCTAAACTCCTTCAGAGATCCAATGAAAAGGAAGGAGAATCTGTATAAAATTACAAAAGTCATTGTAGAAAATCTGGACAATACAGTAAAGCACAAAGAAGAAAATAAAAATCACCTATTTATCAGTGTAATAATGAAAAATGAGGGACAACTGACATATCCTATAAGAAACAGAGAAACTATTAATAAACTATGGTACATCCATAATAGGCAGTGGCCAGAAGTGGTGGCTCACACCTGTAATCCCAGCACTTTGGGAGGCTGAGGTGGGTGGATCACCTGAGGTCAGGAGTTCAAGACCAGCCTGGCCAATATGGTGAAACCTCATCTCTACTAAAAATACAAAAATTAGAGGCCGGGCGCAGTGGCTCACACCTGTAATCTCAGCACTTTAGGGAGGCAGAAGCAGGCAGATCATGAGGTCAGGAGATGGAGACCATCCTGGCTAACACGGTGAAACCCCATCTCTACTAAAAATACAAAAAATTAGCCGGGTGTGGCGGCACGCGCCTGTAATCCCAGCTACTTGGGAGGCTGAGGCAGGAGAATCACTTGAACCCAGGAGGCAGAGGTTGCAGTGAGCCGAGATCACACCACTGCACTCCAGCCTGGGCGACAGAGTGAGACTCCCGTCTCAAAAAAACAAAACAAAACAAAACAAAAAATTAGCTGGGCATGGTAGCAGGCACCTGTAATCCCAGCTACTCTGAAGGCTGAGGCAGGAGAATGGCTTGAACCCAGGAGGCAGAGGTTGCAGTGAGCCGAGATCACGCCATTGCACTCCAGCCTGGGTGACAAGAGTGAAACTCCATCTAAAAATAATAATAATAATAATAATAGGCAGTAAGCTCAGGGAAAGATTTACAAAACATATTGTTAACAAAAGCAAGGTGTAGAACAAAATGTGTAATGTGCTCCCATTTATGTATTTTTAGACCCATGTGTTGTATATAAAGGCCTATAAGAATATAAATTATATTGGTAGTCATAGTTACCTCTGAGGAAGGGAGAGTTGAAGAGGAACTTTTGCTTATTACATGAAACATTTTGTAGTACTTGGATGTATTATGATGATACTGTATTCTTACAGTTACTTGTTTAATTAAAGAAAAATGGAAAAATTATAAAAAGATACTTTATAAGAAGTAGAATTGACTAACATTGGAGATAAGGAAACCATTTAGGAACTGTGGCCATTGTTCAGATTTGAGGGGATAGGGTCTGACATGGGACAGAAGGAAGAGTGAGAAACACATAAATGTGTGATAGATTTAGGGTATAAAATTGAGACTTCTTATTGATTGAATGTAGTGTGAAAAGGAGGAGGAGAGAATGTTCAGGCTGAGAGGCAAAGCACTTCCACAGCAAAGTGTTGCCTTTTTGGCAAGGCATGGTGGCTCACATCTTTAATCGCAACACTTTGAAAGCCCAAGTTGGTGGCGGGTGTGGAGGCTCATGCCTGTAATCCCAGCACTTTGGGAGTTCGAGATGGGTGGATCACGAGGTCAAGAGATTGAGATCATCCTGGCCAACATGGTGAAACCCCATCTCTACTAAAAATACAAAAATTAGCTGGGCATGATGGCATGCACCTGTAGTCCCAGCTACTCCGGAGGCTAAGGCAGGAGAATTGCTTGAACCTGGAAGGCAGAGGTTGCAGTGAGCTGAGATCGTGCCACTGCACTCCAGGCTGGTGATAGAGTAAGACAAGAAAGAGAGAGAGAGAGAGAGAGAGAGAGAGAGAGAGAGAGAAAGGAAGGAAGGAAGGAAAGAAGGAAGGAAGGAAGGAGAGAGGAAGGAAGGAAAGAGAGAGAGAGAAAGAAGGAAAGAAAGAAAGAAAAGGGAGGGAGGGAAAGAAGGGAGGGAGGGAAAGAAGGGAGGGAGGGAAAGAAGGGAGGGAGGGAAAGAAGGGAGGGAGGGAAAGAAGGGAGGGAGGGAAAGAAAGAAAGAAAGAAAGAAAGAAAGAAAAGAAAGAAAGAAAGAAAAAGAAAGAAAGAAAGAAAGAAAAAGAAAGAAAGAAAGAAAAAGAAAGAAAAGAAGCCAAGTTGGGAGGATGGCTTGAGCCTGGGAGATTGAGGCTGCAGTGAGCCATGACTGCACCACTGCACTCTAGCCTGGGTGACAGAGGGAGACCCTGTCTCAACAACAACAACAACAACAACAACAAAAAAGCATGGGTTTTGGAATTAGGCTGCCAGGACTCAAAACTCATCTCAGTTAAGGAACATGGGACCAGTTAGTTCACGTCTCTGTGTCTGTTTCCTCATTTGTAAAGTGGAAATGATAATATTATCTCCTGGCTCATAGAGTTTTTGAGAATTGATTCACATGAAGTGCTCAGAACTCTGCCATCACTTAATATACGCTGGTTATTATTGGGATGACTCCCAATATCATTACCATCAGCATCGTCATCGATTTTGTCATCATTATGATCATTAGGACCAATTGTAGGCCTTTAGCTTAAATGACCAGCTAGAAATACATAAAAATAGGAAACGATTTAAAGCAAACCCCAGGACTCTTAGAGAAGAAAAAGGAGACCAAGAAGTGTTCACAAGCCTGACTAACGTGGCTAAGTAATAGACTGCATCAGGAAGAGTAGTGTTGAATGAAACCGCGTGGCAACTTAGACAAGCATGAGTTTTTTTCCATTTGTTTGGTTGTTATTGGGTTTTTTGGTTGTTTTGTTTTCTTTCATTTTGTTTTGTTTTGAGACAGAGTCTCACCCTGTTGCCCAGACTGGAGTGCAGTGGCACTATCTCAGCTCACTGCAACCTCCACCTCCCAGGTTCAAGCGATTCTCCTGCAGCTGGGACTACAGGCGCCTGCCACCATGCCCGGCTAATTTTTGTATTTTTAGTAGAGACGGAGTTTCACCATGTTGACCAGGCTGGTTTCAAACTCCTGACCTCAAGTGATCCTCCCACCTCGGCCTCCCAAAGTGTTGGGATTACAGGCGTGAGCCACAGTGCATGGCCCTCAAGGGTCAGTTTTAAAGGAGTTTGTATGAATAGCTATATTTTAGAATATAGAAACACTAGTTGAGTCTTTTTCCTCTTCTTAAATTTGTTTTCAAAAATGGATACATAAAATATATTATGTATATATATATATATATTGGCATACTTATTGTAATGAATTAAAACATTAAGCCAAAGCAAAGGTCCCCCGAGCAAACGCAGCTTTATTTCCTGCCCCGGATTGCTTTTTCTACGTTTAAACATATATGTATCACACATCAAATACCTAACTTGAAGGATGTGATCAAAACACAGTTTTATTGGCTGGGCACAGTGGCTCACGCCTGTAATCCTAGCACTTTGGGAGGCCGAGGCAGGCAGACCACTTGAGCTCGGGAGTTTGAGACCAGCCTGGGCAACATGGTGAAACCCTGTCTCTACTAAAAAGACAAAAATTAGCCAGGTGTGGTGGTGTGTGTCTATAGTCTCAGCTACTTGGGAGGCTGAGGTGGGAGGATGGTTTGAACTCAGGAGGTTGAGGCTGAAGTGAGCTGAGATCACACCACTGCATTCCCGCCTGGGCAATAGAGCCAGACCATGTCTAAAAAATATATATATTAAGCTATAATATATATAAAAATATATAAGATAATAAAAGTATATATGTAGCTATATATGTCTATATATATAAATATACATGTGTATATATATAGCTTTCTTACTGTCTTCCACCACGTCTTTAAAATTTATTCAGGTGGTGTCTTAGTCCATTTATGCTACTACAACAAAATACCTTAGAATGGGTAATCTATAAACAACAGAAACCTATTGCCTCAGTTCTGGAAACTGGGAAGTCCAAGATCAAGGCACCAGCAGGATCTTGCTCTCTCAAGCCTCTTGTATAAGGGCACTAATCTCATTGGTGGGAGCAGAGCCTTCAGGACATAATCATCTCTCAAAGGCCCCACCTTTTAATAGTATCTTGCGGGGTAGGTTTCAATACATGAATCTGGGAAGACCCACTCATTCAGACCATAGCAGGCAGGGTCATCTCATTCCAGCCCTAGAGAGAAATTCTGGCAGACCCAGGCCTTTTCTGCTTCAGAAATTAAAACGTCCATTCCAACATGTGAATCCAAACTTAATTTCCAATCAGATCTTCTTCTATTCTCCAGCTGAGGCCGCTCCCTATCTTGCCTTTCTTCTCTGTATCCTCCACTCAGTTTGGTGGGCAGCTTCTGACCCCTCCTGCGCAAATGCATTGAGAGGGGAACATGAGAAGAAAGGAAGAGGAGAACCTCGGAAAGGTCTGGACAGTGCAATACCACAGGCTCTCTCTGGTCTGATAGAGACCAGGTCTGTCCTGTGGGCCACTCCAAGGGGCCTTTAGAGGCCACTCCCAACGGTGACTCCCGTGAGGTGTTGATGTGCTGCTCGCAGTCACCACTCTCTGCGCCATTGACTCTCGCCATGGGGGCTTTCTTACTCTCAGGCAGAAGGACTCAAAATGAATCCAGAATCTCTTTCTCTTTTATATGGCTCATCTCTGCTATAAGGGAATCACTCCCATCCCCTCGCTCCAGCAAAATCTGGGAACACGGTAGATCCCAACATGGCCACCTCCACTCTGCAGTCACGGGTAACCTGAGCTTATCAGGCGTGTCCAGTCCTTTGTGTTTCTCAACCACCTGGGACCATATTTCAGGCTCCTCAAAATGGCCCCACGCTTGAGGGAAGGGGGTAGAAATTGCCCTCAACCTACTCACAAGACATCTTTCTCAAAAACATAAAAATAAAAAAATCACCAATTCTCATTTTATTCTCTAATTCTTTTTCTTTTTCTCCACAAGAGTCCAAATTGCAATTTTTTTTTTTTTTTTTTTTTTGAGACAGAGTCTTGCTCTGTCACCCAGACTGGAGTGCAGTGGCACAATCTCGGCTCACTACAAGCTCCACCTCCCGGGTTCACGCCATTCTCCTGCCTCAGCCTCCCAAGTAGCTGGGACTACAGGCGCCCACCACCACACCCAGCTAATTTTTTGTATTTTTAGTAGAGACAGGGTTTCACCGTGTTAGCCAGGATGGTCTTGATCTCCTGACCTCGTGATCCGCCCGCCTCAGCCTCCCAAAGTGCTGGGATTACAGGCGTGAGCCACCGCGCCTGGCCTGCAATTTTTTTTAACATTGAATTTTACACTTGATTTCTTATTTTCAGACAGGGGTCGTGCTGTGTTGCCCAGGCTGGACTTGAACTCCTGGGCCCAAGTGGTTCTCCCCGCTTAGCTTCCCAAATAGCTGGGACTGTTGGCTATCACGCTCAGCTCTAATCCTTTTTAGGATGTGAGATTTATCCTCAATCTAACTGAGAAGTACAAGAGCCGGGGAGTTCTTTTGTAATCATTTCCCGTGTATGTTCTGTACAAGTGGATGTGGCTTTGAAATTTACAGTCTATTATAGTTTGATA
This sequence comes from Homo sapiens, assembly GCF_000001405.40. Taxonomy (NCBI): domain Eukaryota; kingdom Metazoa; phylum Chordata; class Mammalia; order Primates; family Hominidae; genus Homo; species Homo sapiens. The sequence continues at coordinate 43,310,272 of NC_000011.10, forward strand.
TTTCAATCCTGAAATGTTAACATCCTTTAACATCCTTTTACACATACACACATAACTTTGTTTTGTATGCTTTGTATGTTTTACATAATGGGATCATCTTATACCTGCCTTTTAACTTTTCTTTTTCTTTTTCTTTTTCTTTTTCTTTTAATTTTTTTGAGATAGAGTTTTGCTCTGTGGCCCAGGCTGGATTGCAGTGGCATGATCTGGGCTCACTGCAACCTCTGCCTCCTATGTGCATATAATTCTTCTGCCTCAGCCTCTCATGCAGCTGGGACTACAGGTGCATGCCACCACGCCTGGCTAATTTTTGTATTTTTAGTAGAGACAGGGTTTCACCATGTTGACCAGGCTGATCTTGAACTCCTGACCTCAAGTGATCCACCCAACTCAGCCTTCCAAAGTGCTGAGATTACAGGCGTTAGCCACCGCACACGGCTATATATATATATAATATTATTATATAAATATAATTATCTTAATATATAAATATATATTATTATCTTAATATATATAATATATATTATTATCTTAATATATATAATATATTATTATCTTAATATATATTATTATCTTAATATATAATTATATAATAATATACAATATATAATATATATTATATATATAATTGTATATATAATATAATATATAATATATATTATAATATTAATATCATAATATTATATATGATATATAAATATAATAATATATTAATATATATTAAGATAATAATATTAATATATTAATTATATAATTAATATATTATATATAATATAAGATAATTATAATATATAATTGATAATATTGATATATTAATTAATATTATATCTCAATATATAGATATATTATAATTATATTATATAATTAATGTATTAATTAATATTATTATCTTAATATATATTAATATAATATTATTATATTTATATTATATATTATATATTTATATATTAATATAATATTATTATATTTATATTATATATTATATATTTATATATTAATATATAATGTTATATATTATATAATATATAATATTATATATTAATATATAATATTATATATTATATAATATATAAAATTATTATATATTAATATATAATGTTATATATTATATAATATATAAAATATTATATATTATATCATATTATATATATAATTTCATTTAAACTTGTATCTTAGAAATTCTTATCAGTAAGCGTACGTGATTTCATTTATTTATTATTCTTTTGGATACTGGACATAATCAGGTGGCCCCAATTCTTTACACTGGCAGCAAAGATAAGCAAATTCTTCCAGCAGGCCAAATTTGACCCCGCACTTGATGAGCGTGGTGGACACAGAGGGTTTTTTAATAGCATAGGAATGTTTTTTGCTTCCCACCGGACCCACTAGCCTCTAGTGCCACCGATTAATATTACCTTCCTTGAATCAGGAGGAAACCATTTGTGACTTCTCATATGTAAGATCTTCTAAGGGCAGAAACGCAATTGTCTTTGTATTCACTTCCCCGCCCACCCACACCCCTTCCATGGAGAGCCTGCAGCCAAGCTCAAGCTTTCAAAAAGGCGTGAGCTAATTCAATCATCCTTGCCGCTTTTTTGCTCCTCCAGGCTGTAGAGGGCGACAAAAACCGCGGAGGCGCATTGGGGTGGGGGGTGTCTACTGAAGGCCGCTCCCGACGTGCGCGTCTTTACGTAGACGTCGGGGGCGCAGCCGCGCTGTGCGCGGTGACTGGCGGCTGCACTGGCGGCAGCTGGAGGTGTAATAGTGCGGGTAGTGGGTTTGGAGAAGTTCCGAGGCGGCGGTGGCGCCGGTCAGGACAAGGATAGCGGAACCGGGCCCTGGGCTTGTCGCTCACCATGCCGACAGTAGAGGAGCTTTACCGCAATTATGGCATCCTGGCCGATGCCACGGAGCAAGTGGGCCAGGTGAGTTGAGTCCCCGGGCGGCCTGCAGGGCCTGGCGCTCCGCGGCCTTTCGAAAGCGCTTCCCGCCGCACTCCCCGGGCCGAGCGGGGGCTGCGGCTTCATCCTCCCGGGGCCTCCTAGCCTCCTCAGGCCGTCTCGTCGGGGTGGGCCTCTCTGGGAGTGTAGACTCTGGTTTCACCAGGGAGACCGCGGTCCCCAGGGTTCCAGGCTTCCTTGCCTCCCTTGCCCAGCCTTTTCTCACCGTGGCGTAACCTAACTCAGCCCGTTCAGGCTCACGTTAATTCTTCTCACGGAGCTTTTCTCTACAGGATTCTCTTAAGCCTTTCTCCTTTTCGGTGGAGCTCAGTGCTTCCAAGATTAGATCGGGAGTTTTCTTCATGAGGTCAAGATGTGTTTTTTTTGGGGGGGAGGCAAAATTCTGCTACTAATTGAAGAAGAGTGTTTAGGAGACAGAAGTTTGTGAGAAACAGAAGAGGGACTCTTTGGTCCAGACTTTGATGAGAGCTCACGGTTTCATTTATTCAGTGCATTTTTTTGAGTGCCGAGCGCTGGAGATACAGATGGAAAGGTCCGCGCTCTCCCAGAATGTACAGTTAGGAGGGAGTGTAGTAAGAAAGATAGGCATTGTGAGGCCCGGCTTGGTGGCTCACGCCTGTAATCCGAGCACTTTGGGAGGCCGAGGCGGGCGGATCACGAGGTCAGGAGTTCGAGACCAGCCTGACCCACATGGTGAAACCCTGTCTCTACTAAAAATACAAAAATTAGCCGGGCGTGGTGACACGCGCTTGTAATCCTAGCTACTCAGGAGGCTGAGGTGGGAGGATTGCTTGAACCCGGGAGGCAGAGGTTGCGGTGAGCCGAGATCGCTTCACTGCACTCCAGCCTGGGAGACAAAGCAAGACCCCGTCTCAAAAAAAAAAAAAAAGGTTTTTTTTAAAAATTTATTCTTTTTAATGAAACATGTTTGAAGAAAATAAAACAGGGCTGGGCGAAGGAGAGTGTGAGTGCGCAGCTCTGAATGGAGTTGTCTGGAAGAGCTCTCTTAACGATGCTTGCCCCCGATACACAGTTTCTCAGCAGTGTTGAATTATCCATACAAGTCATTTGTTCCCTGTATGAGTTTTCAAGTACTGGAGTACATTGAACTTGATAAGTGGTTGGGTATGTGTGTTCTTGGGAAAAGAACCAGGCTCTCCTGGAGGTAACCTTGATCATTGTTTTAGAAATCCCACACCATAGCTTTTCAGCGCTTAGAACTTTGTGATTTTTCTGCTTACGCATCCCTTCTTGGAGAAAGTGGAAGATTCTAGTCTATTAACAGTCGTGGGAGTACCTTTCCCGTCCCCTTTTCTTAACATAATTCAAATAGGACTTTTCTGAGCTGAACGAAAAAAAAAAAATTTCATGTTGGAGATTTATTGTAGCTTAATCTAGAATTAAGAATATACCAGTTTGAAATAGCAAATGATTTTTTTTCCTTCATTCCCTGTCAGTAGGGAATTTCACTTTTATCAGTAAGAAATGTATACGGATGTTCTGCTGTACATGTGGATAGAGTGTGTAGGTCGGTTGTGAAGGAGGAATATTCTGTTCATTAAGAAGGTAAAAACTGCCAGGCACGGTGGCTCACGCCTGTAATCCCAATTCTTTAAGGGGCGTGGATGGGCAGATCAGTTGAGATCAGGAGTTCGAGACCAGCCTGGCCAACATGGTGAACCCCCATCTCTACTAAAAATACAAAAATTAGCCAGGCGTGGTGGCATGCGCCTGAAGTCCCAGCTATTTGGGAGGCTGAGGCAGGACAATTGCTTGAACCCGGAGGGTGGAGGTTCCTGTGAGCTGATATCGGGCCACTGCACTCCAGCCTGGGCAACAGAGCAAGACTCCATCTCAAACAAAAAATTAAAAAAAAAAAAAGATACAAACTATGTGTGGTCAATCAGTTTGAATTTGTTGTTCCTAAAAAGAACTAGTAGTGAAGATATTCTCAATCGTATAATTTATCTGTGACTTAGTTGGGTAACTTTGTAGCAAATTGTTCTACCTACGTTAGACTTTGTTGCATATCAGTAGGGGGATAGGGTGAAAGCTACAACAGTGGTTGTGTCAGGAATCCTTCTAAGAAACCTTTGAAACCGTATACATAATGCTGTCCATCCCCTACTCTAATTTTGAGAGTTGCTTGCATTTCCTTCTCATGTCATCTTTATAAAAACCAGATTGAATTGAGAGTTCTCCCCAAGGGGTCAAAATGTCTTTCACAGCAAAAATCTACTCTTTATTTAGTAAGGGTACTTTAGAGACAAGTTTGTGAAAAATGAAAAAGGATACCTTTGTCTACACTTTAATGAGGACTCCATGCTTTATTCCGTACATTTCACCTACCATGTACCACACACCCGGCTGGACACTGAAATTTAACACAATTCTCTGTAGGTTATGGGTGATCAATGCGTTCTGTATTGACAACTGTCAAGCAACTATTTAAACAGTATCTCTGCATAATGAGATGTAGTGGTTAGCTCAGGCAGCTCAAATATTGTGAATTGTAGGAAAACCGAAGATAATGCCTACTAATTCTGCTCTGTTGGGTTATACTTCTCCCCTTTTAGATAAAATGCCTAAAATCACTTACTAAAAAAGACAGTAGGTTTTAGGATATTGCTTGTAATTTTAACTAACAAAGGCAAAAGCCACCTTAGTAGAGAGGACACCATTTCACTTGTTTTTAAGGAGAGAAAACCGTGTTCATGTTCTTGATGTAGCAAAGCCTGATTTTCATGTCAACTTATGAGAGATTTATGATCAGTACTAAGTTTCCTGGCAAATACCTGTCTGGATACTTCTGAGACTGCATTCAAGTTTGTCAGTCTTGACTTCCTTCTAACTTTTACTTTGATTATCAACCTTTACCAGAGAGGTGAGCACTACAGGTGTTCTGATTGCTGCCACTACAGACTATTCCCTCCCCATTATTGTCAATACTCCTTTCAGAGTAGTGCCTTCTAAATATATAAGGGTAAACTTACAAGCCGTCTGAGGTTTTATCGGCTAATTTCCCCAAAGCAGATCAAATCCTCTTTTTGAACCCCTTGGTACGATGTACTTACTAATAATGCTTCAGACTTGTATTTTATTTTATTTATTTCTGTACTTAAATTATAACGTCTCAAGGGTTAAATCCTTTTATGTATTTATTTATTTATTTATTTATTGCTTCTCTTCTTGCACTGTACCTTGCCCTTCAGTAAGCATTTCTTTTTCATAGTTGAAGAAATGTATTGGAAGAAGGAACAGAGAAACCATTTACAAAAGAAAAGAAAAACCATTTACACAGATTATCTCTAATGGATAAAGGGAACTTTATCATACACACACACATACATACATATATGAGCATGTATATTCTAATAAGCAAACTGCAGATGACAAATTCTAAGTGCAGAATTATTTAATACCTCAAATCTTCCAGTCCTATCATCTTCTCATGTAACTGCCATGTTCTGCCTATGCGTTCATCCTGCCTTTCCCCCACTCTGCCTCTGCTACTCCTTCAGGTCTCACTCTTCTCTTGTGTGCTCCTTTACCTTTCTGATCTCCTTTTCCACTGTACTCTGCCCAGGGCTCCTGACTAGCCATAATAGAGCAAGCTGTGGCCCACCATTATTTAAAATTCTGTTTCAAATTATTATGAATTTACTTACTTTAAATATAGATACTTAATTTTATATTATGTAGTCAAAATCTTAAAAGTTAAAAAATGTATCCGACACCTGTTAAAGGACCATGGCAGTGGGGCTGATTAGATCTGTATAATGCTGAAACCCTGATTCCTCCTGTTCTCTCAATCATTGAGTATACTAGCTTTGCAGGGTTGGCGTGTAGGCTTCTTGGACTTTTATTTCATGAAATAACCACTCTTGTAGTAGGGTTTTTTGTATGATTAAGCTAAAACCACTGACCAACCAAGTTCGTAATCCCTCAAAAATATGTGGAAATATTTATTTCACTTCTCTGAGCCCTAGTTTCCTCATCTAAAAGATAAGAATAGTAGTAACACCTATTGTGATATAGACAAGGAATCACTCAGTCCCTGGTAGACCTTCAATAAATATTGTTAATGATTCCTTTTTATTTGATTCCAGATTTAATATTTTTTTCTTGGCAAAAGGAAGTTTTGTTTTAAGCAGGGTTTTTTTTTTTTCATTTAATTTTGGACAGTGTAAGGAGTTTCTTCAAATGGCTTTATGAGTAAGTTTGAGTTAAAGAAAATTAGATTTGTGATACCCTGCAAAAAGTAAGGGTGTCAGAACAAACTTTGATTTTATGAAGCCTGCCTAGAAGTCTGAGGCAAACCACAGGAATGTAAAGTGGTAGAGAAGTCAGCATGATTTCTTTTTTTAATGTTTGCGGTGAAAAGTATGTCATATACCTTTCTTTCTTTGAGACAGGGTCTTGCTCTGTCAGGCTGGAGTGCAGTGGCGCGACCACAGCTTACCACAGCCTCTAACTCCTGGGCGCGACCATGGCTTACCACAGCCTTTATCGCCTGGGCTCAAGTGATTCTCCTCCCTCAGCCTCTCCAGTAGCTGGGACTGCAAGCACACACCACCATGCCTGGTTAATTTTATATTTTTTGGAGAGACAGGGTCTTGATGTGTTTATAATACACTTTTCAGTGATGACTCCTGAAGACTCATATATCTGCATTTCATGAAGAAGTTAACCTTATTCACAGAAATTTCTGTTATTTGGGAGTTGTTCTGTAACTTTGCATCCTGCTTTATTTTTTCACTTAACATAGCATTATCAACAAAAAAGAATCACTGTAAAATAAATTTGGTAATTCTGTAGTTCATTGGATATTTATTGGTCATTCCCCGCTTGATGGCATGAAGTAAGCTCATGTGTCTAAAGCACTTAGAACACTCCTTATACATAATAAATACTATACTGTGTATATGTTTGGTCAAGATTATAATTTTTAAGTTGTTTTTCCAGTTACTAAGTTTTATTCATATGTCCAAACAATATATATGTGTAGTCTTTCTGTATTTGTTACTGTTATTTACCATCTTTATCAGTGTCATTTCATAAAAGGACTGGTTTGGAGGCAAGTACTTAAGGAGGATTGGGAACTTATTGATTCCTCCCATTATGAGTATTTGAGGGAGAGCACCTGTGATTTTTTTTTTTAAGGAAACATGAGCTTTGAGTGTATTGTTCCAATAAAAGGTTTAAACATGTGACATTAGAGTCCGTCTTAATCCAAAATTGTCTGGCTATATGGAGTGAATTGTCATGGCTTTCATATACTGCTATGAGGTAAAATTAAACTGCACTTCCTAACATTGCTGGAATTGCTAAATTTCTGGAATGTATTCCCTTCACCTTCTTCAAGGTGCTAATTAGAAACAGGTAAATTTTTGTTTAAGTAAATACAGTGCAATTCTTTGTGAATTCTATGGTATTCATGATGATTTATTTATTTACTTGTTTAAGATAGAGTCTCATTCTGTCACCCAATCTGGAATGCAGTGGTGCGATCTCAGCTCAGTGCAACCTCTGCCTCCTGGGTTCAAGCGATTCTCCTGCCTCAGCCTCCTGAGGAGCTGGGATTACAAATGTCTGCCACCACACCCAGTTAATTTTTGTATTTTTAGAGAGAGGGAGTTTCACCATGTTGGGCAGGCTGGTCTGGAACTCCTGAGCTCAAGTGATTGCCCACCTCGGCCTCCCAAAGTGTTGAGATTACAGGCATGAGCCACCACACCTGGCCATCATTACAATTGTTTTGTTTGTTTGTTTGTTTTGTTTTGTTTTGTTTTTTGGAGACAGAGTCTCACTCTGTCATCCAGGCTGGAGTGCAGTAGTACGATCTCAGCTCACTGCAACCTCCGCTTCCCGGACTCAAGCAATTCTCCTGCCTCAGCCTCCCGAGTAGCCGGGATTACAGGCGCACACCACCACGCCTGGCTAATTTTTGTGTTTTAGTAGAGACGGGGTTTAACCATGTTGGCCAAGCTAGTCTTGAACTCCTGACCTCAGGTGATCCACCCACCTTGGCCTCCCAAGGTGCTGGGATTACAGGCGTGAGCCACCACGCCTGGCCCATTACAAATTTTTTAAGCATGATACAGTCACATGGCCAGAGTTAATAATCACTAGAATGAAGAAGTATTGGCATATTAACAAACACATTTGCTTTTTCCACTTAAAATTAGACTCATCCATCTCCCCCAACTCAAAAATGAAACAAAGATGGAGGGAGAACGGAATTGGGAAGGTAAGTGTCAGTTTGAGCAGTAAACCTCCCAAAATCAGCTTTATTTCTTAGCCTGTGTAAAAATTTAAAGCACACTCTAACATGTTTGTTATGGTCTTTTACTTTGCTTCCCATCCTTCAAAATCATGTGTCTTTCCTGCTTTATTTTTTATTTCAGCATAAAGATGCCTATCAAGTGATATTGGATGGTGTGAAAGGTGGTACTAAGGAAAAGCGATTAGCAGCTCAATTTATTCCGAAATTCTTTAAGCATTTTCCAGAATTGGCTGATTCTGCTATCAATGCACAGTTAGACCTCTGTGAGGATGAAGATGTATCTGTAAGTTTATGAATGACACTTCATAGCAATCTTTCAGATGTTTCTGTATGTGGCTGATACAATTGGAGTAGCAATCTGATATATCAGAGTACACAATAAAATACTATGGTATGGTCTGGCATGGCATCACACCCAGGCTTAAATTTACATATGATAAAGTGTATTAGCCTTTTTCAACACCTTTAAATTATGAAAAATGCATAGAATCTCAAAATACTTAGTTTCGCTTATCATTTATCCACTGTTAAAAATGGGTTGTGGCTCACATCTTGTTTCATAGATTGTTATTCATTGTGCATATGAAATTAGACTGTTTTTAATCAATTTGTGCTTACTTGGATATTTAAATTATTAAGTGTTATATCATAAAATGTAGTTTCACTACCCTTATATATTTTGCATGGCAGAAAAATGGTATGTGTAATAAGTGAATAGGATTACTAGATTAAAAAGAAATAGTTTTTGTTTTTTGGTTTTTGGGGGGTTTTTTGGAACAGAATTAACCAGTAATATTTCTGGCTGCTGACACAGGTTCCTAAGAATATTCAGCCGTTAGCTCTTGTCTTTTCAGATGAAACAGCGAATTGCCAACATTTCATGCAGAATTTGCTGGATATAAACCCTATACTTTTTTTGCTTTTTTAATAGAAACAGGGTTTCACTCTGTTGCCTAGACCAGAGTGCAGTTGCACATCCATAGCTCACTGCAGCCTTGAACTCCTGGGTTCATGCATTTTTTTCCACTTTAGCCTCCCAAGCAGCACAGACCACCGTTCCCAGCTGATTTTTAATTTTTTTGTAGGGTCTTGCCATGTTGTCCAGGCTGGTCTCAAACTCCTGGCCTCAAGCTATCCTCCCACCTTGGCCTTCTGAAGCATTGGGATTACAGGCGTGAGCCACCTCATCTGGCCCGCTGTACATATTTTATGTAAAAATCGAATAAGCCAAGATCAGTATTTGGAATTAAACATGCAGAATATAGCCACAAATGTTGTATTTAGTAGTCAATACTGAAAATTCTAAAGTAAACAGTTACTAGGTATAACATTGCCACAGTAGCCATTTTTTAGGAATACTATATTATAAGCCCATAGGTAGTAAAAACCTAACAGTTGCATATAATTAGCATGTAAATAGTTGTTTATAATCTCAAATCTGTCTCCTTCAGCGAGACATTGTTAACATCCCTTTTTATATTTTATTCTGTGTAACTTGAAGATTAAATTGGAGCAAATTCTCTCTTTTTTTTTTTTTTTTTTTTTGAGAAGGAGCCTTACTCTATTGGCCAGGCTGGAGTGCGGTGGTGCAATCTTGGCTCACTGCAACCTCCGCCTCCCTGGTTCAAGCGATTCTTCTGTCTTAGCCTCCCAAGTAGCTGGGACTATAGGCGTGTGCCACCACGCCTGGCTAATTTTTGTATTTTTAGTACGGACAGGGTTTCACCATATTGGCAAGGCTGGTCTCAAACTCCTGACCTCGTGATCCACCTGCTTCAGCCTCCCAAAGTGCTGGGATTACAGGTGTGAGCCACCACGCCCGGCCAATTGGAGCAAATTCTTTTTAAAACTGCTAGAAATCTGCTGTTTCATATTTTTGTGACTCGTATGCCCCTAATGATGGCTTCTCTGTGGTTTTAGTTTTCTTAAAAAGTTGAGTTTGCAGCTGGGCATGGTGACTCATGCCTGTAATCCCAACACTTTGGGAGGCTGAGGTGGGAAGATCACTTGAGCCCAGTAGTTCGAGAACAGCCTGGGCAACATAGGGAAATCCGCCTTTAAAATTAGCCAGGCGTGGAGGCTTGCGTCTATAGTCCTAGCTACTAGGGAGGCTAAGGCAAGAGGCTCTCTTGAGCCTAGAAGGTCAAGGCTACATTGAGCCATGGTTGCACCACTGCACTCCAACCTGGGCAACAGAGCAATACCTTGTCTTTAAAAAAAAAAAAAAGAAAGAAAAGAAAAAGCTGTTTGTTATTTTAAAGGTGATAGTATTTGGTTAATTTTTGTTTGAAATCATGCCCAGATTCGACGTCAAGCAATTAAAGAACTGCCTCAATTTGCCACTGGAGAAAATCTTCCTCGAGTGGCAGATATACTAACGCAACTTTTGCAGACAGGTAAGGGATTTTATTATTACCTTTTTCTCTAAATATATATCTTCTTTCTGAAATGTTGACTCTGTTTTTAGGTTTTAAATGGGGTGCAGGAGAGCTGGAGGTCCTACCTCTGATAGAGATTAAATTTCCTACTTTCATTCAGTAGTTAAAGTGTAATGATTTCTGGTTATCTAATTCCTGGTGTTGTTTTGTTTTTAATTCCGTTATGAAGGTGTAATGACTAGATTCTTTTGGGCATTTTGATATATCATAATTTTTCCCCCAATTTCCTGTAGTTTCATAATTGTAGCATCTTAATAAAAGTTTTTCAGGCATGCCAGATCGGGTTCTCAACTTACAAGGAACACGTATCTTTTTGGTACTTGAGGGAATGGCTTAAGTTATAAGTTTCCTGTCAATGTAACCTTGAGAAACTAAGTTGAATCAAGTTTGAAACTGAAGCAGATGATATTTTAAATTTGTTTTATATTCATTATGCCACTTTTTCTTTATCCAGATGACTCTGCAGAATTTAACCTAGTGAACAATGCCCTATTAAGTATATTTAAAATGGATGCAAAAGGTAAGGCCAGTTCTTATTCTGAATTGTGTTTGATGTCTTACAGAATCACAAAGTTAGGTGTTACTCATTAAGAATAAACTCTAGGGTTTACCCAGAGTTCTATTTCATAAAAATTCTAAGTATTGTGAAAAAAGTCTCCTTAGGTCAAGATGTTTATGACTAGAAAAACGAGCAGAAATAACTGCAAAAACAGATCACGTTTTTCCATTAGAAATCTGTTGGAAGAACTCCTTTTGACACTTTCAAGAAATTCTTCCAAAATACCTGGGTTTTATTATTAGTAATGATAAAAAAGGAAAGTCATGCTTAAGCTGACTATGTCTTCATGAAGAAAGCACTCTTATGGTTCAGGCTGTAGAAATTTCAGACTACTTTTAACTAGTAATGAGGATGATATTTGGGAAGTTCATTAACTTATTTGAGAAGAAATACTATAAATTGAGTTAAATGGGAAAACACCATTACACTATAGAATTGACTTGCTACAGGCAACTATTTTGTTTTGCAGGGACTTTAGGTGGGTTGTTCAGCCAAATACTTCAAGGAGAGGACATTGTTAGAGAACGAGCAATTAAATTCCTTTCTACAAAACTTAAGACTTTACCAGATGAAGTCTTAACAAAGGAAGTGGAAGAGCTTATACTAACTGAATCCAAAAAGGTGAGCTTTGGTCTTCATTTGGTGGAAATTCTCTAAAGCAAAAGAGCATACTTGACATTGGCAGTATTCGTCAATGTTATGTGTGGCTTGTGTATAAAATGATATATCATATATCCCATTGGAACCACCATAGAACTTCTAAGTTTTTCTTAGATTGAATTTAGCACTTTTGTCGGTGGTAATGATGAATCAATTTGGTAATTTAAAGGAATCTGATTACATTTAAACTTTTCGTGGTAGTGTCCTTAAAATTTGTGCAACCTCTGCAAATCACCTCCTTCAGGAAACTTTCCCTAAGTCCTACCCCTCCCTTCCATTTTAGGATACTCTCTCATAGTATTCTAAATTATTTCAAAATGAAACATCACATCAAAATGACCTGTTGTCACCTTAGCCCTTGACACTATCTGCTCTTCAAGGGTGAGACCATGCTTGTCTTTGCTCCCAGCATCTAGCATAGTTGTAGACGCTAAGATTGGCAAGGTGCGTCACAATTAACTTTTCACTCATCTTAATGTGCCAAAGTTTGGGAATAGTTTACTTTTTTAATATGTTACAGAAGATTCAGCATTTTATCTAAAGCATGTGATCACTGTTATGGTTCAGGCTTTAGAAATTTCAGACTACTACTACCCACTTCCTTATTGATAAGATTATTTTTCAGTGAGAAAAAAGTAGATCTTTAGCTGGGAGTATCAGACTATTTTACCTATGCCCCAGCTTGTAATCTGGTAGAGTATGTCGTGATTGTGAGCTTTTTTGGTCCATGAATAGAAAGATTTAGACCCACTGATATGGAAGATTTAACATGAGACTTGCAAGGTGACCTATTTTGTATACAACAATTACCATATTAATATGAATTAGGCTGCTTTTAAATATAGGATACAATCTGATTCAACAGTTTGCTACAGAATTTTTCCAACCATTTTTTAAAGTCACTCCCCTAAATAGCCAATTTTTTTAATTTTTTTTTTTTCTTAACTGCTCTCCCATGAAATTTTAATGCCACATATACACTGTATATCTGTTTATGGTACTACATGTATATCTGTGCTTTGTACGTAAAAAAGTAACATTTTCTAAGAACCAATTTTTGCCCCCTTGGAGAATGCGTGGTTTACACTGAAGCTCAATTGACTGAAGCTAGAAGTTGCCTTTTCGTCAGTATTTTGGAAGCATTAATAACAAACTGACTTTAGTAACTGAAATAAATTAGCTATTCTCTTTCAGTGTTGATCTGTCCCATTCAAATGATGAACATACTCTTATTCTGAATTGTCTCTTTTCCAGGTCCTAGAAGATGTGACTGGTGAAGAATTTGTTCTATTTATGAAGATACTGTCTGGGTTAAAAAGCTTACAGACAGTGAGTGGAAGACAGCAACTTGTAGAGTTGGTGGCTGAACAGGCCGACCTAGAACAGACCTTCAATCCCTCGGATCCTGACTGTGTGGACAGGCTCTTACAGTGCACTCGGCAGGCAGTACCCCTCTTCTCTGTGAGCTCTTTATTTTTACACACCCGGTATTAGCTATATATATATTTCCATAAATACTCACTTTAACATTCCCCTTAAACCTTTCCAGTAGTGTCCCTTATCTGAAATGCTTGCTTGGAACCAGAAGTGTATTCAGATTTTTGAATATTTGCATTGTGCCTGGTTGAGCATCCCTAATTCAAAAATCCAAAACCTGAAATGCTTTAATGAGCATTTCCTTTGAGCGTGATGTTTGAGCATCACATTGGTGCTCAAAAAGTTTTGGATTTTGAAGCATTTCAGATTTGGGATTTTCAGATGAGGGATGCTTGGTCTGTGTTTATGAAGGCCACAGTGGTGTTGGTGAGAACCCAAAGCAGCAAGAAACTTTCTTGAAAGAAAGAATTTTTTTTTTCCTTTGAGACAGAGTCTTGCCCTGTCACTCATGCTGGAGTGCAGTGGCACGATCTTGGCTTACTGCAGCTTCTACCTCCCAGGCTCAAGCCTTCCTTCCATCTCAGCCTCCCAAGTAGCTGCTACTACAGTCATGCACTATCACACTCGGCTAATTTTTGTGTTTTTTGTAGAGACGGGGCTTCCCCATGTTGCCCATACTAGTCTTGAACTCCTGAGCTGAAGCAGTCTGCCCACCTTGGCCTCCCAAAGTGCTGGGATTACAGGTGTGAGCCACCATGAGTGGCCAATAAATTTTTTTTAAGTCTTCCTAGAGACTTTTTTTGAAAGTCATGAGAATTTTGCATTCTGTCTCAGGCTTTGTGTTTCCTGAGGCCATGCATCTTCTGGGATGTGCATACATTCATTTGAAAAACACAATTTAAAGGAACTATCCTAGAGCAGGCGTGGTGGCCCGTCCCTGTAATCCCAATCCCAGCACTTTGTGAGCCAAGGTGGGAGTATCACTTGAGGCTGAGTTCAAGACCAGCCTGGGCAACAGAGCAAGACCTTGTCTCTACAAAAAAAATTAAGTAATAGAATTATCCCTTTTGAGAAATGTGCAGTCTGAAAATCCAACACTAAAAGATGTCCACAATTCATTTATTTATTTATTTATTTATTTATGAGACAGAGTCTCGCTCCATCCCCCAGGCTGGAGTGCAGTGGCATGATCTTGGCTGACTGCAACCTCCACCTCCCAGATTCAAGCAATTCTCGTGCCTCAACTTCCCGAGTAGCTGGGATTACAGGCAAGCACCACCACACCCAGCTGATTTTTTGTATTTTTAGTAGGGATGGGGTTTTGCCATGTTGCCCAGGCTGCTCTCGCACTCCTGAGTTCAGGCAATCCACCTGCCTCAGCCTCCCAAAGTGCTAGGATTACAGGCATGAGCCACCATGCCTGGCCATGCCCCAAATTTGACCAGAGAATCAAGGAAGAGATCAAAATGTATAGATGTTCCAATGCTCCAGATGACTTTGCAGTAAAGTATATAAGGGGTCTTCAAAAAGTTCCTGGAAAATGCATATTATGAAAGAAAAAAAAAAAACTACGCATGGATTACAAAACATTTTTCACCAAAATAAACTTGTACTTATAACATGTCTGAACAGGATATAGTTTGAGGAACTAAGAAGGGTCAGACATCAGTTTGAAAAGAGCACCTATCAGAGCAACATGAATTCTGCTAAAGTTGAAGCAAGAACAAATATCGAATTTATGGTGAAGCTTGGTGGAAGAATAGTGAAATCATTGATGCTTTATGAAAAGTTTATGGAGACAATGTCCCCAAAGAAATCAACAGTTTACAAATGGATCACTCATTTTAAGAAGGGACAAGACAACGTCAAAGCCCATTGCAGCAGATCAATTTGCGAGGAAAAATTTAATCTTGTTTATGCCCTAAATGAAGAAGACCGATGATTAATAGCAGAAACAATAGCCAACATCATCGATATCTCAGTTGGTTCAGCTTATTCAATTCCGACTGAAAAATTGAAGTTTAACAAACTTCCTACTGATGAGTGTCAAAACCATTGCACTCAGATTAGCTGCAGACAAGAACAGAGCTTTCAGTGGAAATTGTAAACAAGTGGGATCAAGATCCTGAAGCATGTCTTTGAAGAATGGGAACAGGAGGTGAAACATGGCTTTAGCAGTGCAATTCTGAAGACAAAACACAGTCAAAGCAATGGCTGCCAGGAAGTGAAAAGGGCCCAGTCCAAGCAAAAAGAGACCAGTTAAGAGGAAGGGCTATGGCAGTTTTTTGGGATGCTCAAGACATTTTGCTGGTTGACATTCTGGAGGGCTAAAGAATAATGTCTGCTTATTATGAGCTTGTTTTGAGAAAGTTGGCCAAAGATTGAGCAGGAAAACGCCTAGGAAAGCATCACCAGAGTTCTCCACCGCCACAGTGCTCCTGCTCATTCCTCTCATCAAACAGGGACAATTTTTTAAGAGTTTTGATGAGGAATCATTAGGCATCCACCTTAAAGTCCTTATTTGGGCCCTTCTGATTTCTTTTTGTTGCCTAATCTTAAAAAACATCTTTAAAGGGCACCCACATTTCTTTGGTTAATAGTATAAAAAAGACTGCATTGACATGGTTAAGTTCCCAGGACCCTCAGTTGTTCAGAGATGACTGGTATCATTACCTGCAAAAGTGTCTTGACCTTGATGGAGCTTATGTTGATAAATAAAGTTTATATTTTTTATTCTTTATCTTTTTATTCCATTTTTCCATGAACTTATTGAAGCCCCTTCGTAGATCACCTATTGAGGTTATATCTGGGGCATGCTGGGGTGTGCACTATATCGTATTTGTAGTCAGAATACTTGATGCTGTAGCGCTCAGCATTTATTGAATGAAATTCTGCTATAATATTTGAGCGAATATTTGTTTTTCGACAATGCATTTTCTTTGGATTTCTTACAGAAAAATGTCCATTCCACAAGGTTTGTGACATATTTCTGTGAGCAGGTTCTCCCTAACCTCGGTACCTTGACTACCCCAGTGGAAGGTCTTGATATACAGTTGGAGGTAAGCAAAAATTTCAGCTTTAGCACTGATAAGGCATTCTTATATTTTAACAAAAATGTAAACCACTAACTTAGATCCGATTTCTAAGGGAGCAGTTTAAATGTCTGGTAATGGCCAGCCAGTAATCTCCCTAGACCAGAATTAATTGCATTAGGACTGCTTCATGGATTCAATTAAAGTTTGCTGCAATGGGAAAGCCTTACCTGTAGTTTTATTATAGTCAGTCTCTACTTTTGTAGCCTTAATATTTTTAAATAAGGTGTTTAATTCATTCATTTCTATCCATAACTGACAGAGCCAATTTTAAACTGGATTAACACAAAATATCCTTTATTCCTTCTTCAATAGAATTCACTACCCCTCCCAACTTTGTATCTCAACTGTAATGTATGTAAACATTTTTTCACAGCATCTGTAATACTTTACATTTGTTTATAATCTCTCCCTACATTTAATCTGATTCACCTCTGTATCCCCAGAATCTGGCACAAAACTTGATTTTGAATCAAGCACCCAATAGTGATTATTGAATTGGACTGAAATATGGAAATGCGTGTGCCATTTCCCTCATGGGTCTTTGGGATAGAGAAGAATCTCACTGTGCACTGACAAGGTAGTTTGCTTCAAATGTGCTGGGCTAGGCCCATCAGACTGGGATTGGGAAATGCAGGAATGAACCTTGAGAATAGTGGTCATTACCAATATTTTGAGTAAGTATCCAGAGACTAAATTTAACAGGAAATGAGGCCCACCTTAACCATGAGTAATTAGTTCTTAGCTGTTGAGAGTTCTTACTAAGTGTGTCTTTATAGTTAATATATTTATCATTTTTGCCTTGCAATTAGCACAATCATTAACCTGTAGCAGAAAGTGTCGTATGTATTATTTTCCATACTTCTTCTCACAGATATATTGGAAATCATGGGATCTGGGTTTTAGGGTCTGCCCTGCCACTTACACCCTGTGACTTTGTCGAGTCACATAATCTCTGACCTTTACTTTCCTTCACAGTAAAATGTTGGGCTGCATCTATCTCTAAGGTTTTCTTCCATTTCAAATGTTATGATTCTGTGAAAACATAATTGAAAATAAAGTCTTAAATCGTTATCTAGAATTACTCTCATTTCATAACCCTTGCTTATTCAAAAAAACAGTAATAGTGAATTGTGTGTTTTAGGTATTGAAATTGTTGGCGGAGATGAGTTCATTTTGTGGTGACATGGAAAAACTAGAAACAAATTTAAGGAAACTATTTGATAAGTTATTGGTAAGAACTTTTTCCTTTCCTTATGGGATAGTCAGTATATAGCTCAAAGTCTAATTTATTATTAATTTCTAGATTACAAGAACCAGTTTTTGAAATTTCAATTAAACAATAATCCTAATAAGTATTGTTAGCTTCCTAGGCCACATGTTGTTGTCTACTTTGTTTTAATCTTGGTGTTTCTTATAATTAGGGAGAAAATAGGCCATCTGATAAAATCATTATCAGCATCACTGAGTGATTTTCTTATTTGATGTATTTGTATAACTAACACAGTGATAAGCATTAGGTCCTTAGCATGAATTGAGTCATCAACATCTGGCACTCGTCCAGATGTAACTTACTGGGTTGTTATAGCACTGATACTGAATGCCATTGGCAGTACTTCACTTGTAATGAGTCAGTACTTAAACAATATGGACTTACGTTCAGAAAATATTTTTGTAGTAAGCATAGTATAGTTGTTAAGAGCATCAGCATTTGATGTCAAATCTAGATTGAATTCTGACTCTTTAGTTTATTAACTTTGTTACCATGGGAAGGTTACCCTAACTCTCAGAGCATCAGTGCCTTTATCTGTAAGTGCCTAATAAATGATAGCTACATTAATCTTCATTATTAATAATAGCAGCTGTAACAGCAGCTGTAACAGGTTAATATGGAGCGTTGACAGGCTAGAGCATTGATCCAGTAAGTAAAAAAGAAATCCAAATGTCTGGTTTTGGTAGTTTTTAATGCTCCATGCCTTAAAAACATGCACTGTAATTCCCTGAATATCTGTTTATAATTTGAATATGTAGAACAGATTGCAAAATCTGTATATTTTTCTCTCTTAGGAATACATGCCCCTCCCTCCAGAAGAGGCAGAAAATGGAGAGAATGCTGGTAATGAAGAACCCAAGCTACAGTTCAGTTATGTGGAATGTTTGTTGTACAGTTTTCACCAGTTGGGCCGAAAACTTCCAGATTTCTTAACAGCCAAACTGAATGCAGAAAAGCTCAAAGATTTCAAAATCAGGTGATATATGATTGAGGTGGCTCAATCCTTGGCAAAGGTGGTAGCTATCCTGAAGTTCCTTGGGTTTTGCTTTTGTTCTATGAGAGCTCCCCATCCTGCCTTACCCCAGTGATACAGATTGGAGGGTTCAGAAAATGGGCATGTTTGTAAACATATGACAGAAATGAGCCAGGCATGGTGGCTCACGTCTGTAATCCCAGCACTTTGGGAGGCCAAGGCAGGAGGGTTGCTTGACACCAGGAGTTTGAGACCAGCTGGGCAACATAGTAAGATCCTGTCTCTATAAAAAATAACTTTAAAAAAATTAGCGGAGTGTGGTAACACACCAGTAGTCCCAGCTACTTGCAACACTGAGATGGGAGGCTCACTTGAGCCCAGGAGCTCGAGGTTACGGTCAGCTGCAGTCATGCCTCCGCACTCCTGTCTGGGCGATGAGATCATGTCTCTGAAAAAAGAAACAGTAAAAGTAAAATTTAAAAAAAATTAAAAGACAGAAATGACTTAACAAATCCATGGGGGGTAAAGGACTCTAGCTCTTCCTACTTGTTTTATGATCTTGGGCAGGTACCCTAACCTCTCTTGGCTCCCCCAAATTTTTCTCAGTTGTTAAGTGATAATAGTACCTACCTCATAGAGTTGTAAGAATTTAATAAGACAATGAATGTACAGCTTTTAGCATGGTGCCTGGCAAATAGTAGGTATTAGTAAACTGTAGCTGTTGTTATTAATAATACCTTAGTGTTACTGGAGAAGCAGCACTGGAGAAGTCAATGTAAATAGTTTTCACAAAGACACTGCTTATTGAATTGTTCCATTAACAAATTCACATTTTAAATTTTGAAATGCTTGAGCCATGTGTTACCTGTTACTGTCCTGTACTGTGTGGTAAGGCAGAAGTTTGATACTTGATGAAGCTCTTAATCAGAAACAAGCAACTTAAAATTCTCTTCTTTAATTTACTGGTCATGTAACCATTTCTGCACTTAGGATCATTTTGCTGTAGTATAAGATTGAGTTTAAAAACAAAATTGAAGTGATGAATTGCTAATTAACAAATACATTTTCATTTAGGCTGCAGTACTTTGCACGGGGCCTGCAAGTTTATATCAGACAACTTCGCTTAGCTCTCCAGGGTAAAACGGGTGAGGCCTTAAAAACAGAAGAGGTAAGAATACTGGCTCACATTTCATAAACTGCTAGTTCCATACCAAACTATATAGACTTGTGTTGGGAGTTTTTCATTTTCCCTTATCTCACCTAATTTAACAGTCTTCATCCCAGTCCTAATGAAATATTTTAGATTTTTATTATGTTCCTATAACTTAAACTGATTTATTTTAAAACAACTTCTATGTGCATGTGACCTTACTCATTTTTTAGCTACATTCTAACCTGTCAAGGGAACACAGATTATTTGCTTTCTTTGCTACATCTAGATTTGTTTAGAGTCAAGCAATAGGAATACGCATTATCTATAGATTTAAACCAAGGAATTCTGTAAAGACTGTAGAGGTGATTCTGATAGAAGTGTAATTACTCTAGTTCTATGACAGAATGGATTATGCCTCATAGAAGTTATTGGCAATTTGTCTTAATTTTCCTTTCCCTTTGTAGAACAAGATTAAAGTCGTTGCATTGAAAATAACAAACAATATCAATGTTTTAATCAAGGTAAGTCTGTAATACCAAGTGACATTTCTGCAGTTACCATAAAATCATACATTTATTTATTTAAAAGTTTTGCATAAGATACTTCCAACAAAGGGAGGCATGCAAACTTCTTCTGGCTCAAAGCATTGAAACAGATAGATACAGTCTCAGAAATTTCAGCGACTTAAGTTCTAGTGGTCTTAATTAGCTGTTGGGTTCTTTTGAATGTCCAGTAAATCCCTGTTCTGCTTACTCTTAAGAATGGACATGTGGTATGTAGCACAATGAAATGTTTTTCTGTGTTTGTTTTTTATAAACTTGACTATGTAATAAATTGAGAGCTTTCTGTACTGTAGGCTAGGGTATACCTTTCCATTAAGCCATAATTACTTTTCAATTCTGTTTACCCTTCCCAAGTATCTGCTAGCCTAAACAAAAATAATAACCTGAGAGAACCAGAAAAAAATCACAAAGTAGCCATCACTTGTATTATATTATACAATACAGTTACAGCTTAATTGTATTGTGCCAGATGGGAAAAAGAAACAGTATTTGTAACACCTAGAGCAGTAGCCTGCCAGTAACAAAAATTGGGACTAGTATGCCTTAAAGCTAATGTAAAAATGATACAGAATAATTATAGTTGACCCTTGAACAATGAAGGGCTTAGGGATACGGACCCCATGTATACCTTTTGACTCCCCCAAAACAACCACTGGCTGGTACAATGGTAGTGGGTTATCAGAACTTATTAACATTAGCATCACCAAAATTGGTATACAACCCCCCTGCCAATGCTAAATTTGGCTTTATAAAAAATCATTTTAAAAAACTGCTAATAGCCTGCTGTGGACAAGAAGCCTTACCAATAACATAAACAGTTAATTAACACATTTTTTATATGTATTATGTACTGTATTACAATAAAGCTGCAGGAAAAAAATGTTTTATTATAAAGAAGAGAAAATATTAAGTGGAAGTGGATTATCACAAAGGTCTTCATCCTTGTTGTCTTCACATTTAGTAGGTGGAGAAAGAGGAGGGGTTGGTCTTGTCTCAGGGGTAGCAGGCAAAAGAGGTGGAAGGAGAGGCAGGCACACTAGGTGTAACTTTTATTGGAAAGAATCTGCGTATAAGTGAGACCATGTAGTCCAAATTCAAGTTGTACAAGGGTCAGCTGCAGTTTGTATCAGAAGAGAGAGGGAAGCATTTGAGAAAAAGCAGCAGTGATTAGATGTTGAGGAAGGAGTATCATAGTGCCAAGTAGAAAACTGAAAAGGCATTAAACACAGAAGAGGTAAGAATATTATACTAATCTCCTAAGGAAATGTTTCCAATAGCTGCCATTTATTACAAATCTTAAATACAAATAATTATTTTGCATAGTAAATTCATATATAAAAATGTGAGATTTGACTTTATTTGAACCGCTGATACAAGTCTATGTTGAATATACAATGTGTTAAGAACATTTTAAACTTAGCAAATGCTTATTACCTGCATGCAGATGAGAAAATGTTCTTTTCAAGAATCTGTAAGTTATCTAAAGGAAGGTATAGGGGAAAGAGAGATGAATAGGGTCAGCAACCTGTGTGTAGAGTGCTCTGTGAATATAGGAATAAAGTCAGTTTCTCCTGCTATACTCTCACAGTGCACTTCTAACACCAGATGGGTGGAAGTTATTCCCCATACATCAAGTAAGTAAATAGTTCTGCAGTGGATACTAGCTGGGTGTCCTCCAATTCAGTCCTGACGCTATCTACCTAGAGGTAGCATCAGATTCCACATGTTGAGGGCCCAGTCCCACAAGACCACTTCTGATGACAGTTGCAAGCTCCAAGTTGTTTTACCCATGCTTCTGATTGGCTGGCTATAAATGGGGATTCCCACAATTTAACCAAACCTTAGGTTTGGTTAAATTGCTAGAGCAGCTTATAGAACTCAGGGAAACACTTACTTATGTTTACTGGTTTATTATAAAGGATACATATGAACAGCCAGATGAAGAGATACATAGGGAGGGGTCTTGAAGAGTCCTGAGTGCAGGAGTTTCCATCCCTATGGAGTTGGGGTGTACTACTCTCCCAGCACGTGGGTGTGTTCTTGTTCATATTCCATCCTGGAACACCCAACCCCCCTCACTCTCATATACACACACACACAGAGTCCTTTTCAGTTTTTATGGAGGCTCCATTACATAGGCATGATTGATTAAATCATTGGCCATCAGTGATAGATAAACCTTTATTGGTGTTAAATCAGCCCCTTTCTCCTCCCTGGAGGTGGGGTTGGACTGAGTTCCGACCCTGTAAGTATGTGGTTGGTTCCCCAGGCAGTCAGCTCCCCCATCCTGTGGTTATCTAGAGACTTTCCAAAAATCACCTCATTAATATAAACTCAGGTGTGGTTGAAAGATGCTTCTTAAAAATAAAAGATTGTCTTTCACCTTTATTGCTCTGGAACTTTTCAGGAAACAGTAACAAAGGGCCAAATGTTTTAGCAAAAGATATTCATATTGCTCTAGTCACTTAGGAAATTTCAAGAATTATTGGAGCTATGAGCCAGGAATCATGGACAAAAACCAAAATGCAGTCAATACAGGCCTTCTGTATCCAAAGTGGATTGGTTGAAGGACCCCCATGGATACCAAAACCCTCAGATTAACCCTCATTAAATGGCATAGTATTTGCGTATAACCTACACAAACCCTCCCCTATACTTTAAAGCATCTCTAGATTACTTATCATACTTATCAACTTAAAATAATTAAAAGTCTCAGGGTCCAATTAAAAGAGTTTATTTAGGTATAAAGTGTGAGATTGGCCATCTGGGGAGCAGAATTACACCAAAGAATGCTGGTCAGTGCTCCTAGTATGGGGAAAAATGAGGATTGTTTATATGGGCAAAAACTGATACAGGCATAAACTGAGGTGCTAAAAAGAATGACATTTTCTATACAAAGGCTAACATAGATATATGACTGGCTACTATTGATTACATTAATACAGATAGATTACATTAATACAGATAGATATATGACTGGCTACTATTAATACATTAATACAGATAGATATATGACTGGCTACTATTGATTAACAGATAGATACATGATTGGCTACTATTGATTACACTCTAAGAGGATTAACATTTTATTGTAAAGAGGTAACAGTCACAGTGGTCTCTATCTCCCTCATTTAGTCTAGGTTTAAGTAAAGAGTAGACTCTGGTTCATGCAATCTCAACACAAAGGTCAGGAAGGCAACGGTCATGCATCAGAGAAGAAAACAGCCATGAGTCGGTTTCCAGGAGTTAACTTTTCCCATTGGTGTAATAAATTTGGGAGAACCTGAAATTTTATTTTTACATACCTAATACAGTACCTACACATCACTTCATTCTCGAGGATTCAACATAGTAAATTCAAGTTTTGCTTTTTTAGAATTTTATGCAGTTTTTTTCTGAATATTTTCCATCCACAGTTGCTTTAATCCACAGATGCAGGAACCATGGGCACAGTGGGCAAACTGTATATATTACATAGTATCACAAGTGCCTTACCTGAAAATCTTGAAATGTTTTTAAGTTGGGTAGAAGTATGTGACATGATAAATTTTTTGTTTTTGGGAGAACATAGGTATGTTTTAATCCATCCTTGACATTTCTTGCAATCTTTACCTACCAGGCAGACTCATCTAATTTCACAACTTCATTTTTATTTTAATGAATCCCCAAACTATACGCCATTTTCCTGTTGTCTTCTGAGATTTAACATGTTTATAATTGAAGATTTGCCGTTTCCTCTTCATGTGGTCCCTTTTTCAGTTAACATTATAATATGCAAAATCACTCCAGTTAGAAACCTCAAGCATTTTTTATTCAAAGCATGTTGCATTGGCCAATTCCCTACTTTATATAGTACGCTGGACTTAAGTTTATATACCAGGGACGATTTTTTATTAGTATACTCATTTTAACTGGGAGAAAAGTTTACTTTTATTGAATTTTACCTATATACAAAAAATCAAGGTAAAGCTGGTAAGAGTATTACTAAGAATAAATGTGTTTAGCAATTTATTCAGTTGTGAGGATATTATCAGGTTAGATTATTTGAATTCCAGGTTATTTTAACACATTCAGCAAACATTTGCATTCCTACCACTTTGATCACTCGGTATTTAAATCTTACACGGTTTTTTTTGCCTTATTAATAATTTATAGATATTTCATAGGGCACGGGGAAACATGATTAGCCAGAGTTTTAGTGGTTTTTTTTGTTTGTTTGTTTTTACTTTTCCTATGGTGCTGGCAGTAAAGCTTTAGATTTTTTTCTAATTTTGAACCACTTAAAAATTTGCAAAAGCACATGCAGATTGCACCATTGTATTTTCCTTAAAGCACCATGGTGACTGCATCTGTGCAAAAACAAACCGAAACAAAACTTATTTGCTGACTTTGTTTATTAAAGTGGATAAATATTGATATATTTTATCCTGAAATGTATACTGACATTTAGAAAAAAATTAGCTACACTACAGTTTGTTATGTGCACAAAATTATGTTAATGAGGTAATACATGTGATTTGTAAACAAAATTGTTCCTGTTTAATTTTCTGTTGCAGTAAGCTCTGTCTCCTAAATTGAATCTTTAAGATCTGTCTTCGTTTCCTACCCTCACCACCACTCCCTGCCACCAACAAATACATTAGAATTCTTGCCTGATTTCTGTCTCTGCAGGATCTCTTCCACATTCCTCCTTCTTATAAGAGCACAGTAACACTATCCTGGAAACCTGTACAAAAGGTTGAGATTGGGTAAGAAATATATTTAAAAGAGATTTAAGTGTTATCAAAACTTAATACGAGTTACATTTACTGTTCAAAAGGGTGCAATGTTAAATGATTCATAATAGCATGTTTAAATATGACTATTAGAAATATGACTTAAAATGTAAAATCTAATTTCAATATTTGTAAAAATAAACTGGTGGGAGGCAACGCTGGAACTTTCAGCCTTACTTGTATTCCTGTAGCAAAACTAGATTTTTTTCTGACAGGTTTTGTAAAGTGAGTCACTTGCATGTAAGTCTGTGAAGCTACATATTTCAGATTATTTTAAAGGCTTGTAAATGCCTTCTGACATTGTCTGCATAACCAAACTATAATTAATTTGATGACATCAAATGTTAATTCCTTTTTTCTGATGAGATTATCCTCTTTAGGATGTCTTTCCTAACTGATATGCTAAATTATAAATGTATTGATAGCTTTTGGCTTAATAGAATGTTTTTGAATTGCTCTTCTTCCTATTGTTACAGGCAAAAGAGAGCCAGTGAAGATACAACTTCAGGTTCACCACCCAAGAAATCTTCAGCAGGACCAAAAAGAGATGCCAGGCAGATTTATAACCCTCCCAGTGGGAAATATAGCAGCAATTTGGGCAACTTTAATTATGGTGAGCGTTTCCGTTTGGGTACAAGGAATATGAGAGATTAGGCAGAAATTGTGTTATACTTTATTTTAATTAGTAATTATATACAGTGTCATGGTTCTATCCAATGACTTTTCTGAATTAGCTTGGAGAACTAGGGCTGTTGAGGAAATGATTTATCCCATTCCTCTCTCATTCACCCTTCTGGGCTGACTGTATTGAACATGCAACATTAAACAGTAAGCACTTAAAGAAAAATATGCCTCTTGTATTCAGAGGAACCAACAGAAACAAAATAAGTTGACAGAACCATTCTTTCCATGCTTTCCCAGTTGCAGCTTCAAGGCAAGGCATTCTGTGCATTCTCCCTCAGGGATGGGTATAGCTTCTGAGAGATAGTATAAATGCTCTTTCTTGGACATAGTCAGCCTGCTGCCTATACTCCCATCTTCTGTAGCTAGTTAAAAAGAAATAACAGAAGTGGAGTCAGATGTTCAGGCATCATCTAGCAAGGAAGATGTGTTCTATTGCAGTCTCTCCCTCTGCCCAGAATGCAATCCTCCTATCAGTGCTTCCTATTCCCCTTTAGCCATTAGAGCCAGGAGAGCTTCATACCAGTCCATCCTCTCCCACGGCTGTCGAATCAAAAGTAAAGTTTATCTCTCATTGGCTTATTTCCTCATGGATCTTTTTTTTTAAAAGAATGGAGAGAAATATCAGGTCAATTCCTTACCTTGCTTAAGAAGACAAAGTTTAGGCCGGGGGCAGTGGCTCAAGCCTGTAATCCCAGCACTTTGGGAGGCCGAGGCAGGCGGATCACGAGGTCAGGAGGTCGAGACCATCCTGGCTAACAGGGTGAAACCCCGTCTCTACTAAAAATACCAAAAATTTGCCAGGTGTGGTGGCGGGCGCCTGTAGTCCCAGCTACTCTGGAGGCTGAGGCAGGAGAATGGTTTGAACCTGGGAGGTGGAGCTTTCAGTGAGTGGAGATCGCACCACTGTACTCCAGCCTAGGCGACAGAGCAAGACTCCGTCTCAAAAAAAAAAAAAAAAAAAAAAAAGACAAAGTTTAGGCAGGCATGGTAGCTCACACATGTAAACCCAACACTTTCGGAGGCCGAGGTGGGAGGATCACTTGAGCCCAAGAGTTCGAGGCCAGCCTGGGGAACAAAGCGAGACCCCATTTCTACAAAGAAAATTTAAAAATTAGTTGGGTATGGTGGCACGCACTTATAGTCCCAGCTACTCAGGAGGCAAGAGGCAGGAGGATTGCTGAAGCCCAGGAGGCCAAAGCTACTGTAAGCTATGATGGTGCGACTGCACTCCAGCTGGGTGACCAAGCAAGACCCTGTCTCTTAAAATAAAAAAAAAGTAGATTCTGAACCATATAATATCTGTAATTTTGTTTCCAAGGTGAGAGAATTGTAACATTAAATTACTTCTATAACAGTTGAATTCTTCTAATGTCTGAACAAACAGATTATATAGAAAGCCAATTTTAGACTGAAATGAACCCTTCCCCTCCAGACTCTGAGACACCTTTACTTTAAGGATGATCACTGAACTCTCTTATTTACATAACAGTATGTAAATGTGCATCTCCTTGCCTCTTATCTGAAAAATGAGGTAAGAGCTCTTACAGCCTTCTAATAACAATATTTGTGAAAGTATTTTGTAAGGGGAAAGGATTCTCCGTTACTTGGTTGAATCACATGTTGTTCTCTGTCACTTGTATGATTTAATGTGTCTAACAGTACCATTCTTAAAATCAAAAGTTATCTCAGATACTGGGAGAATGGCTTTAATGAAAGTAATCAATAGCTATGGCAATACAAGAATTGTACTCCTTTTTATTGGACAAGTCAATTTGATTTTACATGAAGATTCTATTGTGTAAAACTCATTGCCTGCTCAATAGTGAGAATCAGGTGATATAATGCATGTGGAAAAAGAATGTGAAAAATCTAACACTTTAGATTGTATACAGTGTTTTTTAAAAAGACACAAAAAAACTGTCAACATGAGAAACATAAGCAAAGTTTTACTCAAGACAAACATCCACGAGTCACAACTTCAGTTATTCCCAGTCTTCAAAATAACAGAAGGGCAAAGCAAAGTAAACATGCAAAAGCAAACTAAAATCTGATTCTTCTTATTAGAAAGAAGAGTGAATTTCTGCAATTATTTTACATTTGAGAATTTAATGTGATCAGGTCATAGGTATTCTCACAACAAAATTTGAAGCATTTGCTTGACTTTATTTCACCTGTTGAAACAAAAGCAGTTCTCAGTATCCAAGTTTATTGCTTTACTAACCAATGTCTCTGTTTTTTGCTTTACAAACATGGTATTGGTTCTCACAAATTAGTTCAACTTCCCGGTGCATTCATAAACATATACCCACGTTTAGTTTTCCTTCCAGTGCACAAAGTTTCCCCAGTAACCTAAAAGTACTAAATGTTCTACATTTTGTGACTTGTGTTCTTTACTTTTTGGAATATAAAAATAATCCTTAAAGTTTAATTTAAACTGGGAGCAGTGAATTAAAAAAAAAATGTAAGCTTGAAACTATTGAAAAGATCATGAAAATGCAGAGTATTTTTTAGGATGAAGCTCTTCAAAAAGAAGAAAATTTGGTGAATCTCTGTACTATAGAAATGGCTGTATCAATTGGAGGTAAAAAAAAAAAAAAAAAAAAAGCATTTGCCAATATAGAAAAGATAACTACGTCAAATAGTACCTTCATACAGTGTATTTAATTTCCTCATTAGGTACAGCTGAATAGAGTGTAACCTGAATTCATATTAAAATTGAAAGAGTGGATTGTAATAGTCTTTTAGCTTAAAGCTAATAATAGTATCTATGACAGTGTTAAGTGTGTTGGTGTGAATAATGAGTATGATAGGGTGAAATGTGCAGGCATCTGCATAGATGGCTCTAAGTCTAAACAGTCAAAAATGCAGAAGTCATGGCCCACAAAAGGCTACTGCACTACCTTAATGCTCCCATAGTTACTGCATCTGTCTCTGGGAGCATCTTGCCCTCAGAGAAACCACCTCTGATTTTCTGAATGTGTTCACTAGGATAATAAACACAATGATTTCATTTTCAAATGGTTTGCATACTAATCAGCTTGTAAAAAAATGTGTCATGGCATAAGAAGGTGACTTTGAATCAGACCCATTCTATTATACAGATAAATATTAGCCAAACTGGGGAAAGGTCCAGTGAGTTTCCTGTCTCAGAATTGAATTACTTTTCTTTCTGCAGAAAGGGGGGTCAAAAAAGACATCAAGACATCACCCTAGTAAGACATAATGGCAAAAAAATTGATTGCAAAATTGACTGAAAAGGTATTTTTCAAGCCTCCAAGATTGTGGATCAAAAACAGCAAAACCAAGCTCTCTCTATTGTTGCTAACAAGATTGCTATAATGAGGAAGTTTAGAAGTTAATGAAGAGATTTGATCTCATTTACATATGATTAAAAGTCCAGCCTTGTGATAACTTCGATCAGTTTTCTTCATGGGACGACACCTTTGAGGACCATTTCTCTGTGGCTATAAAAGTGACTGACCAATGGATGAGAGACTCTTGTTCTGTACATCACAAGTGACTTGATTTTTCAGCAAAAGATATGCTTAGTTTATATCAGTAGCTGAAACACACTCAGACGCACATACACACATAGCACCTATTTGGCAGTATTCTGAGAAGCTTATGTAGCTGATAAAGCAGTGAAAAAAACTCAGCCTTTAGATCTACATTTGTGTGAGTCCAGTTGCGTGAAATACTGTGATCAAAACAAAAATTGCATATTTATTGCATTCAAAGGGACATTTTGTAGTCTAACCTGATTTTCGAAATTGATTATTGATAATTTAAGATATTTTTCATAGTTATATGAGTTACCTTTAGTAATGATAGACAATAAATAAAGAACTAAGAAGTTGTCATGAAAGTCATAGCCAGAGCAGGTAGATAAGAGAAAGAAATAAAGGGCATCCAAACTAGAATGGAGAAGTCAAATTGTTCTCTATGCAGATGACATGATGTTATATATATAAAAACAAAACTAAAGACTCTACCAAAAAACTCATAGAACTGATAAATTTAGAAAAGTTAGAAGATACAAAATTAGTATACAAAAATCAGTAGCATTTCTATGCATGAACAGTGAACTAGCTGAAAAAGAAATCAAGGTAACCCCATTTATAATAGCTGTGAAAAAAATCTAGGAATAAATTAACCAAGAAGGTAAAATATTTCTATACAAGGAAAACTACAAAACACTGATGAAAGAAATTGAAGGAGATACAAACAAATTGAAAGACACTCCGTACTCATGGATTAGAGGAATTAATATATTTTAAATGACCATGCTACCCAAAGTGATCTCCAGATTCAATACAACTTCTATCAAAATAACTGACATTCTTCACAGAAATTGCCACCAAAAAAAATTCTTAAAATTTATATGGAACCACAAGACCCCAAATAGCCAAAGCAATACTGAGCAAAAAGAACAAAGCTGGAGTTATCACACTACCAGATCTCAAAATATAAATCAAAAATGTAGTAACCAAAACAGCCTGATACTGGCATAAAAATAGATACAGAGCAATGGAACAGAACAGAGAACCAGAAATTAATCCACGTATCTACAGCCAACTGATTTTTTACAAAGGTGGCAAGAATACTCATTGGAGGGACAAAAAAAAAAGGGACAGTCTCTTCAATAAATGGTGCTGAGAAAACTGGGTATCCATATGCAGAAGAATGAAACTAGATCCGCACCTCCCACCCTGTACAAAAACCAACTCAAAATGGATGAAAGACCTAAATGTAAGACCTAAAACAATAAAACTACCATAAGAGAAAACAAGAAGCACTTCAGGACATTGGTCTGGGAAAAGATTTTATGACTGAGACCTAAAAGCACAGGCAACAAAAACATGGGATCATATCAAATTAAAAAGCTTCTGTGCAGCAGAGGAAACCATCAACAGTGAAAAGACAGCTTACAGAATGGGAGAAAATATTTGTAAACTACTCATGCAACAGAGGATTAATATTCAGAATATAGAAGATATTCAAACATCTTAATAGCAAAACAAATCTAGATTAAAAATGGGCAAATCATCTGAACAGACATTTCTCAAAAGAAGACGTACAAATGGCCAATAAATGTATGAAAAAATTCTAAACACTAAGCATCAGGGTAATGCACATCAAAACCACAATGAGTAAGTTGGAAGTTCAGGGAAGAGATTTTATCTCATTTACATATGATTAAAAGTCAGACATTGGCACCCCCATGTTTATTGTAGCACTATTCATTAGCCAAGACATGGAATCAACCCAGAATCAACAGGTGCATCAACAGGTGAATGGCTAAACAAGATGTGGTATTATACACAATGGGATACTATTCAGCCATAAAAAAAGAATGTCCTTTCATTTGCAGCAACATGGAAGGAACTGGAGGACTTTATAGTAGGTGAAATAAGCCAGCAATGGAAAATTAAACAATGCATGTTCTCACTCATGTGGAAGTTTTAAAAAGTTAATCTTATAGAAGTAAAAATTAGGACAGCGCATACTAGAGGCTGAGAAGATAGGGGGAAGGAAGGGATAGGGAGAGATTTGTGGGAGGATGCAAAATAACATAGGAATAAGCCCTAGTGTTGTGTACCACTATAGCATGACTATAGTTAATATATACTTTAAAATAGAAGAATATTGAATGTTCCCAACACAAAGAAATTATAGGTGTTTGAGATGATGGATATGCTTGTTACCCTGAGCTGATAACTGTACATTCTTTGTATCAAAGTATTCTACCCCACGAATATGTAGAATTATTATTCGTGAATTTGAAGAATTAAGTTTTTTAAAAAGTGTACGGGCTGGGCACAGTGGCTCACACCTGTAGTCCCAGCACTGAGGCAGGACGATCCCTTGAGGCCTGCAGTTTGAGATCAGCCTGGCAACAAAATGAGGACCTGTCTCTACAAAAAAAAAAAATAGCCAAACATGGTGGTGTGCATCTGTAGCCCTAGCTACTGGGGAGTCTGAGGCAGAAAGATCACTCTAGTCCAGAAGTTCAATGTTATGGTGAACTGTGAACGCACCACTGCACTCCAGCCTGAGCAACACAGCAAGACCCTCCAAAAAAAGTGTAGTTATCGTAACATCACCTTGAAACAACTTTGTTACTGGGATACATTTAATTAAGCAACTACCATGAATGTAGTCGGTACCTTGCCTTACGTGCTTCAGTATATATGTTGTTCTTGTTTTATGTACAGGCTAAATTTGTAGATTGAATAGCAGAATATTAGTTCTGTTCTTATAGGGCCTACTGCTGTATTCAGAGTTATGAGCTACGTTTCTTCTGCGTTTGCTGCACCATGAAATCCTAAGCAAGACCTAAACCCTTGTTCGCTTTTTCGTAGAGCAGAGAGGAGCCTTCAGGGGAAGTAGAGGTGGCCGAGGTTGGGGCACACGAGGAAATCGTAGTCGGGGAAGACTCTACTGAATAAGACATCAGCATTCTTCAGCATTGTCATGAGCTTAATATACTTAAATTCTACTACTCATTGGATTGCCGGGGATGTCCCTTTAAACAGACTGCTGCCTTCAGCTAAAAACTTAATGTTCTTTATACCTTTGTATGTATGACCTACTTTTGTAACAGACCATGGTTGTGTCCAAGGTAAAACCACAGTGATATTTTTGGATGCTTTGTCTGCAATCTTGACTTGTTTTTGCAGTATCATTATTCAGACTTCAAATTGTGAATCTTTTAAACATCTTGATAATTTGTTGTTGAGAGCTGTTCATTCTAAAATGTAATGAAATTCAGTCTAGTTCTGCTGATAAAGATCATCAGTTTTGAAAGGTTACTGATTTTCCTCTTCCCTCTTAGTTTTTTACCCAATATATGGAGAAGAGTAATGGTCAATCTTAACATTTTGTTTTAATTGTTTAATAAAGCTGCTGGGCAGTGGTGCAGCATTCCTACCTAGTGTCATAAAAGCAAAATACTTACATAGCTTTCTTAAAATATAGGAATGACATTACATTTTTAGGAGAAAGTAAGTTGCTTTGCACCGCCTACTTAATTCTTTTCCATATATTGTGATACAAACTTTTGAATATGGAATCTTACTATTTGAATAGAAATGTGTATGTATAATATACATACATACATAAGCATATATGTGTGTGTGTGTGTGTATATATATATATATGCATGCTGTGAAACTTGACTACACAACATAAATCACTTTTTAAATTCCAGGAACGGGTAGTCTGACACGGTGATTATCCTTTTGAGGCTGAATCCGTTATTAACTTGTTATTTAGGTTTTTACTCCCAGTAGCAAGGGATTCTAAGTTAGTTGCACTTACATGATTATTGTTATTTAAAACTAAGAATAAAGGCTGCATTTTCAAAGATAAATTGGAATTGCTGTTGGTGAAATAACAACCAAAATACTGAATCTGATGTACATACAGGTTTCTACAGGAAGAGATGGTATAATTTACAATTTGGAGATTTAATAACCAGGGCTACCCAGAAAAAGTGACTTGATAACATGGTACCAATAAGTAAGGGATGCTCTCTCGGTTTGCTTTTGCCACTTTCAAGATTTTAACTTCTCAGGTTATTAATCAAAATTATTGTATAAGTTAGCCAATAGAATTTTTAGGTTAAAACAACAGATGGGGGGTTTGTGGAGTGTTTAATGTCATGGGCATTTTTAGTAGGATAGACCCTTTGTTCTGCATTTGAATGTTTCGTATATTTTTGTTTCACAGTTAATCTTCCCTCCCCAAGTTTGCTATTCAAATCAACTGCCTGAATGACATTTCTAGTAGTCTGATGTATTTTTCTGAGGAATAGTTTGTGATTCCAATGCAGGTGTCTTCATTACCATTACCTCTACACTGCAGAAGAAGCAAAACTCCTTTATTAGAATTACTGCACATGTGTATGGGGAAAATAGTTCTGAAAGGCTAGAATGATACAAGTGAGCAAAAGTTGGTCAGCTTGGCTATGGAGTGGTGGCAATAATCTCTAAACATTCCAAAAGACCATGAGCTGAACCTAAACTCCCTTGGAATCTGAACAAAGGAATATAAAATTGCCATTTGAAAACTGACCAGCTAATCTGGACCTCAGAGATAGATCAGCCAGTGGCCCAAAGCCATTTCAAGTACAGAAATTATAGAGACTACAGCTAAATAAATTTGAACATTAAATATAATTTTACCACTTTTTGTCTTTATAAGCATATTTGTAAACTCAGAACTGAGCAGAAGTGACTTTACTTTCTCAAGTTTGATACTGAGTTGACTGTTCCCTTATCCCTCACCCTTCCCCTTCCCTTTCCTAAGGCAATAGTGCACAACTTAGGTTATTTTTGCTTCCGAATTTGAATGAAAAACTTAATGCCATGGATTTTTTTCTTTTGCAAGACACCTGTTTATCATCTTGTTTAAATGTAAATGTCCCCTTATGCTTTTGAAATAAATTTCCTTTTGTAATTTTGTTTTGTGTCTTGATGTGTTATAATTATGGTAACTTCAGATTCTTGGATAGTTATTAACATTTATTGATTGCTTCTACTGTGCCAATAGGCTGAAAATATAAAGATGGACAAGAACTGCTCTCTGCCTTCAAGGAGTTCAGTCTTTTTTTTTTTTTTTTTTTTTTTTGAGACGGAGTCTCGCCCTGTCTCCCAGGCTGGAGTGCAGTGGTACAATCTCGGCTCACTGCAAGCTCCGCCTCCCAGGTTCATGCCATTCTCCTGCCTCAGTCTCCTGAGTAGCTGGGACTACAGGCGCCCGCCACCACGCCCAGCTAATTTTTTGTATTTTTAGTAGAGACAGGATTTCACCGTGTTAGCCAGGATGGTCTCAATCTCCTGACCACGTGATCCACCCGCCTTGGCCTCCCAAAGTGCTGGGATTATAGGCGTGAGCCACCGCCCCCGGCCCATGAGGAGTTCAGTGTTGATATAATTTTGTAAATCATCTTTAATTTTGATCCTTGAAAGTTTTTATTTGAATTTATTTTTAGGAGCTAATCTGAAAAAAAGGATTTGGTTTTTTTTTATTAAAGCAAAACATCAGATAATTGCCAAATCATCATTAAGTAAATCATTTCTATCTTCAGATAATGTGCAAAGCAAGTTGGAACTTAGTAATTTAACTGCCAGCCTTTATGAAAATATTCCTGAAGTAGCACTAAGGTTGGTTGTGAGTGTTTGAAAGCTGGGGTTTAAGTGGATCAGGATAAGATAACTAAATTCCCTTGGTGATCACATCTAGGCCTATAGCGTTTTTTTTGTTTGTTTGTTTTGTTTTTGAGACAGAGTTTCGCTCTTGTTGCCCAGGCTGGAGTGCAGTGGTGTGATCTTGGCTCACCGCAACCTCTGCCTCCCAGGTTCAAGCGATTCTCCTGCCTCAACCTCCCGAGTAGCTGGGATTATAAGTGTCCGCCACCACGCCCAGCTAATTTTTTGTATTTTTAGTAGAGACGGGGCTTCACCATGTTGGCGAGGCTGGTCTCGAACTCCAGACCTCAGGTGATCCACCAGCCTCGGCCTCCCGAAGTGCTGGGATTACAGGCATAAGCCACCATTCCCGGCCTTCCAGGCCTATGGCTTTAAATACTATCTATATGCTAAGGAATGCCAAATTTCTTTCCCCATTATTTCTTGCCTAGAGTTTCGTAATAACCTCCTAATTGATCTCCCTGCCGTTACACCTAACTCTACAATCTGCTTGAAACCCAGCAGCAAAGAGACATCTACTTTTCTGCCAGAAATTGTTCACTGGCTCCCCGTTTCAGAATAGTAACCAAAAACATTACCATGGCTTTTAATTGTGACCTCAGCTGCTATTCTTCCCCTCCCCTTGATCACTCTGCTGCAGCCAGTTAGCCTCATGCAGGCCAAAGACATCCTCCTGCCTTACAGCCCTTGCGTTAGCTAGCTACCCCCTCTTGTCAGTATTCCTTTATTTATTTATTTATTTATTTTATTTTTTTTTTTTTTATATTTAAAGAGGTCTTTTATTTAAATCATCTTGTATCATGTCTGACACATTATTGGTTTTTTTTTTGTTTTTTTTTTATACTTTAAGTTTTAGGGTACATGTGCACATTGTGCAGGTTACATATGTATACATGTGCCATGCTGGTGCGCTGCACCCACTAACTCGTCATCTAGCCTTAGGTATATCTCCCAATGCTATCCTTCCCCCCTCCCCCCACCCCACCACAGTCCCCAGAGTGTGGTATTCCCCTTCATGTGTCCAGGTGATCTCATTGTTCAATTCCCACCTATGAGTGAGAATATACGGTGTTTGGTGATAATTTTACTGAGAATGATGATTTCCAATTTCATCCATGTCCCTACAAAGGATATGAACTCATCATTTTTTATGGCTGCATAGTATTCCATGGTGTATATGTGCCACATTTTCTTAATCCAGTCTATCATTGTTGGACATTTGGGTTGGTTCCAAGTCTTTGCTATCGTGAATAATGCCGCAATAAACATACGTGTGCATGTGTCTTTATAGCAGCATGATTTATAGTCCTTTGGGTATATACCCAGTAATGGGATGGCTGGGTCAAATGGTATTTCTAGTTCTAGATCCCTGAGGAATCGCCACACTGACTTCCACAATGGTTGAACTAGTTTACAGTCCCACCAACAGTGTAAAAGTGTTCCTATTTCTCCACATCCTCTCCAGCACCTGTTGTTTCCTGACTTTTTAATGATTGCCATTCTAACTGGTGTGAGATGATATCTCATAGTGGTTTTGATTTGCATTTCTCTGATGACCAGTGATGATGAGCATTTTTTCATGTGTTTTTTGGCTGCATAAATGTCTTCTTTTGAGAAGTGTCTGTTCATGTCCTTCGCCCACTTTTTGATGGGGTTGTTTGTTTTTTTCCTGTAAATTTGTTTGAGTTCATTGTAGATTCTGGATATTAGCCCTTTGTCAGATGAGTAGGTTGTGAAAATTTTCTCCCATGTTGTAGGTTGCCTGTTCACTCTGATGGTAGTTTCTTTTGCTGTGCAGAAGCTCTTTAGTTTAATTAGATCCCATTTGTCAATTTCGGCTTTTGTTGCCATTGCTTTTGGTGTTTTGGACATGAAGTCCTTGCCCACGCCTATGTCCTGAATGGTAATGCCTAGGTTTTCTTCTAGGGTTTTTATGGTTTTAGGTCTAACGTTTAAATCTTTAATCCATCTTGAATTGATTTTTGTATAAGGTGTAAGGAAGGGATCCAGTTTCAGCTTTCTACATATGCCTAGCCAGTTTTCCCAGCACCATTTATTAAATAGGGAATCCTTTCCCCATTGCTTGTTTTTCTCAGGTTTGTCAAAGATCAGATAGTTGTAGGTATGCGGCGTTATTTCTGAGGGCTCTGTTCTGTTCCATTGATCTATATCTCTGTTTTGGTACCAGTACCATGCTGTTTTGGTTACTGTAGCCTTGTAGTATAGTTTGAAGTCAGGTAGTGTGATGCCTCCAGCTTTGTTCTTTTGGCTTAGGATTGACTTGGCGATGCGGGCTCTTTTTTGGTTCCATATGAACTTTAAAGTAGTTTTTTCCAATTCTGTGAAGAAAGTCATTGGTAGCTTGATGGGGATGGCATTGAATCTGTAAATTACCTTGGGCAGTATGGCCATTTTCACGATATTGATTCTTCCTACCCATGAGCATGGAATGTTCTTCCATTTGTTTGTATCCTCTTTTATTTCCTTGAGCAGTGGTTTGTAGTTCTCCTTGAAGAGGTCCTTCACAACCCTTGTAAGTTGGATTCCTGGGTATTTTATTCTCTTTGAAGCAATTGTGAATGGGAGTTCACTCATGATTTGGCTCTCTGTTTGTCTGTTGTTGGTGTATAAGAATGCTTGTGATTTTTGTACATTGATTTTGTATCCTGAGACTTTGCTGAAGTTGCTTATCAGCTTAAGGAGATTTTGGGCTGAGATGATGGGGTTTTCTAGATAAACAATCATGTCATCTGCAAATAGGGACAATTTGACTTCCTCTTTTCCTAATTGAATACCCTTTATTTCCTTCTCCTGCCTGATTGCCCTGGCCAGAACTTCCAACACTATGTTGAATAGGAGCGGTGAGAGAGGGCATCCCTGTCTTGTGCCAGTTTTCAAAGGGAATGCTTCCAGTTTTTGCCCATTCAGTATGATATTGGCTGTGGGTTTCTCATAGATAGCTCTTATTATTTTGAAATACGTCCCATCAATACCTAATTTATTGAGAGTTTTTAGCATGAAGGGTTGTTGAATTTTGTCAAAGGCTTTTTCTGCATCTATTGAGATAATCATGTGGTTTTTGTCTTTGGCTCTGTTTATATGCTGGATTACATTTATTGATTTGCGTATATTGAACCAGCCTTGCATCCCAGGGATGAAGCCCACTTGATCATGGTGGATAAGCTTTTTGATGTGCTGCTGGATTCGGTTTGCCAGTATTTTATTGAGGATTTTTGCATCAATGTTCATCAAGGATATTGGTCTAAAATTCTCTTTTTTGGTTGTGTCTCTGCCCGGCTTTGGTATCAGAATGATGCTGGCCTCATAAAATGAGTTAGGGAGGATTCCCTCTTTTTCTATTGATTGGAATAGTTTCAGAAGGAATGGTACCAGTTCCTCCTTGTACCTCTGCTAGAATTCGGCTGTGAATCCATCTGGTCCTGGACTCTTTTTGGTTGGTAAGCTATTGATTATTGCCACAATTTCAGCTCCTGTTATTGGTCTATTCAGAGATTCAACTTCTTCCTGGTTTAGTCTTGGGAGAGTGTATGTGTCGAGGAATGTATCCATTTCTTCTAGATTTTCTAGTTTATTTGCGTAGAGGTGTTTGTAGTATTCTCTGATGGTAGTTTGTATTTCTGTGGGATCAGTGGTGATATCCCCTTTATCATTTTTTATTGTGTCTATTTGATTCTTCTCTCTTTTTTTCTTTATTAGTCTTGCTAGCGGTCTATCAATTTTGTTGATCCTTTCAAAAAACCAGCTCCTGGATTCATTGATTTTTTGAAGGGTTTTTTGTGTCTCTATTTCCTTCAGTTCTGCTCTGATTTTAGTTATTTCTTGCCTTCTGCTAGCTTTTGAATGTGTTTGCTCTTGCTTTTCTAGTTCTTTTAATTGTGATGTTAGGGTGTCAATTTTGGATCTTTCCTGCTTTCTCTTGTGGGCATTTAGTGCTATAAATTTCCCTCTACACACTGCTTTGAATGCGTCCCAGAGATTCTGGTATGTTGTGCCTTTGTTCTCGTTGGTTTCAAAGAACATCTTTATTTCTGCCTTCATTTCGTTATGTACCCAGTAGTCATTCAGGAGCAGGTTGTTCAGTTTCCATGTAGTTGAGCGGCTTTGAGTGAGATTCTTAATCCTGAGTTCTAGTTTGATTGCACTGTGGTCTGAGAGATAGTTTGTTATAATTTCTGTTCTTTTACATTTGCTGAGGAGAGCTTTACTTCGAACTATGTGGTCAATTTTGGAATAGGTGTGGTGTGGTGCTGAAAAAAATGTATATTCTGTTGATTTGGGGTGGAGAGTTCTGTAGATGTCTATTAGGTCCGCTTGGTGCAGAGCTGAGTTCAATTCCTGGGTATCCTTGTTGACTTTCTGTCTCGTTGATCTGTCTAATGTTGACAGTGGGGTGTTAAAGTCTCCCATTATTAATGTGTGGGAGTCTAAGTCTCTTTGTAGGTCACTCAGGACTTGCTTTATGAATCTGGGTGCTCCTGTATTGGGTGCATATATATTTAGGATAGTTAGCTCCTCTTGTTGAATTGATCCCTTTACCATTATGTAATGGCCTTCTTTTTCTCTTTTGATCTTTGTTGGTTTAAAGTCTGTTTTATCAGAGACTAGGATTGCAACCCCTGCCTTTTTTAGTTTTCCATTTGCTTGGTAGATCTTCCTCCATCCTTTTATTTTGAGCCCATGTGTGTCTCTGCACGTGAGATGGGTTTCCTGAATACAGCACACTGATGGGTCTTGACTCTTTATCCAACTTGCCAGTCTGTGTCTTTTAATTGGAGAATTTAGTCCATTTACATTTAAAGTTAATATTGTTATGTGTGAATTTGATCCTGTCATTATGATGTTAGCTGGTGATTTTGCTCGTTAGTTGATGCAGTTTCTTCCTAGTCTCGATGGTCTTTACATTTTGGCATGATTTTGCAGCGGCTGGTACCGGTTGTTCCTTTCCATGTTTAGCGCTTCCTTCAGGAGCTCTTTTAGGGCAGGCTTGGTGGTGACAAAATCTCTCAGCATTTGCTTGTCTGTAAAGTATTTTATTTCTCCTTCACTTATGAAGCTTAGTTTGGCTGGATATGAAATTCTGGGTTGAAAATTCTTTTCTTTAAGAATGTTGAATATTGGCCCCCACTCTCTTCTGGCTTGTAGGGTTTCTGCCGAGAGATCCGCTGTTAGTCTGATGGGCTTCCCTTTGAGGGTAACCCGACCTTTCTCTCTGACTGCCCTTAACATTTTTTCCTTCATTTCAACTTTGGTGAATCTGACAATTATGTGTCTTGGAGTTGCTCTTCTCGAGGAGTATCTTTATGGCGTTCTCTGTATTTCCGGAATCTGAACCTTGGCCTGCCTTGCTAGATTGGGGAAGTTCTCCTGGATAATATCCTGCAGAGTGTTTTCCAACTTGGTTCCATTCTCCGCATCACTTTCAGGTACACCAATCAGACATAGATTTGGTCTTTTCACATAGTCCCATATTTCTTGGAGGGTTTGCTCATTTCTTTTTATTCTTTTTTCTCTAAACTTCCCTTCTCGCTTCATTTCATTCATTTCATCTTCC
This sequence comes from Homo sapiens, assembly GCF_000001405.40. NCBI lineage: Eukaryota > Metazoa > Chordata > Mammalia > Primates > Hominidae > Homo > Homo sapiens. The sequence continues at coordinate 43,350,850 of NC_000011.10, forward strand.
ATTGCTGATACCCTTTCTTCCAGTTGATCGCATCGTCTCCTGAGGCTTCTGCATTCTTCATGTAGTTCTCGAGCCTTGGTTTTCAGCTCCATCAGCTCCTTTAAGCACTTCTCTGTATTCGTTATTCTAGTTATACATTCTTCTAAATTTTTTTCAAAGTTTTCAACTTCTTTGCCTTTGGTTTGAATGTCCTCCCGTAGCTCAGAGTAATTTGATCGTCTGAAGCCTTCTTCTCTCAGCTCGTCAAAATCATTCTCCATCCAGCTTTTTTCCGTTGCTGGTGAGGAACTGCCTTCCTTTGGAGGAGGAGAGGCGCTCTGCGTTTTAGAGTTTCCAGTTTTTCTGTTCTGTTTTTTCCCCATCTTTGTGGTTTTATCTACTTTTGGTCTTTGATGATGGTGATGTACAGATGGGTTTTCGGTGTGGATGTCCTTTCTGTTTGTTAGTTTTCCTTCTAACAGACAGGACCCTCAGCTGCAGGTCTGTTGGAATACCCTGCAGTGTGAGGTGTCAGTGTGCCCCTGCTGGGGGGTGCCTCCGAGTTAGGCTGCTCGGGGGTCAGGGGTCAGGGACCCACTTGAGGAGGCAGTCTGCCCGTTCTCAGATCTCCAGCTGCGTGCTGGGAGAACCACTGCTCTCTTCAAAGCTGTCAGACAGGGACATTTAAGTCTGCAGAGGTTACTGCTGTCTTTTTGTTTGTCTGTGCCCTGCCCCCAGAGGTGGAGCCTACAGAGGCAGGCAGGCCTCCTTGAGCTGTGGTGGGCTCCACCCAGTTCTGAGCTTCCCGGCTGCTTCGTTTACCTAAGCAAGCCTGGGCAATGGCGGGCGCCCCTCCCCCAGCCTCGCTGCCGCCTTGCAGTTTGATCTCAGACTGCTGTGCTAGCAATCAGCGAGACTCCGTGGGCGTAGGACCCTCCGAGCCAGGTGTGGGATATAGTCCCGTGGTGCGCCGTTTTTTAAGCCGGTCTGAAAAGCGCAATATTCGGGTGGGAGTGACCCGATTTTCCAGGTGCGTCCGTCACCCCTTTCTTTGACTCGGAAAGGGAACTCCCTGACCCCTTGCGCTTCCCAGGTGAGGCAATGCCTCGCCCTGCTTCGGCTCGCGCACGGTGCGTGCACCCACTGGCCTGCGCCCACTGTCTGGCACTCCCTAGTGAGATGAACCCGGTACCTCAGATGGAAATGCAGAAATCACCCGTCTTCTGCGTCGCTCACGCTGGGAGCTGTAGACCGGAGCTGTTCCTATTCGGCCATCTTGGCTCCTCCCCCATCAGTATTCCTTATATCCACACATCTAACTCCTTTTTCAAATCCTCGAAGCTAACCTACTCAATCCTATCTAATACTGCAATGTCCCTTTCCACCCCACCAAGACTCCAGACCCACTTACCCTACTATATGCTCTCCAGTTTTACCAACTTGTATGTTGTTTACTCTGTCCCCTACTGCTAGAATATGTGGCTAAAGTGCCACAAAAGTAAAGATTTTTGCATGTTGTTCATTCATAATCCCAAGCATCCAGAACAGTGTTTTGTACATAGTAAGCTTTCAACTCATAATAAGTTGAAGGCACTGTTTTAAGCCTAGGGGATATAGTGGTGAACAAAACAGGCAAACTCATGGAGTTTACATTCTCTTATGCAGATCCTGACAAACTTAAGCCTGTACCAGAGTAGTAAGTGCTATAAGGGTACTGAAGCATTCTAATATGCTTCAGCTAGTATAGATAAAATAGTCAGAAAAAAGCCTCTGAGTGACTAATTGGAGGTGAGACCTGGATAATGATACCAAGCCAGCCTCGTGAAGACCTCAAGGAAGAGCACTGAGATCGAGGCAACAAAATGTGTAGGACACTTAGCTTTTAAGAATGTGCCAAGCTGTGTTAGAGAATGGGCTATCTCGGAGGTCTTAGATTCCTAACCTTGACCTCAGAAGTCCTAAGTTCATCCTCTACTACAATAGTGAACTGCTTTCAGTAAACTGAAAGTTAACACCATACTCTTTCTGACATTAGGAATTTTTCCTCTGGAAAATCATGGTTCCTTGATTCTGCCCATTTATCTGGCTGCTTCAGGTCTGAGTAAATTTGACCCTCCTTGGGACACCTTTCCTCTCCAGTTGGTTACAGGACTACCTATTATGTGCTTCCTCAGTAGGTGGGTAAAAAACAGCAGGAGAGAGATCATTGTAATCAGTGTGATTGAAACTAAAGCTTAAACTAATATGAAATTAACATACCAATAAAAACCTAAGATGACTATCTTGCTATCCTCAGAGCAGCCCTCTGAGTTTGAATCCTTGGTCTCATCCATGGTAGCCCTCATACTTCACACTGCCTGATCTATTTGACAAATGATTTCTAAATGAAATTACTATATTAGGTATCCTCTGCCTCCCTTTTAAAAATCCTCTTCGCTCACCGTGCATATTGATGTTGAAGAGTTACACATGTAAAACCCTTCTTGCTATAACCAGGCTCCTTTCCAACCTGTTCCCCTCCACCCTGCTTCCAACCAACTCAAAATTACTCTTAAAGACTTAATTATGGCCAGGCGCAGTGGCTCACCCCCTGTAGTCCCAGCACTTTGGGAGGCCGAGGTGGGTGGATCACAAGGTCAAGAGATCGAGACCATCCTGACCAACATGGTGAAACCCCGTCTCTACTAAAAATACAAAATTTAGCCGGGCGTGGTGGCGTACACTTGTAGTCCCAGCTACTAGGGAGGCTGAGGTAGAATTGCTTGAATCTGGGAGGCGGAGGTTGCAGTGAGCCGAGATTGTGCCACTGCACTCCAGCCTGCCAATAAAGCAAGACTCCAGCTCAAAAAAAAAAAAAAAGAATTATATATAGTAGGATGCCAATAATTCCTTCCATTCCTACTCAAACATGCTGTTTCTCCTATCAAGATAAATCTGTGTCCATCCACACTTGAATTTGGGCTAAGCTTGTTACTTTCCTTAACCAGGAGAATGCAGAATGATGCTTTACCACTTCTGGGGCCTGACCCTCTGAAAGCCTGGCAGCTTCCTTTTATTCTTTCAGCACCCTGAGCCACCCTGTAAGAAGTCTATGTAACTCCTTGTCTAAGAGAGGCCCAGCTACCCCCAGCCATTTCAACCACTCCAAGTAAAGCACCAGACATGGTGGAGCCAGTTTGGAACATTTCAGCCTCAGCTGAGCTCCTAGCTGAATGCAGCCTTAAGAGTGACCCCAGCCAACACCAGGAGTAGCAGAAGAACCACCCAGCTGAGTCCAACAAACTGAAAAATAATAAATCATGTTTTAAGGCTTAAAATTTAAACCTCTAAGACTTACATTGGTTTTATTACAAAGCAAAAGATAACAGAATGTAAGCCAGAGTGTTACCCTCCTCCCTAGGGGTATTTATATCTTAAATATTTTCTCTAAGGAATAGGCAGTATGTAAATCCTTTGCAATTTTCAGGTAAGGTGGCCCAAGGGAGGACGTTAATCCAGAAAGATCATTCATTCTATCAACAGAATGAATTCTAATTCATAACTTCAAGAATTCTATGATTTATAGTAATAGTAAATAAAAGACCTATTTGCTAAAATATGTTGAAAGACTAAATTACATGCAGTTAGGGACTTGCCTATCATTCGTTGAACTAACAATTGAATCACAATTTGAGATATCAGCAATTTTGTCAACTGCCATCCTGTATTTCTATAAATTTCATCGAAGAGGAAAAGTATAATGAAAAAAGAAACATCAGATCTTAGAACAACAGAATAAAAGAACGGTGACAAGTGATCTGGATGTAGAAAATTAGTAGGAACAATTTTATTTAAGTTTTTTGTTTTATTCACACAAAATGGGAATGCTACATTTGGGGGAGCTAAAAAACTGAGTCAACAAACTATTTTGCACAGAAGTTCCAAGGAAGATAAAAATGTTAGTATAGGAAATGCTTCCTGCCCTCAGTTGCTAGTGTAGGTAATTATAGAATTGCAAGATGACAGGTCCCTGGATGGCCTTGGCCATGCCAGCTCTTCCCCCTCTTGCTTGCAATTTTCAGGCAGAATGTACTGAGAATGCAACATCCTGAGATAAGGAGGAAGCTTCCAGAACAACCTGGGCTGCGTCCTCATTTTTCCTAAAACAGGATGTTCTGCAACACTTGTACTCAGCAATCTCAGTTACACCCAGGGTATAAAACCCAAAGTGTTTTTGGAGTCCCTCATCTGTGCTGCAACATGGGGTATGTGCAGATGAGGCTCCATCTGCCCTAAGCAGCTTTCCTGAGCCATGGGATCAGCTAACCATGGATCCTCCATTTCTGTGTATCTTTGCTGCCTATTTGTAAAAAATTTGCTTTGCCTGACTTACTGTTTGAGTGTTCTGCCTCACCAGATTAGAACTAAGAACTATTGCAAGAACCACTCAAGAGTTTGGCTGTTCAAAGTTTATAAAATAATATCACAAAGCAGCATAGTATTGTCATATTACTGACAGAATTCAGAGGTGGCAAACAAGTTGACAGACATTTTTGCAGGCTAGGATTTCAACTGTATCTTAAATAGATTTGAGAAAGCAGCATGAGGAAAGGATTTTAGGCAGGGAACAGGAGCAAAAGTATGTCTAAATTAGTCTGTGATACTTAAAACAGTTCAGTGAAAGACTAGAAGAATGGTACTTGGCAGTCAAGATCTGTGGTAGGCAAAATTCTAAGATGATACCCAATGGTCCTTGCCCGCATAAAATCTCCCCTACGTATATTAAAACATCATGTTGTACACTAAATATATACAATTTTGTCCATTTCACCTTAATAGAGTAGAAAAGGGGGAAATTTCCTAACTTGACTATGTGGGTAAAACATGAATACGATATCACTCCTGTGATCATAGGTTTGGATGTGGTTAGGGCCGCCAAAACTCATGTTGAAATTTGGTACCCAATGTGGCAGTGTTGGGAGATGGGGCCTAGTGGAAGGTTTCTGGGTCATGGGGGTGGATCTGTCATGAACAGATTAATGCCCTCACGGTGGTGGGGGGGGAGGTGAGTTCTTGCTCTCTCAGGAATGAATTAGTTCTCGAGTGTGGGTTGTTAAAAGAGTTTGGCTTTCTTGATTTGTCTCTCTTGCTGCTTCTCTCAACATGTGATCTCTATGCACACCCACTCCCCTTCTGCTTTCCTCCCTAAGTGGAAGCAGCGTGAGGCCCTTACCAGATGCGGCTGCCCAATCTTGGACTTTTCAGCCACCAGAATCATAAGCCAATTAAACCTCTTTTCTTTATGAATTGCCCAGCTTTAGGTATTCTGTTATAACAACACAAAATGGACTAAGATAATGTTATATGGCAAACGAAATTTTTGCAGATGGCATTAAAGTTACTAATCAGTTGAATAAAAAGGGATATTATTCAGATAGACCTTATCAACTCACATGAGCCCTTTAAGTCTAGGCTTAGAGATAGAGGAATTCAAGAGATTTCAGCAGTGGAAATATTCTGCTTGCCTTCAAGGAATAACTGCCATTGTGAGAGCCACATGGCAGAAAACTGTGGGTAGCCTCAATGTTAATGGCCACAATCAGCAGCCAGTAAGAAAATGGAGCCCTCAGTCCTACATTGGCAATAAATTGAATTCTGCCAAGGACTTGAAGAATGAGCTTGACTGAGGAACCCCAAGCCTCAGATGAGATTGCAGCCTTGATATGAGCCTTGTGACACTGAGCAGAGAACTCAGTCACACCACAGCAGAAGACTTTTGCCCCAAGGAAACTGTCAGATAATGTGTTAAGCTAAGTTTGTGGCAATTGTTACACAGCATTAGAAAACTAATACAGGATCCCAAAAGATAAGAGTTATCATCTACAGAAAATAGGTGGTATAATAAAGCTATAGAAGCTATAATTCCACCCCTTTAGAGGTTAACTTGTGAAGGTCAAAGAAATTGCTGATAGCAAAATATGTGATGCTGGGGCCTTTCTCAAATTCCTCACTAACATTCATTCATTCTCAGGCTCTCAGATCTAGAGTCAGGTGGATCTGAGTCCAAACCTGAGCTCTACCACTTAGCAATATGATCTTGGCCAACTTACTTAACTAGCCAGAGCTTGGTAAGTTGTGACGATTAATAGGAACTATGCATGTACAGGACCCAGTACGTATTAAACACTCAAGAAATGTTAGATGATGATGATGTCAGCTTTATACACAAGAAATAGGGTTGACCTCTATGCCCCAAAAATAAGATGCTGAGACAAAAGGGATTCCATCATTTGCCACTTCTCTATTTTAAAATTCTGAAACACTCCCTATTGCCTATGTCTAAACTCCAAGAAACTCTTAAAACATGCCACTGACTTCACCTTTTCGTTTCTTGAGACGGATTCTCGCTCTGTCACTTAGGCTGGAGTGCAGTGGTGTGATCTCGGCTCACTGCAATCCCCGCCTCCCGTGTTCAAGCAATTCTCTGCCTCAGCCTCCCAAGTAGCTGGAATTACAGGTGCCCGCCACCATGCCCGGCTGATTTTTGTATTTTTAGTAGAGGCGGGGTTTCACCATCTTGGCCAGGCCAGTCTTGAACTCCTGACCTCAGTGATCCATCCACCTCGGCCTCCCAAAGTGCTGGGATTACAGGCGTGAGCCACCGCGCCCGGCCAACTTCACCTTTTCACTTATTATTCTGCCTGAACCAGCACCTGAGCTCCAAACCTTTTTTTCACCTGGTTGGTTGCTCTCTCCTGTACATATGCATTCATACACCCCCATTATCCTGTATTTTAATTGTTAACCTGCCAATAATATCTCACTATATTGCACACTGCCCAATGGTTACATTTCCATACCCAGAGACTATCAGAGTACCAGGCAAAAAGCAAATAAGCCATATATTTTTAATGAAATGAATGTTCAGTCTTCAGGCCTTTAAGAAAAGCTGTTCCTGGAATGAAGAAAAAAAAAACACCAATGCTGTGGTTGTTTCTACATTTCTATAGCGTGGTGTTTAAACACTTAGCAACTGCTCTCCTGCATACACTTGTGTAGAGAAGTGGTTAAACAATATTCTCATCCTTCTTTTCCCAAGGAGAAAACCAAAAGCATACCAACCTTAAATAACACACACAGAGGGCAATCTTGAAAGACCTAAAATGACATATCTAGCAAGAAGCTGGCAGCCAAGCTTGACGCCTGCCTGCCTGCCTGTTGGTTCACTAGAAGAAAGTGGTTCTCAAACTTTAATATGTATACCAGTCACCTGAGGCTATTGTTAAAATGTAGTCTGATTCAGCAGGTTGCGGGGGAGAGGGAGAAGAGCCGAGAATGTGCAGGTCTAAAAAGCTCCCAGGTGATGCCAATGTTTCTGGTCTCCAGACCTAGACCTCTAGCTTAGACCTGTGCTGACCAGTACGTTAGCCACATGCGGGTATTAAGCCCCTGAAATATGACTAGATAAGCTGTCAGTGTAACATGCCGATTTCCAAGACTTAGTTAAAAAAAAAAAAACTAAACTATCTCAATGATTTGTACAGACCACATTGAATTAATATTTTGTGTACTTTGAGTTAAATAAAATGTACTAGTAGGGTTACTTCCCTCTATATTTTACATTCCACACGTGGCTCGCATTATAGTGCTACTGGACAGCGGTGCCCTAAACTAACAACCGTCTCCATTCTGAAGCTTCCACTATTGTGAGACTTTAAGAATAAAAGCAACACCTCTCTTCCCATAGGTGGTTCGAAAGCACACCTTTTGTTCCCCAACTATCTACCAGAAATAAAACGAAAAAACAAAGATTTAAAAAACAATAAAATTGAGTCCTTTCACTTCTGCTTAAGCGCCACCTAAGCCACTGCTTTTGTCTCCCTCCGGTTCCCACGCTCCGAGATCGTATCACCCACAGAAAAACAATAACTAAAAAGCGGTCTCCATCCCTGAAGCCAAGCTGGGAGAGTAGCCGAAGGTCGCGCTTCCTGGCCGCCAAAACCGAGGTGGAGGAAACTTGGTAGTCAGCGAGCTACGCCCTCTCGGCTCCTCCTCCTGCTCCTCCTCCAGGGCCGACCTCTTCAAGATGGCGGGCGCCGGAGACTAGCTTCCGCTTCCGGTGTGAGCGGCCCGGCCGGGGGGGCAAGATGGCGGCGGCAGTAGGGGTTCGTGGCCGGTACGAGCTGCCGCCTTGCTCCGGCCCAGGCTGGCTCCTCAGCCTTTCCGCCTTGCTGAGTGTGGCGGCACGAGGGGCCTTCGCCACCACGCACTGGGTCGTCACGGAGGACGGGAAAATCCAGCAGCAGGTAGCGGCCGGGGCGTCCCTCTTCTCCCGTGCCCGCCCTCGCCCCGGGGGGATTACCCTGCTTGGCCCCTGGCTGTTGGGCTCCGCGCGGCCCCGCCCCCAGCCTACCCTCACAGGGAGGTGGCACCGCGACCTCGGACTCCCTGCATTCGGACCAGGCAGGCACTTCCCGCTCCCCACTTGTCTCCTGGTCCTCGTTTGGCCCCCTAGAAGTTCTCACCCTTCCACCTCGCGGGCCGCGCGCCGCGTGGGGAAGAGTCGCCCAGCTGCGGGAGACGGGCCCTACGGACCTTTTTTTAGCTCGGGGTTTAGAAATCACAGATTTCAGGATTCCTGCCTTTGGTGCCTCTCGGGTTCACGCGTCACCGGCCCTCCCCGAGGAAATAGAAAGCAGGTGGCAGCTCCAGGGTGTGCGCGAGTCCCATGGTATGACAGCTTCTGGACCCCTAGCCTGTGGACCATTCGTGCTGCTCCCCTAGTCTCGTCTACCACATGGTGGATTTCGTTTCTGGTTGTGTTGGTTTCAGCTTGTACCGTTACTCAGGTCAGCAGTGGCTCATTAGAAACAACATAGAAACACTCCCCTTCAGAAGGAATGCTTGAAGATGCCGCTGGTGGCGTTGCCTGCATCTTTTCAGCTGTTACTGCCCTCGTTTCCCAGTGCACTTTGCTTTGTTTCTTTACCTAGTTCTTGTGACCCAGCCTCGCATGGAGGATATGCGATTTCCTGGATTCTTGTATGCCTGAACTAATTCCTCAGAGGCGAGACTGCTTTTCTTATATAACTTTATGATTGCCTGCGTTTTGTAAATGCTGCTGATGCCTAACGAGTGCGTGTGTGTGTTCCGCTACAGAATATTGGTAAACTTACTGACTTCGAACACTTGAGGACAATCTTGAAGTGTCTAGCAAACATTTAGAAAGTGAATTGTGTGCCCCATGCAATTTAGCCCACTGATCTAAAACGTTTTAACTAGTGTGGTGGGAAATTACTGGTCCTTTGGATTGTGTGTAATGAATCATGATAGGAACACATTCCAACGTTTAAGGTGAGGTTTAGATTTAGATTTGCCGTGTAATGTAATTGCAAATTCTATCTCAAGTAAGTTAAGTATAACTAAAAATCCGCCTAGGTATTCATGAGTGGTTTTCAGCATATCTAAGAAAAGACCGTGTTCCTATTGGGTAACGTTTTCTATATGACATACATAAAGAACAGTTTCCTTTTCATTGCCATACTATCTGAGACTTTAAATATATGTGTATGTGTTTCAGAAACCCAAGAAAACACTGTAAGACCATATGTGAGTGCTGGTTGCTTCCACCCTTCTTTTGTTTCTTGATAGTGGTTTTCCCTGAGGTCTCTATGAAGACGTGGAATTAAGTCACTCCTGCTGCATTTTGGGGAGCCTTTCTCCTGTTGGCTCTTCTGCAATATTGTTTTTGGCCACAGCTATTTATACTCTATGACATTGACTTCTCCTTCCCATTTTGGTGTCCTACCACTCAGCTGAAAAAGTAGCCCATCTAAAAAGTGAAAGCTGGTAGAAATGTTTTATGTATATACTTAACATTGCAATGGGAAAGTAGAGTCTGATTTTTTTTTTTTTTTTAACAAATTCCTTCTTTTTGCACTTTGGATACATATGTATTAATGGGGGAAGGCAGGGGTTACTGGAAACTTGCCTCAGAGAAGCAGGGAAGAGCTGAAGAATCTTTTGGATCTCTGCCAAGTCACTGCTGAGCTAAGTAATTAGGCTTAAAGTTTAAAAAGCAAGATTTCTCTATTACATGACTTTTTAAGTGATCCTTTTCATTGAATTTTCCAATACTTTGCTATACATAACATTTACAATGTTATGTTCAGGCAGCCACAAGATTTTATGCCAGAAGAAATAAGGTTGGTGTCTGCAGTGTAACAATAAGAGGCCAGGGGAGGAAAGTTGGATTTAATCTGAAGAAAAGGCACCACATATAAATAAAGTAAAAGAATTGGGTGCTGTGGTGAGCTGCCGAGTTCCACTCTGATAGCTGATTGTGCATGACCCATGCTTCCCTTCCTGGCCATAATTTGTATGCAGGTAGAATCCAAACTATCAATTTAGATCGTGATTAATTATAATATTTGTATATACTGTACTTAAGGACTTGAAAGATCACATTAGTGTATGAAATCCATATATATTGCAGATTTGTACATTCAGAAACATAATTAAAAGCTTAGTATATACAGATGCTCCTCAGCTTATGAAGGGGTTATGTGCTGATAAACTCATTGTAAGTCGAAAATACTGTAAGTCAAAAATGCATTTAATGTACCTACCAAACATTGTAGCTTAGCCTAACCTACCTTAAACGTGCTCACAATACTTACATTAGCCAAATTTGGGCAAAATCATCTAACAGCATCTTTTACAATAAAGTATCAAAATACCTCATGTAATTCATGAATACTTCACTGAAAGTGAAAAACAGAATGGTTATATGGGCACTCAGTACAGTTGCTACCAAATGCATGTCACTTTTGCAGCATTGTAAAGTCAAGAAATTATAAGTTGAACCATCGAAAGGTGGGGACCATCTGTATACTTTGTCCTGACATACCAAATTCTTGCTGCTTATTCTTGGTTACAATATTTGAATGAGAGCATAAGTGTGATTTCAGTTTTAAAGTGACCTACTACCAGGCAAAGGGCTAAGGGCTAACTGGATTAACAGCTTTTAGAAAATTAGAGTGGTACATACCTTTTGAGAACCTTTAATATTAAACACACCCAGATTAGATATATGGGTCATTGTTTTCCACAGTGATCATAAAGAAGTACTTATGACTTAAAAATCTGAATTGTCCAACCATCATTATAACTTTTTTTTTTTTTTTTTTTGAGATGGAGTTTTGCTCTTGTTGCCCAGGCTGGAGTGCAATGGCGCTATCTTGGCTCACCACAACCTCCGCCTCCCGGGTTCAAGTGATTCTCCTGCCTCAGCATCCCGAGTAGCTGGGATTACAGGCATGCACTACCACACCCGGCTAATTTGTGTGTGTGTGTGTGTGTGTGTGTGTGTGTGTGTGTGTGTGTGTATTTTTAGTAGAGACAGGGTTTTACCATACTGGACAGGCTGGTCTCAAACTCCAAACCTTGTGATCCGCCCACCTTGGCCTCTCAAAGTGCTGGGATTACAGGCGTGAGCCGCTGTGCCCGGCCATTATAACTTTTTAAGTACATCAAGGAGTCTTTCCCAGGAGAGATGAAAATTCATTTGATTTTTTATATTTCAAGGTTTAGCAGACAATAAAGATAGGCACCCACCAGTTACATACCGCAGACTTGTCAACATGCGTATGTATTGGAAATGGTACATCCTTTGGTGGGTTGAAAAGGGGGTTAAGTAAGAGCAAGGAGCATACATTCCTGCAGGCAACCTCTTCACAGTCAGAGCTGGGGCTGCTGCAGGCAGCAGCTGGTGTCCATTACTTGGCATGATGGTTAAAGGAATTATTTCTTTTTCTTTTAGAGATGGGGGTCTTTCTTTATTGCCCAGGCTGAAGTGCATGGTTACTCCCATGCATTGCAGCCTTAATTGATCTTCCTACCTCAGCCTCCTGAGTAGGTGGGACTACAGGCTTGTGCCACCATGCCCAGCAAGTTGTTGCATTTCACAATCCCTGCCTCAGCTAGGAAGCATACCTTCCCCAATTTTTAGGTTATGTTTACTGAGCTGCCACTGAATTCCCAAATATGGTCCAGGGAATCCTGGAGCTGGGATGTGGAGAGAACATTCCAATCACTAAGTTCCTTTTCCACTGGTGTCAGGGGAAGGCTAAGAGAAACCCCGTCTTCTTCTCCTCTCCGCTCTGTGCTGTTTTCCTAGCTTTGGGCTTTGACATACCTCTGATGCCCTAGTGTCTGTCGCTGGTACCTGAAACCTAGTAAGCCCATCTCACTTTATTTAAGCAGGGGTCCTTAACTTCGACCCCATGGACTTAAGAAGTGAGCTATTATAATCTAGTTACTAAAAGGAGCACTAGCGTAATCAGGCCTGTGGCTCTTTTGGTTGACTTTTTGAAAAATAGGTTTCAAGATAAATTTTGTGTTGTTTCATTTTGATGTTGTTTTTGCTTAATCCCTAGTTTGGCAATATCTACTTTCTGTATTCTATTTTCTATTTTTTAATCAGTGTCTGGTAATTTACTTGCATCAAAGGTTAAACTTGTGAATTTGCCTAAGAGCCTAACCACTCTATGGCACTTCATTTTGTTGAAAAAAATATATGTTCCATGCTCTAGGTAGCAGCTAACAGAGAAACTCTTGAAATGTTACCAGTTTGTTAGTTGTAGCCTTACTGAATCAAGAAGTTGTATTGCTAGTACTGAGTTCTCTGCCTCTGGATATTCTTTTTCTTCATAATTGGAGGGCTAAAAATTTAAGTAAATTAAGAGTATCATCTGTATCAGCTGTCTTATACATTTTAATATTCGTATTCTTTGTCACTATTTCCCTCTTCTCCAATCTTACTTAGAACTGTGGACTTTCAGATTTGGAAAACATTCTTAAAGATTATGTAGTACAACTCCTAAGAGAGAAAGTCACTCAAAGTCGTGTAACTAATGTGTGGCATTTCGTGGCAATAGTAAGTAAAAATGGATTAGTCTGCAGTAGCATGCAAGTGAGCACCTTGTACTCAGTAGATTTTTTTTCCTCTCATAACACTTACAAATGAAGGACTACAAAGAAACATAAAAGCAAAAATGAAAATAATGAAGTAAAGGTATCTTCTTTTCCAGTTTGCTTTATCTCCATAGAATGTTTTGTGGTAACTTAAGATTCAGGGTAAGTGGGTGTGGAAGGGTCCTAAATAAGTGTGAGTTCATTCGGCATTTACTTAATCGTTTTGTCCCCCGGTCAGGCCGGTATCTTCGGAGTACAGATCCTCTTTTTTTTTTTTTTTTTTTTTTTTTTGAGACGGAGTCTCACTCTTATCACCCAGGCTGGAGTGCAGTGGTGTGATTCTGGCTCACTGCAACCTCTGTCTCCTGGGTTTAAGTGATTCTCCTGTCTTAGCCTCCCAAATAGCTGGGACTACAGGTGTGCACCACCACACCTGGCTAATTTTTGAATTTTTAGTAGAGACAGGGTTTCTTCATGTCGGCCAGGCTGGTCTTAAACTCCAGGCCTCAAGCGATCCTCCTGCCTTGGCCTCCCAAAGTGCTGGGATTACAGGTGTGAGCCATTGTGCCCAGCCATTAATAGCTTGTAAGTGAAGGCCTGGTTTAATTTTGGTCTGATGTTAAGTAATTTGGTTAATCTGGGAGAGAGCATCCATATGGCACTGTGAAGCTGACAGCTTTATTTCTGTACTTTTCAAAAGTAACTCATCTTTTTTTGTCATAAAGGACTGTTTCTATGTTTATACACTTCCAGGATTTAGTTACACCTGGAGAGGTCATGGTGGTTATTCACTAATTTGCTAGGCATCTGCCAAACCTTTGCAGTTTGTCCAAGACCTTTGCTTCAAAATGATTCTCATTCAGTCCATTTTTTCAGATATTGTCCACTATTATTTTTCTTCTTATAAATTACTGAGATTCTGACTTTGTTTATGCTGTAGGGCAGTGAGAGGAGCTTGGAAATGTACAGAAATAAATTAGAACTTTAAATAATTTTCCCACTTTTTCAATTTTTTAAATTTTTATTTATTTATTTATTTTGAGACAGAGTTTCGCTCTTGTTGCCCAGGCTGGAGTACAGTGGCGTGATCTCGGCTCACCTCAACCTCCACCTCCTGGATTCAAGCGGTTTTCCTGCCTCAGCCTCCTGAGTAGCTGGGATTATAGGCATGTACCACCACGCCCGGCTAATTTTGTATTTTTAGTAGAGACAGGGTTTCTCCTGGTCAGGCTGGTCTCAAACTCCTGACCTCAGGTGATCTGCCTGCCTCGGCCTCCCAAAGTGCTGGGATTACAGGCGTGAACCCACCACGCCCGGCCATAATGTTTTTTATTTTTTAAAGACAGGTCACTCTGTCACCCAGGCTAGAGTGCAGTGGCACCGTCATAGCTCACCGTGACCTTGAACTCCTAGGCTCAAGTGATCTTCCCACCACAACCTCCCTAGTACCTGGAACTACAAGTGCATACCACCACACCTGGTTAGTTTTTTTTTATTTTTTGTAGAGATAGGGTTGTACCATGTTGCTCAGGCTGGAATTCAGTGGCATGATTATGGCTCATTGTAAACTTGAACTCTTGGGCTCAAGTGATCCTCCCGCCTCAGCCTCCCATGTAGCTGGGACTACAGGCAAGTGCCACCACACCCAGCTAATTTTTGTATTTTTTGTAGAGACGGGGTTTTGCCATGTCACCCAGGCTGATCTTGATCTCCTGAGCTGAAGCAATCACCTGCCTTGGCCTCCCAAAGTGCTGGGATTACAGGCATGAGCCGCCATGCCTGGCCAGCTCATCTCCTTCTTAACTTTGTTGTTTTTGTTTTTGTTTCTTTGCCCTTGCTCTTTTTCATACTCACCCTTTAGATAAGTAGTTCTCAAACTTTACCTTGTACAAAAATAATTGGGGAATTGGGAGTTGCTTGCTTAAAATGCAGATTTCCAAGACACCCAGAGTATCTGATTCAGTAGGTTGGTGGTAAAGCGAAGGATTCTACATTTTTATCAAACTCCTTGGGAGAGTATAATGCAGGTAGACCACACATAGTCTAAGAAATTCAGTTTTAGATATTGCCATCCTTCCAGCTTCTGTTCCAGTTTTTTTAAACTCTGTACATACACCTGAGCATCAGTTACCATATGTATGCTGAGAGTATCTGCATTCCTTTTGTAACTTAGTTTTTTTCTCCAGAGTTGTAGATTTAAGACCTTTTTTTTTTTTTGAGATGGAGTCTTGCTCTGTCGCCAGGCTGTAGTGCAGTGGCGCAATCTCGGCTCACTACAACCTCCGCCTCCCAGGTTCAAGCAATTTTTCTGCCTCAGCCTCCCGAGTAGCTGGGACTAGTTCACGTCAGAAATCTAGTTGTCTTTAATTCCTTAGTCTCCCTTAGCCATCACCAAGATCTTTGTTTTACTAATTATATTTTACTTCTTCCCATAGCTACTATCATTACTCTAATTCAGGCCACCTTATTATTGCCGCAGCTTCCTGTTCTTCTCCTTTGTTTTATTTAATTAAAAATTTTGAAACCATCCTGGGCAACATGGTAAAACCCCATCTCTACTAAAATACCAAAAAATTAGCCGGGCATGGTGGTGCGCACCTGTAATCAAAGCTACTCGGGAGGCTGAGGTGGGAGAATCGCTTGAGCCCGGGAGGTGGAGGTTGTAGTGACCCAAGATAGTGCCACTGTACTCCAGCTTGCGTGACAGAGTGAGACTCTGCCTCAAAAAAAAAAAAAAAATTGAATTCAGAAATAATGCATGGCATTGTAAAAATAAACATCCACCATGCCAGCATGGGAATATTTAATAAAGTGAAATCCCTCCACCTCTATGCACTCTCACTCCCCAGGGAAAGCTACCTTTAATAGTTTGGTGCATATCCCAGGATATGGTCCAAACTCTTTCTATTGACAAGGTTTTGGTGGCAGGGAGGGAGACAGATTCTCGAACATATCTTATGTGACCTGGCCCTTCCTCTCTAGCCTTATCTCGGGTCATCCTTGAGTACCCCACCCTAACCCTAGAGTAACACACACAGCCATACTGACTTAGCTTTTGTGAGCATCCCCAAATATGCCGTGTTCTCACTTCTTCTGGGCCTTTGCATATGTTGTTCTTCCCCCAACACTCGAGTCTAGCTGAGTCATACTCGTCATAATATAAACATCATTTTCTCAGTGAAGCTTCTGGTATGCCCAAATTTGAATAAGCTGTTCTATGTGCTTCCATAGCATCCTGAATTCCTTTATGAAAGGATCTACCATACTGTGTTGGGCCTACCTACTTAGGTAAATGCCACACTAGACATTTCTCAATGAATCCTTATAGTATTCAGTAATATTTTAGTCATCTGGGGACTAAGCCTAAAAGAAGCCTCAGACTTCCATGTCTTTAAAGCTTTGAGTCACGCATTATTGAATCAGCCCGTAGGCCCTCAGAAAAGGTGCACAGTAGATGAGAAGAGCCATAATTTCAGAGATCATTCCTGCTTACCTACTGTAGTCATGTTGTGTTATGCAAGGGAAATCATCCTCGCTGTCTTTGTACCAGTTTAGATATCTAAAAGGTCAACTTTAATGCGCAGGCATCAAAAAGCAAAAAGTATGGGGCAACAAGAGACAATGAAAAAGATAAGCAGAAGAAAATAATCAGAAAAAACAGAGGCGTGGTAGATGAGAAATGGCAGCTGCACTGTTGAGGAGGGATTAGAACCAGCTGTGGGGTTCAGCAGTTGTTGCAGTTTAGAAGTCACTCTGGTGAAAGTAAACAGAAGGCGCTCTGATAGTGAAGAATAAATAAGAGGGCTCACGAGCTGCTCACGTCAAAAATTAGAACAACTTTGCATTCCAAAATGTTAAGGAGCAGGGTGTAAGCTAAAACCTGCGTCTCAGCTGTACTCCTTGATAGCAGAAGTGAAAACAAGGGGAATGTCTGTGTGTGTGTGTGTGTGTGTGTGTGTGTGTGTCTCTTTTACAGACAGACACCCTAAAAGAGTTATCTGTGCTCGTGGAGTCTCCTCTCTCTTCCTTTTTTAAGCCCCCTCCAATTCATCCTTCATCCCTATAACTCTTGTCAAGATACCCAGAGCCTATGCTCAGTTCTCACTAATCTTAAGTTCTTAGCAGCCCAGCATTTGTCTTCATATCTTACTCAGCTATTTTCTTACATGCTTACCTAAAAGAGTGGCTGACACATAGTATACACTGAGGAAACACTGAGTAAGGGAGAGAGAATGTGTGCAACTAAGCAACTTTTTACACCTGTAATAGCTCTTACATGCATTAGCATACAGAAGAGCCAACACGTATTCCTGGTTTTTCTTCTCAGTCCCTGGCCCTGACTTCTCATTTTCTTCTGCTGAATTCACCTTTTCTTGATGAGTCTTAGGTGTTGGTGTGCCCCTTTTCTTCCCTCTGTACATATGTTCACCAGATGATCTTTTGCAGTCTCGGGGCATAAAGTACCATTTATATTCTAAAGACTCTCAAATCTTACGTGCAGTTTCAACTTCTTCCTGAACTTCAGACTCATATATCCAACTGCCTACTGAACATCACCATTTAGTTGTCATCACAAATACATCATGTCCTAAACTAAACTCTTGATTTTCTACCCCACCACACCTGATCTTCCCCCATTCACAAAATTGCCCAGGTCCAAAATTTTGGTATCTTCTTGACTCTTTCTCATATCTCAAACCCAACGTAGTAATAACTTGTCAGCCCTACTTCCAGAATGTTTCCTGAATCCAGCCATGTCTTTCCACCTCCATTTCTGTAATTCCAGTCAATACTGTCTTCATCTCTTTGCAGAACCTATGCAGTGGCTTCCTACCTGGTCTCCTTGCTTCTACTTTTGTCCCCTAGATCTGTTATCTCCAGAGCAGCCAAAGTAATCTCTTAAAAAGCACAGCTGGTCATGTCACTCCCTTTGGGATAGGAGGGAAACAAAGAACATCAGAAAATCTTCAGTAGTTTCCCATCATACTTAGATTAAAATCTGGAGTTTTCCTTATGGCCTACAAGGTCCTGTAAGATCTAGAACCTGGCACCTGTCTTCTCCTCCAGCCTCAGACACCACTTTCTTTCTTGTGTGGTGTGGTGTGCTCTGCCTCAGCCATACCAGCCCTCGGGATGTTCTTCAAACCACCAAGCTTGATTCTGCCTTTGGACCTTTGTCCTTGCTTCTTCCTCTGCAGATGGCATCACGGCTCAGCCTCTCTCTCCTTTCAGGTCTCTTTTCACATGTCATCTCTTGTTCTAACTAGTTTTATCTAAAACAGCGTCTATTTGAGCCTTGACTATTGTGTCTTGATCCAGCTTTTCACTTACCTTCCTTTTAGAGTTGCAAATGTTCTACTTTATTAATTATGTTATTTGTATATGCCCTGGTGACATGAATTAGAAAATGTGGACTGGTAGCACTATTATAGGAAGTTACTCATTTGTGGTTCATGTTGAAAATGGTTACTAACTTGCTTGTCAATTAGGAGAATGGTGATTGTTTACAGACATGAATATTCTCATAAAATTGACTGCAACACTATAGATGTTCAAATCTAGATAACAACTGTGCAATACGTGTCCCTTACCTAGATTATTTTATGTAAATTTACAGCTGTAAGGATACATTTGTACATTTCAGGAACTGTGAAAATGAGAAGGTAAAATCCAGTTGAGGGTAAAACTTTAGAAAACAGGGATATAAGGCCATGGAAATTCAGGTGATAGTCAAGGTTTAGCATGATAGTCAAGGTTTAGCATTTTCATTAATTTGAAGTTTGTTTTTTCCTTTGATGACTTGATATCCTGTAAGATTAAAATTTGTTTCTGATTTCTTTTTTTTTTTTTTTGAAACAGAGTCTTGCTCTGTCACCCAGGCTGGAGTACAGTGGTGCAATCTTATTTCACTGCAACCTCTGCCTCCCAGGTTCAAGTGATTCTTCTGCCTCAGCCTCCCGAGTAGCTGGGACTACAGGCACACGCCACCACACCTGGCTAATTGTTGTATTTTTAGTAGAGACAGGGTTTCACTATGTTGGCCAGGCTGGTCTCGAACTCCTGACCTCAGGAGTTCTCCCGCCTTGGCCTCCCAAAGTGCTGGGATTATAGGCTTGAGCCACTGCACCCGGCCTCTGATTTTTCAAAAATACTGTACAAGTACTCTAGCTTCAAAAAGTCATAATTAACAAATATATTTCCAAATCTTGGCAGTTCATTATAATAGTTTTCTCAATCTCATACAATGAAATGTTTCTAGTAAAAGATCTGTTTATATTACACATTTGTTTTGACAGTTATAGCCAGGAGCCCATGCGTATCTCTCTCAAGAGTGGAAGCTGGGCTGCTATTTTTGCGAACCTGTACTTCTCTAAACCTCAAAGAAGATGTAAGCCCATGATGGTTAGACTTGAATCCTGAAGAGATAATTCCATGAGAAGTGGAGCAACAGACTTTCTGCCTGCGTCATTCCATCCCTGTGAAACTCATCTTGCTTGCTACCATAGTAGCCTGGAAGGGATCGCAAACAGAAGGGTCTCTTAGACAATCATTTGATTGTTTGAGCTAGATTTGTGATAAGGGTAAAAATCTGAGGGAAGAAAGGTAAGGAGCAAGAAAATACAAAAGATGTTTCATTTTTGAGATGTTCTACCTTGGTCCTTATCTGTGAGAGGAATTTTTTTTCTCTATAAGTGAATACACGAGGGAAAAATACAAGATTCTTCCTCAGACCTAAGCTTATATTTGTCATTACAGTTTGTTTAAGGAAAAAAAAAAAAAGATAAAACATGTTACGTAGTGTTCTAAAGTTTCAGTGTTAACAAACAAGATGACCTGTGGATAGCACATTAAAAAAAAAGAACACTTTATAAATTTAAATAATACATGTTCACTGTAGAAAAAGTTAGAAAACACAAACAAGAAGAGAATAATCACGTAAAGTCATATCAACTAGAAACCATATTCTTAAAATATGATATATAAACTGTCAGATAGTTAAAGAGAGGGGGCAGGTTTGTTTGTTTGTTTGTTTGTTTGTTTGTTTTAAGATGGAGTCTCTGTTGTCCAGTCTGCAGTGCAGTGGCACGATCATGGCTCGTTGCAGCCTCAAACTCCTCAAGTGGTTCTCCCACCTCAGTCTCTCAAGTAGCTAAAACAGGCATGTGCCACCACACCCAGCTACTTCTAAAAACTGTTTTTGTAGAGATGGGGTTTTGCTATGTTGTTCGGGGAGGGGAGGTGGGGGGGGGGGTCTTGAACTTATCTCAGGTGATCTTTCTTTGTCCTCCCAAAGTGCTAAGATTACAGGTGTGAACCATCACACACAGGTGAGATTTTTTATAAGTACATTGTGAATGGAAAAAACATCTCAGTTTCTCCCACTGTTCTCTTACAACATGTTTCTGACACCACCAAGCAAGCAGTCAGTTCTGCAGCTGCCACAGGCTAGGTGGCTTCCAATTCAGTTCTGACATTGTCTACCTGGCAGTGGCATCAGATCCTACAGGTCAAGAGCTCAGTGCCACAAGACTCCTCCCACCCAATTCAGTCCCAGCCTCTTCTAACCAACCAGCTTCAAGTTGGGGCTCCCATAGCTGCCTCTTTGGGTTCAATTAATTTGCCAGAGTGGCTCACAGAACTCAAGGAAACTTACTTATGTTTACTGGTTTATTATATTAGAAAAGACACAGATGAAGAGATGCACAGGGTGACGTATGGGGCAAAGGGTGTAGAACTTCCATGCCCTCTCCAGGAACTTCCACATGTTTGGCTCTCCGGAATCTCCTGAACCCAGTCCTTTTGGGGTTTTATGGAGGCTTTATTACATGGGCATGATTGGCCTTTGGTGGTCAACTTAACCTTCAGCCCCTCTTCTCTCACCAGAGGTTAAGGGGTGGGGCTGAAAGTCCTAATCATGCCTTAGTCTTTCCAGGGACCTGCCCTGATCCTGAAACTACCTAGGAGCTGCCAGCCATCAGTCAACTCACTACTGTACAAAAAGACAGCACTTTGGAGATTCTAAGGATTTTAGGAGTTGTATGCCAAGAAAAGGTGGGTGGGGTGGAAGACCAAATATATATTTTACAATATCACATACACAAAAGAAATACATATGGCCAAGGAAGAGACTGAAATGTATTCATGGCCTGACGCAGCAGCTCACCTGTAGTCCCAGTTACTCCGGAGGCTGAGGTGGGAGGATTGCTTGAGCACAGGAATTCAAGGTTACGGTGAACTATGATCACACCAGTCCACTCTAGCCTTGGTGACAGAGCAAGACCCTATCTCTTTAAACAAAAAAGAAAGAAAAAATGTATATATTCACCCTTTTTTCTGCATTCCTAAGGATGTGTAGGAACTCAGTCACTGTTGTTAGGAATTTAAGTTGATTCAACTGTTCTGGAGAAAAGCTAGCAAAAACTGTAAATTTACAAATGCAAAAAAATAGTATAGTTCCTTTAACCTAACGGTTTTCTTTCTGTTACAGGAAAGAAATAATCTGATAGCTGTCTAAAAAGGTTCATGGGTTTTTTTTTTTGAGAAGGAGCCACTCTTGTCGCCCAGGCTGGAGTGCAGTGGCATGATCTCCTTTCACTGCAACTTCCACTTCCTGGCTTCAAGCTATTCTCCTGCCTCAGCCTCCCGAGTAGCTGGGATTACAGGTACCTACCACCACATCCAGCTAACTTATTTTTATTTTTTATTTATTTATTTATTTATTTATTTATTTATTTTTGAGACAGAGTTTCACTCTTACTGACCAGGCTGGAGTGCCTGGCTCACTGCAACCTCCACCTCCCGGATTCAAGCGATTCTCCTGCCTCAGCCTCCCAAGTAGCTGGGATTATAAGCATGTGCCACTACGCCTGGCTAATTTTTGTAATTTTAATAGAGATGGGGTTTCACCATGTTAGACAGGCTAGTCTTGAACTCCTGACCTTAGGTGATCCACCCGCCTCAGCCTGCCAAAGTGCTGGGATTACAGGTGTGAGCCACTGCGCCCAGCCAAAAGTTTTAGTATAGGATGTTCATTGTAATATTGTTAAAAAGGGAGAATAACCAAAAACCTGAATTTTAGTTAGGAACCTGGGTAAATAATATTAACCACTAAAAATATTGACATAGGTCTGTATTTACTGGGAAGTCTGACAAAATGTACAGAGGAATAGAGAGAGGAAGGAAATAATATAGTAGATATATTATTATCGTATTTTTGTGAAAATATTTACCTACAAAGCTCTGTGTTTGTGTATGTATGTAGAAGTTATCCTGACATGATATATATCTAACAGCAGATATCTCTGAAAGTGAAATTTCAAGTAATTTTTATTTTCTCCTTCATATTGTCTATATGGTACTGTGTTTGTTTTTACAGTAAAATATATTTAGTTTATAATTCTAAAAAAGATTTTCTTAGTATTAAGTAGCTTAAGGATAAAGAGGGCTGATTTTGCCATGAACAACATAACTGCTCAGAAGTAGCCAGCCACTGCTAATTAGAGCCTTGGTTTAATTTGACAAATTGACAGTTTAAAAGAAGCTTTTTTTTTTTTTTTTTGAGACAGAGTCTCGATCTGTCACCCAGGCTGGAGTGCAGTGGCGCAATCTCTGCTCACTGCAAGCTCCACCTCCCAGGTTCACGCCATTCTCCTGCCTCAGCCTCCCCAGTAGCTGGAACTACAGGCTCCCACCACCACGCCCAGCTAATTTTTTGTATTTTTAGTAGAGATGAGGTTTCACCGTGTTAGCCAGGATGGTCTCGATCTCCTGACCTCATGATCCACCCGCCTCAGCTTCCCAAAGTGCTGGGATTACAGGCGTGAACCACCACACGCGGCCCTAAAAGAAGCTTTTAACAACAGCTTTGGAAAATATTCCTGCCCAGAGTGAGTACGAATTTATATGGGCAAATTGAAAGGATGATAATTTCATATATTTGAATATCAGACTATTTTGGGGGTATAGGTCTGGCTAGTAAAAATGTGATACTTTTACGGTAACGTTAAGTCTTTTATAGAAGTAGGATTTGAAAATTAAAAGGAGTTTTAGAAATCATTTGCTTGCGTCCCTTCAGTTTATAGATGAAGAAACAGAAGCCCAGGCAGGGAAGATGATCTGTTTAAAGCCATACAGTTAGTCATAGACTGGTCAGATGCATATTTTGTTTCTGATCTCTGGTACCTTAGCCACTTCACGTTTTTTTTCCAAATAGTCATCAGTGAATGATAATGCTTTAGCAGATGGAGTTGGAGTATCTAATAAATGTGGCAGAGTATCTAACAGATACTGTCCTCAAACAATCAACAGTATATTAAATGCCTAGCATATACCTGAAAGCAAGTTACATACTGAAGGTAGAAAAAGAAATACATAAAAAAATTTTTGTGGGAAAGCACTCCCTATTCAATAAATGGTGCTGGGATGACTGGCTAGCCATATGCAGAAGTATGAAACTATATCCCTACCTTTTACCATATACAGAAATTAACTCAAGATGGATTAAAGACTTAAATGTAAGAAATAAAACTACAAAAATCCTAGCAGAAAACCCAGGAAATATCATTCTGGACATAGGCCTGGGCAAAGAATTTATGACTAAGACCCCAAAAGCAATTGCAACAAACCAGAAATGGACAAGTGGGACCTAATTAAACTAAAAAGCTTCTGCACAGCAAAAGAAACTATCAACAGAGTAAACCTATAGAATGGGAGAAACTATTCTCAAACTATGCATCCAACAAAGATCTGATATCCAGAATCTATAAGGAACTTAATTCAACAAGCAAAAAACAACTCCATTAAAAAATGGGCAAACGACACAAACAGGCACTTCTCAAAAGAAGACATACATGCAGCCAACAAATATGAAAAAATGCTCAACATCACTAATCACTAGAGAAGTGCAAATCAAAACCACAATAAGATACTACCTCGCACCAGTCAGAATGACTATTATTAAAAAGACCAAAAAAAAAAAAAAAAGGATGTTGGCAGGGCTATAGAGAAAATGGAAGTCTTATACACAGTTGATGGAAATGTAAATTAGTTCAGCCCCTGTGGAGATTTCTCAAAGAACTTAGAACAGAACTACCATTTGATCCAGCAGTTCCTGTACTGATTATATACCCAAAGAAAAATAAGAGCCACAGTAGTAATAAGATGCCCTAGGCAGAGGGACATAGGTGAAAATTAGGTGGAAGTTTAGAAATAACACATCAATACTTTCTGTATTATAAAGTTTTCATTGGAATGTTTGGGCAAATTGTAAGGGCTGCAGATACAGTTTGATTCAGGACTCAAATAGTATAACAAGGATCAGTTTTTCTGTTTTTGTTTCTTTGCTTCGTCATCCCCATTCTCAGGCCCCATGTAGATACAAGATGGCTAGTTACCAATAGCTCAAAGTTCTGGATTAGAGTCTCTTTAGTACCAGCTGACCTTACTGGAGTAGTATCTCAGAAATAATCACCATGACCAAGGGAAAGAAATTCTCTGACAACGGCTTCCCATATGGGGAAGGAAGCAAGTGAGGTGCTTTTGCCACAGGGGGGACTTATGGATATTGGATAGCAAACACTACAAATACTCACTAAACAGAACCATTTCAGGTTTTACATAGAGGCAAAATCTTGGCGACTTTGAAGATTTTGATTTATGTTTTCCTTCATATTGTCTTAATATTTAAATAACTATAATTCTGAATTAAAATATTAAAATTATTTTGTCCCTAGTTTCTAACTTAAGGGGAAAAATTTTAAATGAGAATGGCATAATTTAAGATTATATTCATCAGTTTCCAAGTGCTATTTGGAGAAGAGTGAGTTTCCCATATTGCTTTCGTGTACCTAGATGAATACCATTTAAAAAAAAAAACAGTGAAAGTGTTCAGTATATATGAAGAATAAGTTGCACATGAGAGCTTGAATTAATGTTACAACAGAAATGTTCAGTTTTCTGCCATAAAGAATAATTAAAAAGTGATTGACTCAAACTTGTTTTTGTAGGACATCAAAAATGTTTATACTCTTAGATTGGTTAAGTTTAAAATGTTCACCCTTAATCTGATTTGGCAGTGAAATAATTACCCTCATATAGTGAGTGATATTTCCATGTTACCATGTGAACTTACTGAATTTGTTGAGATAGGGTTCCAGATTGGAGGTGTAGATATTAACAATATCTTGGTTAATTAAAGCAACAAATAACATGAACATAATTTGATAGGAGTAAAATATTTACTCATGTTATATATAATTGGATACATGTACAGGTTGAGTATCCCTAATCTGAAAATGCAGAATCCAAAATGCTGCAGTGAACTCAAAAAGTATCGGATTTTGGAGCATTTCAGATTTCGGATTTTCAGATTAGGAATATTCAACTTGTACTTACATAATGTATTCAAAGGAAAATGAAATTGAATTGCCTTATATGGCTTGTCATTTTCTTTATTATAATAAACTGCTACAGTAACAGTGAAATTTTGTTTACTTGGAACTCTTAGAGAATGAATCATTCTGAATAATAGAATTCCATAGAGCCTAATTTCCAGATACTTGATCAGGTTTTCCCTGTAGTTTAAATTTTTCTCTAAAATACTTTTCATAATTTCTTCACCTCCTTAAAGTAAGTGAAAATGATTATAATTTTTCTTTACAATTCAGGTTATTATTTGCATCATTTATTGTTCTGTGCAGCAATGGAAGTTTGTAGGGTTGTTTATCCTTTGTGAAAAAGCCATAAAGTGCTTTGAGATCTTGTGTGTTCATTATGTCCTTTTTAACCTACCTCTCTGTAATTCCTGTCTCCTTTTTGCTTCTGGACTTACAGCAGCCTCTTTTCAATGCTAAAGACTTTGAAGGCATATTAACATTCTTTTACACGTTGTATATGACACAGGAGTACATAGACTCTAAACATTGACTCAGGACATCGACTCATAGTGGGCCTGGCTTATAGAAGCTTAATAAACACTTATTGGTTGAATGGATGTTGTAACATGTTCATGCATTGCTTAAAAATGGGGGTGTGTTCTGAGAAATGTATCAGATGATTTCAGCCTTGTGCAAACATCATAGAGTATACTTAAACACACCTAGACTGTACAGCCTACTACACACCTAGGCTACACACTTGTACAGCATGTTATGGTTCTGTAGGCAGTTGTAACACAATGGTAAGTATTTGTGTATCTAAACATAGAAAAGGCACAGTAAAAATACAGTATTAGGTTGGGCGTGGTGGCTCATGCCTGTAATCCCAGCACTTTGGGGGCCGAGGCGGGCGAATCACGAGGTCAGGAGTTCGAGACCAGGCTGGCCAACATGGTGAAACTCCATCTCTACTAAAAATACAAAAACTTAGCTGGGCGTAGTGGCGGACGCCTGTAATCCCAGCTACTCGGGAGGCTAAGGCAGGAGAATCGCTTGAACCAGGGAGGCAGAGGTTGCAGTGAGTCGAGATCACACCACTGCACTCCAGCCCAGGAGACAGAGTAAGATTCCGTCTAAAAAAAAAAATATAGTATTATAATCTCATGGGAGCACCATCACATATGCAGTCTGCCATTGACTGAAATGTTATTTGGCATATAACTGTATTTACAAAGTTGTCAAACATACTCTGATAATCTAAGGAGGAGAAGTATTTGAGAAGTGAGAAATTCACATTAACATTTCCCAAAGACAAGTCATACATCTTAAAATTTAAGAACTTGAAAGTACCTCAGAAAACATGTATGTCAGGCTGTAAGTCTTCTGCAGTCAACTTTTATCTGGCAAAGATCTTTGCCATTTGCTGTCACCTCAAAAAGAGAAACACAGCTGTCAGTGAACTCCCTTCCTTCTGCTAATAATTTTATCTTTATGCCTCCTCTGTATCTTTGCTGAACTAAAAGCTTCAAGGAAATGATAAGTACTTCCTCACAATTGAATGTTGACCAGATCCATGCTATGGAAATATTATTAAACTTTGTTATCTAGTAACTTTTTAATCTAAAGCTAAGATTATGCTTTAAATAGTTCTTTCAATCTTCATTTATCTCATTTTTTCTTTCTTGCAATTCTTCAAATATCAGGTAAACAGACTGGTTAGGCATTTTGTTTTTTGGTTTTGTTTTGTTTTGTTTTTTGTTTTTTTGAGACAGAGTCTCGCTCTGTTGTCCAGGCTGAAGTGCGTTGGCGCAATCTCAGGTCACTGTAGCCTCTACCTCCCGGGTTCAAGCAATTCTCCTACCTCAGCCTCCCGAGTAGCTGGGACTACAGTCCTGCGCCACCATGCCAGCTAATTTTTATATTTTTAATAGAGATGAGGTTTCACCATGTTGGGCAGGCTGGTCTCAAACTTTCAACCTCAGGTGATCCACCTGCCTCGGCCTCCCAAAGTGCTGGGCTTACAGGCATAAGCCACCGCGCCCAGCCTTGGTTAGGCATTTTGGAATGGGACTGTCACACTTCCACAGTTTCTTCCCTCCCCCAATTTTATTTTTTCTAAAAATCTCATTTAAAAATACCTGTAGAGTCATGTACTAAATAGCTATCTCTTGATGTCTGGACGGAGTTGTAAATTAAGCACTTTCTCCTGCTTCCTTATGTAAAGCTCTTATACTCTGGTCACTGGCAGTAGCTTTAACATTTTTTCCTGTATCCCATTCCATTGGACAGTGGGTCTCTCTGTCACTTTATTGATTTACTTAGGTTGTTTCTGATTGTCCTTTTGCAGCTACAAATGTTGTAATGAGCATCCTTATGTATATCCTTGCCTACTTATTGAACAATGTCTGTAGGATAGTTTCCTAGACTTTCTTTTGCTCAAAGGTTATGCAATTGTAACATTTTGATATATGTTGTCAAATGACACTCCAAACAATGAGAACACATTTATAAGCCAGCTACCAGTATATGAGTGTTCATTTTTTCTACAGCTTCAACATAATTGTTTGATTTGTTGATCCAGAGAACATGAGCAATAAGTAATAAATCTCAAGGTTATTTTATATTATCTTTGATTTATGACTTCTACAAATAGCTTTCAAAAAGAGGTACATTTAATATTTTCCTTTTATCACTTCCAAGCCTATTCAGATATGAAATGTGCTATCAAAACAAGACAATTCATTTTTTATTATTACAGGCATGAAACATCATTTAAGGAAGTTACTTTATCAATCATTGCCAAATACTTCTTTACTATTATATCACCTGTAAAGTCAGAATATGTACTTTGAATGCTTGTTCTTCCAAGTTGGAGTTCACAGGACAACTGTTGCACTTGTCATTCCCTTTGCTAACATTTACATGTGATCACTTTGAAATACTCCTTGAGTTTTGCTGAGGAATAACGCTGATTACAATGGCGAATGAACAATAATTTAAAGCATATTAATGACTTTGTTAATCCAAACCAGCATTAATGAAATCCGAGCTTTATTTATTTATTGCTTGCTTGCAGGTGGATTCACCAATGAACTTGAAGCATCCTCATGACCTAGTCATATTAATGAGACAAGAAGCAACAGTTAACTACCTCAAAGAATTAGAGGTGAGGCAACTGGGCATGTGAGATGCAGCTGATGCTTGTTGCATTTCACAGGAGCCATTGTGTTCAAAGAAAAGCTAAAGCATATTATTTTTTAAGTCTGAGTCTTCTGACTTTTGCGGGAATATACTACCTGCAATGTGTGTGTGTGTGTGTGTGTGTTTTTTCTTTATCATTTTATCAAAGTGATATTTGAGTAGTAGTAAGAAAAACAGACTACTCTAGCCTGGGTATATGCGTGATTCTTAAAACTCATTTATCTTTGAACAGAATTTCTGTGTTTTTAAGTTTTTTCCATCAAATATGAAAATGATATAATCTCTGAAGATATTCCTAGAATAATCTGGATAAAATATGAAAAGAAAGAAAGGTTTTAATAGCCTAAAAATGTAATTATTGTTTATTCTCAGGTAGTAAAAACTAATGTCTTCCTATTATGTTTTCTTATGGTTGACGTGAAAAACATTAATCACCTTGTTCCTTGAAAGCTCGAATCTTATTAGTGCTAATAAAATCTGACTTTTTTTAATAAACATCAGTTTTCCTTTTCTCTAACATATTTCCATAAATTGATTTTGCTTAATAGCAAACAGTATTTGTTATTTGAAAAACTAGGTTTTTTTTTTCTCATGAAATCTCTGCTTTAAAGTTACAGTGTAAATTGAATCTAAATTGTAAATAAACTGTAAGTTGTAGAAACATTAAATCAAATTGCAAAATGAGAAAAAAACTAATGGGAATAATAAAAGTAATAAAAGTAGAATCAGAGTATTTGAGAATTAGAAGGAATCATAAGATCATCCTCATTTTAGAGGCAAGGAAACAATTAGACCTAAAGACAATGAATTGCCTGACTTCACAAAGCAAGATATGGCAGAACCAGAAACAAAAGCTGTATCTCTTGACTTAAAAGCTGGCATACCTGTTTTTTGTTTTGTTTTGTTTTGTTTTTTGAGTCGAAGTCTCACTCTTGTCGGCCAGGCTGCAGTGCAGTGGCATGATCTTGGCTTGCTGCAACCTCCACCTCCCCGGTTCAAGCCATTCTCCTGCCTCAGCCTCCTGAGTAGCTGGGATTACAGGCACCTGCCATCATGCCCAGCTAATTTTTGTGCTTTTAGTAGAGACGGCTTTTGCCATGTTGGCCAGGCTGGTCTCAAACTCCTGACCTCAGGTGATCTGCCCACCTCGGCCTCCCAAAGTGCTGGGATTACAGGCATGAGTCACCGTGCCCGGCCAAAAGCTGGCATACCTGTTAAGCCAAGTTGGCATGTATTTTCTTGTTATGTAAAAGTCCCGAATTTCATTTACATACATTTAGTATATTTATCAACATACATATGTCTACAAATAGTTATAAATATGTACTTTTAAAAAAATCTGTGAATTAAGAGAGAGAAGACTTTAGCACATGGTAACCAGCTCTGCCTAATTAGTAGTATATTTAGAGTGTTTCTAGAACTTGAATACCTCAACATTGTAAAAATAGTTTCTCACCTTGTTCCTACTGGTTTTATCACTTGTAAATTTGGAAATGTTGATTTTTATCAATACTAGGAATTAGACAATAGGTATCCTTATAGTGCTTCATGCTTGGAAGCATGATCTATTTTTATTTAAACCCGGTGTTCAGAAAGATGCAATGGTGCAGAAAAAAATTTTTTTTTCAGGTATATAGACACATTGTATATGTTTATTGCTATCTTTTTAGGGAGGCAGTATTATATAAAGAGAAAGAGATTTAAATTGGAGGATATATAGGAAGAAAGTGCCATTTATTAAGTCAGTGAAAATGAAATGAAAAATATTGACTCCACCAATTTTTGGTTAAGGTAGTGTAGGAGTTTATACTTATACTAAATATAAACTTCTATTTTTGTTTATACTTATACTATGAAGCTTCTGCTTCATATGCATAGCAGTGCCAGGTAAAATATAAAAATATAAACCAAAATAAAATGTAGGCAGGCTTGAAAGTAGTATAAGCATCTCCATAAACCAGAAATGAGGAGAAGCACTAAATTGGGAATGTGGCCAAAGCTACCGACCTTTTGGGCTCCAAGGCCAGGAGCAGACTATAGTAGTGTCTGATATGCAGCACTGTGGAGTTAAGGGAGCTGACAGTATTCCATGCAAGATGTAGGAACAGAACGAGGCTTACTGCTTGAAGACTAGGATGGAGCCATTCTGCTCCTAGAAAGAGCCTGGCAAAAATAATAATAATAACAACAACAAAAGAAAACATATCAAAACCAGAAAGACTAACCCTGATAACCAAAAAAAGGAACTGAATCATCCAATAGTTCAATAATTACATCTTCAGTTTCCTGAATATCATTTTAGGATAGAATATTTGGGATAGGAACTCGAAACCAAAATTGGAAGGTCTGATTCTGAGCTTGGTAACTGGATAGAACCTGGAAACAACCACAAAACTATGAGACCTAGATGATGGTCATGGAATGATTGGAAAGAAGGGGATGAGACAGAGGGCATGAAGAAATACTTCAGGGTTTCTGACCTGAGTGATTGCAAGGCTGAGGTTGATATTAGCTGAGATAAAGAAGACTGAAGGAGGTACAGGATTGGGGAGGAGTTTGGCTTTGAAATGTTAACGTTTGAAATGCCTATCAGGCATTCAAGAATGGATGTCACGTGGGCAGTTGGTCCTTCTAGTGCAAACTCAAGGGGAAAGATGCAGGCTCAAGATAGAAATTTGTTAGTCATTGACAGATAGACATAAAGCCATGAGACTAGATAAAACAGTTTATCTACCAAGTAGTGACAACTATATGAACATCTTAGATAACAGAAGACAGTGAAGGGTAAGGGAAAATCAATTCTACTGAAATTTTATATTCTTTTAAACTATCATTTAAGAATGAGGGCAAAGTAAAGATAATTTCTGACATACAAAAGCAGTACTAACCACAGACCCTCACTTCAGCTGAAAGAAACATATTAAGTATGTATTTCTGCAAGAAGAAAAGTAAACCTAGTGGAAGTTCATAGAATGTCTAATGATAAGTTAAAAACATTGATGAAAAAGTTGCTAAATTTATTTACTTATTGGGCTCTCTAAGGTCAAACTAGATAAAATTAATAATATGTAGTTGGGTTGGAGTATGTTCAGTAATTAAAGCATGTTAGACTGTTTTGTCATGTTCAAAAGATAAAAATAACTGAATAAATTAAAATCCTATGGGAAAATTTATTGGCAAATATATTAAAAACTTAAGGATGTTGCTTGCTACTTTTTAAGTAGTCTTGCCAAAAAATAATCAAACCACAATATAATTTGTTATTCAATGTAATTTGTTTCCTTTGTCTTTCTCTTACATTTTATATATTTAAAAGATTATTCTGAGAAGAGATTTATAGGCTTCATCAGACTGCCAAAGAAGTCCATGACACAAAAAGATTATTACTCTAGATCCTGCTGTCAATATTCAGGAAATACAGAAAATAGAGGAACATGTTCAGTGAACCTTGAGTACCTAGTCAGCAAATTCCCCTAGAGTGGCAAACTCTACAGAACAAACAATCCAATTTCCTTTTTCTTTTTTCTTTTTATTTTCTTTTTTTTCTTTTTCTTTTTTTTGAGACAGGGTCTTGCTCTGTCACCTAGGCTGGAGTGCAGTGGCATGAACACGGCTCACTTCAGCTTCAACTTCCTGGGCTCATGCTATCTTCCTGCCTCAGCCTCTTGTGTAGCTGGGACCACAGGCGTGCACAATGCCCAGCTATTTTTTTTATTTTTTGTAGAGACAGCGTCTCACTTTGTTGCCTAGGCTGGTTTCAAACTCCTGGGCTCAAGCAGTCCTCCCACCTTGGGCTCCCAAAGGGCTGGGATTATAGGCATGAGCCACCATGTCTGGCCCCAGTTTCTTTAACAAATAAATTACAAGGGAGTGGGGGAGAGAGAGAGAGAGTGGTATCCAGTAGATTAAAAGAGATGTAAGAGACAAATCAACCAATTGCAGTGTGTATGGACTATGTTGAACTCTGATTCAAACCAACTATGTATTTTTTTATTTTTTTATTATTTTTTTGAGATGAAGTCTTGCTCTTGTCCCCCAGGCTGGGGTGCGATGGCGCAATCTCAGCTCACTGCAGCCTCCGCCTCCTGGGGTTCAAGCGATTCTCCTGCCTCAGCCTCCCGAGTGGCTAGGATTACAGGCATGTGCCACCACGCCTGGCTAATTTTTTTTTTTTTTTTGTATTTTTAGTAGAGACAGGGTTTCACCATGTTGACCAGGCTGGCCTTAAACTCCTGACCTCAGGTGGATCCGCCCACCTTGGCCTCCCACAGTGCTGGCTGGGATTACAGGCGGGAGCCACCGTGCCCGGCCACAAACTCTATTTTTAAAAGAGAAGAAACAATTGGGAATTTGAATGCAGACTGAATATTTGATATTAAGGAATTACTATTTTTTACATGTGATAGTGGTGTGGTGGTTTTATTTTTTACAAAAGAGGCTTTTCTTTTCAAAACATACTGAAATATTTACTGACGAAAACCAAAAACAAAAAAAAATAGGGGCAAGCACTAAAATAATAGACATGCAGGCCAGGTGTGGTGGCCCACACCTGTAATCCTAGTACTTTGGGAGGCTAAGGCAGGAGGATTGCTTGAGACCAGGAGTTTAAGACCCTGTCTCTACAAAATAATTTTGAAATTAGCTGGGCATGGTGGCAGGCACCTGTAGTTCTAGCTACTGGGGAGGCTGAGGCAGGAGAATTGCATGAGCCCAGATGTTTGAGGTTACAGTGAGCTATGATAGTACCACCGCACTCCAGCATGGGTGACAGAGTGAGACCCTGTCTCAAAAAAAAAAAAAGAAATCTATAGTTACCAAACTTACAAATAAAAAAAGAGGATGTAGGAGGAGAGGAGAGAACATAGAAAAAGTATCTACTATGCAAATGCTAAGCAAAAGAAAGGTGATATGGATGTATTTATACAAGTTCACAGTTCCTTATTTGAAATCATTGGGGCTATATATGTATTTAGGAATATGGTTTCTTGTTTTGGTTTTTTAATTTTAGAAATGTTAGGCCAGGCACAGTGGCTCACGCCTGTAATCCCAGCACTCTGGGGGGTCGAGGCGGGCAGATTGCTTGAGCCCGGGAGTTCGAGACCAACCTGGGCAGCATGGAGAAATGCTGTTTCTACCAAAAATAGAAAACTTAGCCAGCATGGTGGTGTGTGCCTATAGTCCCAGCTACTTGGGAGGCTGAGGTGGCAGGATCACCTGAGCCAGGGATGCTGAGGTTGAGTGAGCTGAGATTGCACCACACCACTGCACTCTAGCAGCCTGGGTCACATACCAAAACCAGGTCTCAAAAAACAAAACAAAAAAAAGAAATGTGATGGGCACAAATATTTTATATTTCATTCTACTTCTCAGGGCTATTTCAAACTCTACAATCAGATACATTAATATTTCTTTAGTGACATGTATGACCATGCATGGTAAGAGTATAAAGACTGTAAAATGGCTTTCCATCAGGTTTTGTTGCCATGTGAATTTTAATGCAAAAAATTTTTTTAAAGCTTTAGGTTTTCAGAATTTTAGATTTACAATGGTAAAGAACAGTGGGCCTGTCTCAGGCAAAATAAGAGCCTAAAATAATTAATAGACAGATACTACTTGCTAACAACCTACCAAAAAATATAATATCGTATACTTGTATGTACCTAACAACTCGGCCTCATGGATATAAGTATGTTTATATCAAGACAGCAAAAACTAACAGAATTACATGAAAAGTCAACCAGAGGAAGCGATTTTGCAGATCTTTATCAGAAACTGATAAGTCCAACAAAAATACTATAAAATACAGGAGGTAACACCTTTGGATCTATATATATCTATATGTAGATGTATACAGCAAGACATAGAAAAAGAGATAGAGGGAGCGAGTATGCCCTAAATTGAACGAAGATAACATACAGTGTTTTCAAGTAGAATATTTACCAGAATTGACCACTGCCAGGATATAAAGGAAATAATTTACAAAGTTTTGTTATCATGCATAACATGTTCTCTGATCACAGTGCAATTAAGTTAAAAGAAATAAAATACACATACCCAGGAAAAAAGAGAGAAAACACAAATTTTTGAAAATCTTGAAGGCATTCTTAAATCACCCATGGTTTAAAGAGAAAACTCACAAAACTTTAGACTATGGTGGGAACACTTCATTTCAAAAATCCTGAAATGAAGCTTAGATATATTTAGATATGAATTTATAGAAAAATGCATTTATTAAAATAAATGGCACAGTAACTCACATTTGTAATCCCAGATACTTGGGAGGCTGAAGCGGGAAGATTGCTCGAGCCTAGGAGTTTGAGTCCAGACAGGACAGCATAGCAAGAGCTTGTCTTTAAAAAGAAAAAAAAAAAAAAAGACTGAAAAGAAATGAGTTAAATATTCAACACGAGTTAGAAAACATAATAAACCAAATAACTAAAATAACCTAATATAAATATGGAAATAATATTATAAATAACATAAGAAATTAAACAGTCTCAAGAAAACAGTATTGTTTATTTAAAAAATAAACCAAACTCTAGCAGCAAGGCTTACCAGAAAAAGAAATGACAGAAAAAAAGAAATGTTAGTGATGAAAAAGCAGATATCAGATAAAGATTTTTTAAACTAAAGACATAATTATTAATACTACAAAAACTAGACCAATATATTTGAAAACTTAGGTATAATGTAAGGTTTTAGAAAACATGAAATATAAAAATTGATTGAATAAATGGGGAAAGGATAGACTTTTTATAAATGATATTAGGAAATTGATTGTCCATGTGGGAAAAAAATACCTTTCAATGTACAAAAAAAAAAAAATTTCCTATGCAGTTTAAAAATCTAAGTATGAAAAGTGAAACTTTTTACTAAAAAAAAATATTGATAGTCATGCATTGCTTAACGTCAGGAATATGCTCTGAGAAATGTGTTGTTAGGGGATTTCACCATTGTGGGAACATCATAGAGTGTACTTACACAAACCTAGGTGATAAAGCCTGTATAACATGTTACTGTACTGAATACTGTAGGCAGTTGTAACATAATGGTAAGTATTTGTATAACTAAGCATAAAAAAGGTACAGTAAAAATGTGGTATTATAATCTTATGAGACCACTGCTGGGGTCCCTTGTTAACCAAAAACATCTTTATGTGGTACTTGACTGTAGTTGATTGATGTAATTACGATCTCAGGTTTGGGAAGGATTTCTTAAATAAAACAAAGTACAAACAATTAAGAAAACAGTTGATAAAGTTGCCCACCTTATAATTAAAAGTTTTTCTTCAAATGACAAAATTAAAAGATAAGCTACAAACTAAAAGCTGATACTTGCCATGCATATAACTCATAGAGGATGAGTTTATAGAATTACTTTTTCCATAAATTTCTATAGATTAATTTCTTACGTATGTATGTATTTATTTATTTATTTATTCATTTTTGTGAGACAGGGTCTCACTCTTGCCCCAGCTGGAAAGCAGGTAGGATGATCATTGCTCACTATAACCTCATTGCCTGGGCTCAAGCAGTCCTCCTACCTCAGCTTCTCCAGTAGCTAGGACTACAGGCAAGCACCACCATCATACTTGGCTAACTTTGTTTCATGGGGATGGGGTCTCGCAGTATTGCCAGGCTGGTTTCAAACTCCTGAACTCAAGTGATCCTCTAGGCTTGGACTCCCAAAATGCTAAGATTATAGGCACAAGCCACCACGCCAATCCTACTAATCAGTTTTTTAAAGAAGAAAAGCTATTGGGGGGAAAAAATAAGCAAACTTAAACAGTTAATTCACAAAATATCTCATAAACATATGAAAATATGTTCAATCTTATTAAATATTATTCTATTGGTTGATATAGTCCATATTTTATAGTGTATTAGTCAGCTTTTGCATTGGCAACAAATAGCCCGCAGAACCTCAGTGCTGTTCTCATGAAGGAAAGTGAAGGCTCAAGGAAGAACAACCAAATAATATAAGCCTGGTTAAAGTTTCTACTGAGAAGTGACATACACCATCTTTACTCACATTCCATTGGCCAAAGCAAGTCATGTGGCCATGCCTTGAAGTCAGTAGGGCAGGATAGCATATCTCCATGAAAAGTGTGGAGGGAATAATTGGAAACAGATCATAGGCTCTGTCCCCATTAATAATAACCCCAAAAATCTTAATGGCATAAACAATAAGGTCATGCTAAGTGATCATTTGGGGCTCTGTTGGGGATCTGTACCATGTCACTGTGATCCATAAGACAGGACCTAGGCCGACAGAGCAGCCTCTGTCTGTAATTTTGGCATTCTCAGTAGCTGAGGGAAAAAGAAAGAACATGGTGAAGCACACACTAACTCTATAAAACCTTTCCTATAAAAGGGTCACATGGGACTTATGTTACATTGGCCAAAGCAAGTCATGTTGCCCAAGCCTGAGTCCAGCAAAAACAGTGATGTATCATGTAAGGAGGGGCAGGATATTAGTGAATAGTAATACAGTCCATCACAATAACATAGTCTACTACCATAATAAATATAACAAAATAATGTTTCATACCTATTTGATTGGCATAAGTTAAAAAGTATGACAAAACCAAACATTGCTAAGATTCTGGGGATATAGGTGTTATGATCTACTGGGACAATTCTAATTGTTATAATCACTGTGAAAAGCAGATTGACACGTCTATATAAAACTGAAAATGTGCATCCCATATGACCCCCATATTTCTGCCCTTGCTAGAATTTTTCACATGTATACAAGGAGACATTTATAAGAATATAGTAGCATTTTTAATAGCAAAGAAAGTTTTTCTTAAAGAAGCAACATAAATGTTTACAGGAAAATGGATAAATACATATTTATACATCCATTTAAATGAAAAATTTAGAGCTATCCTGACTAATGTAGATAAATCTCAAAAACATACATACTTTTTTTAAGTTGTAGATACATTAAGTATGATACCATTTATATAAAATTTTAAAACTTACAAAGCAATGCTGTATTTTGATTTTTGATACACATATAATGAAAGTAATATTTTAGGAGAGTAAGAGTAATGTAGTATTTTATACAAATATTTATAAAAATATACATGGAAATGACACATAAATTCAGATTAATTATAAGAAGTTAGAGATTTAGAAGACATTAAAGAATACCTTGAACTCCCTTTTTTTTTTTCTTTTAAAAAAAAAATCTGAGCTGGGCATGGTGTCTTATGCCGGTAGTCCCAACACTTTGGGAGGCCAGGGTGGAAAGATTGCTTGAGCCCAGGAGTTTGAGACCAGCCTGGGCAACATAGTGAGACTCCATTTCTATAAAACATAGAAAAGTTGGCCAGGCATGGTGGCTGAAGCCTGTAATCCCAGTACTCTGTGAGGCCAAGGCAGGTGGATTGCTTGCACTCAGGAGTTTGAGACCAGCCTGGGCAACATGGTAAAACCCCATCTGTATGGAAAAAAAAAAAAAATTAGCCAGACATGGTGGTGTGCACCTGTAGTCCCAGCTATTTAGGGGGCTGAGGCAGGAGGATCCCCTGAGCCCTGGAGTTTGAGGTTGCAGTGAGCTGTGATCGCACTACTGCACTCAGCCTGAGTGACAAAGTGAGACCCTGTCTCAAAAAAAAAAAAAAAATTAACTGGGCATGTGGGACATGCCTGTAGTCCAGATACTTGGGAGGCTGAGGTGAGAGGATCGCTTGAGCCCAGGAGGTCGAGGCTGCAGTGAGCTGTGATCACACCACTGCAGCACTCCAACCTGGGTGACAGCAAGACACTGTCTCAAAAAAAAAAAAAGGGTGGAGGGGGGAGATAAAATATTGGCATATGATAGATACGGGTGGTGAAAATGTGGATATTTGTGTTATTGTCTGTACATTTGAAAAAATAGATATTTTATGGTTGACAGGAATTAACTGGAATACCCAGGTACCAATAGCAACATGTACTATGTCTTGAAGGATTGAAACAACCTGACAGGTTTGTTTTCACTGCAGAGCCATTTTGTGCCAGGAAAGTTAAGTTAGTAGATGTGCTTCGTGGGTAGTCAGAAATCATCTTATGAAGGCCCATGTGTGTCAGTATGATAAATGTTGTGTTCTGTTACTTTCTGTATGTGGACATCTTTTTTGAGAAGCTTGTGTATGTTGACTAAGTTAACTAAGGGCATTTTCAGAATTCTTGTCTTCCTACATAGAGGATTCTGACTTCTTCAGCTCAGATTCCCCTTTCTCTTCAATGGTAGTTAGACTAAAATATTAGAAGAATCCATTCTGTTCTTACTTTCTTCTCAACAGAAACAATTAGTTGCTCAAAAAATTCACATAGAAGAGAATGAGGACAGAGACACAGGACTGGAACAGAGACATAATAAAGAAGACCCAGACTGCATCAAAGCCAAGGTGCCCTTAGGGGACCTGGATCTATATGATGGCACATACATAACTTTGGAGAGCAAAGACATCAGGTAAAGAAGTTCTCTTTCCAAAAATAAAATTGCTGTTTCAAACATTTCCTTTCTCAAATTAGTAAGAAATTATTTCTGTAATAAGGGTAAGCTTCAATCACAGATGAGTTTTCGAATTTGAAAATTCAAAATACATACTACATGTAGAATTCTTATAAATTAATTTAAAATATTTAACACCACAGTAGAAAATGGAACAACTTGGCTGGGCGTGGTGCCTCACACCTATAATCCCAGTACTTTGTGAGGCCAAGGCGGGAAGATTGCCAACAGCCAGGAGTTTGAGACAAGGCTGGGCAATATAGCGAGACCCCATCTCTACAAAAAAAAATGTTAAAAATTAGCCAGGCATGGTGGTGTGCACTTGTAGTTGTAGCTACTCAGGAGGCTAAACTGAGAGGATCACTTGAGCCCAAGAATTCAAGGTTACAGTGAGCTATGATGGTGCCACTCTACCCTAGCCCAGACTCCAGGCTGGGTGACAGAGTGAGACCCTGTCTCTTAAAAAAAAGGCCGGGTGCGGTGGCTCACACCTGTAATCCCAGCACTTTGGGAGGCCTAGGCGGGCAGATCACGAGGTCAGAAGATCAAAACCATCCTGGCTAACACGGTGAAACCCCGTCTCTACTAAAAATGCAAAACAAATTAGCCAGGCATGGTGGTGGGCACCTGTAGTCCCAGCTACTCGGGAAGCTGAGGCAGGAGAATGGCGTGAACCCAGGAGGCAGAGCTTGCAGTGAGCCAAGATGGCACCACTGCACTCCAGCCTGGGCGACAGAGCAAGACTCCGTCTCAAAAAAAATAAAAAATAAAAAATAAATAAAAATAAAAAAATAAAAATGAAAAATAAAAAAGAGAAAAAAATAAAATTGAACAATTTGTAGTTAAAAAAATTAACAAAAACTACCTATGGCCAATAAACATGGAAAAAAATTTCTCAGAAATTATCAAAAAAGTACAAATGAAAACATTTAGATAGTTTTCATCTACCAAAATGGAAAGCATATCAAAAAAATAGTAACTGGTAAAAATGTAGAGAGACTGTCAGTGGAAGTATAAATTGGTTTAACGTTTCTAGACAATTGAGCAGTTGTATTAGTTATTAAAAAGTCCATGATCTTATTCTGTGACCTATCTACTATTTTCCCTGTGATTCTTGACTTTAATTCAAACTCCCAAAATGTTTGACTCTTCATGGCAGCTATGTGAAAAGGTATGAATATTGACTAACAATTGTGTAAAGTTGAGATGCTATGAGAATATGGGGAAAATTTGACATTTCTTAAAGTATTATTGACTGAGCACAGTGGTTTACGCCTGTAATCCCAGCACTTTGGGAGGCCAAGATGGGAGGATCACTTGAGGCCAGGAGTTCAGAACTACCCTGGGCAACATAGTGAGACCTGTCTCAACAAAAAGTAAAAAAAATTAACTGATTGTGGTGGTGCATGCCTGTTGTCCCAGCTACTTGGAAGGCTGAGGTGAGAGGATCGCTTGAGACTAGGAGATCAAGGCTGCAGTGAGCTGTGATCATGCCACTGCACTCCAGCCTGGGCAACAGAATGAGACCCTTTCTCTAAATAAATAAATAAAATATTGTTTATCTCACCTTTTATTCATTCATTGCTTCTTTTTGATTTTAGTCCTGAAGATTATATAGACACAGAATCTCCTGTCCCTCCAGACCCAGAGCAACCTGATTGTACTAAAATTCTAGAACTTCCATATAGTATACATGCTTTTCAGCACTTGAGAGTAAGTAGAGAACTTTAGGATTTTTTTTTTTTTGCGTTGCGTTCTTCTTTCAGTTGGTCTCTCACTTATAAAGACCATTTCTCTTTCTTCTCTCCTTCCTGACAGCTTTGTAATTTTATAGACATCTCTTATTTCTTAAAATTCCAAAATATTAGTATTTCAAAATAAACACTACAAGATACTGAATTATTTGTCATCTTTTATATCCTTTGATATGTCTTTTGAATCTTTTTCTTCTCTTCAGGGTGTACAGGAGAGAGTTAATCTTTCTGCACCTCTGCTACCTAAAGAAGACCCAATCTTCACATATTTATCTAAACGGTTAGGAAGGAGTATAGATGACATAGGTCACCTCATTCATGAAGGCCTACAGAAGGTAAGTCATCAGTCACTTAAAGAGCCAGCGGGCTGAGCCAGCGGGCTCTGTGTAAACAGAAGATATTTTTATCTTGGAAAATACCTGACTAATTTGTTTTTATCTAGAAGACGATTTAAAATTACACTTACATTGATGCAAATTGCATAGTTCAGTGCTGGGGAGAAATATGGATAGACTAGTCTCCTTTCCCAGGAAGAGATGCTGGAAAGTTTTATCTAAACTGATGAAAAACGAAATATAAACTGACATAAGCAACAGCGTTTATAGG
Source organism: Homo sapiens (assembly GCF_000001405.40). Lineage (NCBI taxonomy): Eukaryota > Metazoa > Chordata > Mammalia > Primates > Hominidae > Homo > Homo sapiens. The sequence goes on from NC_000011.10 coordinate 43,392,224, forward strand.
CTGGATTATATACATTGTGTAAGTAAGAAAGTTAATGTTTTAGTGTCGTTAATATATCTATACACAATACATGTATTATTACTGTTTTCTGAGACAGAAAAAGAATCACCACCAGCAACAAAATCTTCTGTAACTTTCTTTTAAGAGACTATCTACTTTAAAAAAAATGAAATAGGGAATTATGTAACAGGACCCAGGAATGTAAATGTATCATTCAGGATTAACGTGGGCATTTAGAAAATGTTTTTGCTATTCTTTGTGCCTAAAGAGTATCATAAAATGCAGTTTAGTTTCTAAGCAGTATTATAGTGGTATAAAATAAGATGTATAATTGCCACCTTTGTATACAGTTTTTTCAAATACATAGCTTTGTATATTGAGAGGAATTTTCAGATAAAAGTCCGATAATAACTTGACTTTCAGATGCTTTATATGGTTATTTCTGTAGCTGTGTTACCATCTTCATCTTATTTTTCTGAAGGTAATGTAAAACTTTTACATTCCCAGAACTTGATGAGTAATAAGAGAAAACTGGCCCAGGATTTTACAGTGTCCTTCAGAGAATGGTTAGTTGAGAGTAGACCATAGTGGTAAGTGTTCTATAGAAAATTAAAACAGAAAGTAACTGGGTGGCTACTTTAGATCTAGCAGTTGGGGTTATCCTATCCGGAAACGTGAAATTTAAGCTGACACCTGAATCATAAGAAGAAACCAAAATTCAAAGACCACGGAAGAGCATTCTAAGCCACAGCAAAGGCTCTGAATCCTGATTGAGGTTAGGTGGTTGTATTTGTCTGCTCAGGCTTCCATAACAAAGTACCACTTTGGACCGTTTCTGCTCAAAACACTTCTGACACCAAATGTATGGAGTTTTTTCTCACACGACTAATTCGGTAGTTCTCCCGACATCAACTAGGTGTTCTACAACTCAATACAATTCTGACACTAACTACCTGGAGTTAGCACAGACCCCACAGGTCAAGGACTCAGTCCCACAAGGCTACCTGCACTTCAGATGCCAGTCGCAAGTCAAGGCCACCAGACAAATTAGCTATAAAGTCAGGGTGTTCCCACAGCTGCCTCCCCAAGTTAGAACAGCTCACGGAAGTC